>NC_000002.12:100822951-101125981 GCF_000001405.40 Homo sapiens | reverse complement strand
CACAAATGGACTAAGACAGCATTATAACCTAATAGGGACTCAAGGGGAAGGAGAATGGAGTTCAAGTGTGTTACTCTCTGGTAATGCTAATAATTAAAATGTCTGGTGGATGGAGGAAGAGCTAAGAACTCAAATGAAGTTCGGGAATGTTTCTGAATTTAATGCGTGGATATTGGTTACCCTGCCTCACTCTGGCATTAAGGAAAGGTAATGGTTTTTAAACAATACATTTAGATATCCTTAAGTCTCTGGGCTCTACATTGTATTGCTGCACCATAAAGGTGCGTCTATACCTCATCTCTGCAAGCTATTTCACACTATTGTTAAGTGTAAAAAGACAGGAAACATTGCCTAACATGCGTTATTTCTGATCTTGAATGCTTGTGGTTTGTGGCTTAGTTTTTCAGAGGATCATTGATAGTAAGGGCACGGGGCTGACCCAGGACTTTCTTTGGAACAGAAATAAGGATTTTTAAAATAAGTGACATTCTAATAGATTACACTATACTGTGCTTTGTGGAAATAAAATTTCTGGAAGGAGGCCTGTGTGTGTCTGTGTGTGAGTGAATGTCTGTGTGTATAATTTTCTCAGATTCCTGACTTTGCAAGTGTTTCATAAATCTGTAAGTATTTTATTCATATCTGCCTGCACCAGACCTGGAAAATGTGATTTTTTTTTTAAACTATTTTTCTTGTGTACTCTTAGAAGGGAGTGGTTATGAATAGCAGGTTCAGGAATGTGGGATTGTGTTGTCAGAATCTGAACCCTGGCCCCGGGTGCCCCCTGGGCTCTGTAGGTGCTGCTTTGCCAGATTGCTCTTGTTGGCTGGAAGTGATGTTGGCCGGAGGAGTGGCCGGAGGCTGCTTGATTGTTTGGATGATGAATGCATTTGTCATGGGAGGCTGCTTGTTTTTCAAACAGGCATAAAAATATCATTTGCTCAGAGGAAATGGATTCACACACAAATGTCACGAACCTTGGTGATCTTAGATTGTTTATCCGTGGGATAGTTTGGTTATTGAAGAGCTTATTTCTAAGGCACATGGGAAGGTAAGGGCTCTGACTCACTTGGTGGGTACTTGGCCTTCTGTCCTGTTGTTGTAGGAAGCCCTATCACGTCTCCAGATGCTTCGAAAGAGGATTCCTGGCCACCCAGCCTCTTCATCACTCTCTGATTGTAGTATTTTTTCCACAGCTTCCTAAGTAATGAACTGCAAGTACTTCTGGCAGCTGATAGACCTGGGCTGTGTACCAACCCAGGGACCATGTCCCTAAGCAAGTTGGGGAAAAAGTCACATTTGATCTGGTCCCTGAGTTCAGGGTTGGCTTATGGTGGGCTCTGCTGCCATGTGCAGAAGTTCTCTTCTCTTGGGGGATAACCCTAACTGACCTCATCATTTCAGCCGAGGGTTTACTTAGATTCCTTGCCACATCTCCTCAGCCAGCGGAGTGTACTGTATTAACAGCAGGTTTTTTTCCTTAAATTGGAAGAGTTGTTTTTTAGTGTTAGTATTTTTGGATTTGGAGACTAGAAATGTGGTAGTTTTCATCTTGGTTAGCCTGCAAGCAACCCTTATAGCGCTCTCCAGAAATTATTTTTAGGAAATTTGAAGCATTTATTATAGAGCCTTGAGATAGGAAATGAGCTTGTCTTAGTCACCCACTGCTTAGATGCCCTATGTAATCATGACAATTCTTTTATACATGTGTGTACAGAAAGAGAGAAGGTTTGAATTCTTTTTCTGTTGGAGATTGTAATGCATCCTCCACCTCCTCTCTCCTGCTGTTTCTGGTGGCCTCTGATCTTGTGTTTGTGTGGTGTCGGAGATCCAGTGGCAGTGGGAGGGAAGTGCTCACTGGTTGACAGAGGGTTTATGGCTTCAGTTCTTACTCCAGGAGCCTCTTGCTGAATCTAAACAACCAGCTGTCTATCGAAGTAATGAATCCAGGGACAGGACAACAGGGGCTGGAGATTGAGTCCAAGCACCAAGTCCATGGCCGATGTTTTAATCACTCCTGCCTACATAATAAAACTCTGGTGAGTTTCATTACTCTAAACACCGAGGTTTGGTGTAGCTTCCTGGTTGGTGAGTATGCTGATGTGCCAGGAGGGGGATGCCCCCTGACCCACAGGGAGAGGCCATGGAAGCTCCCTGTCAGGGGCTCTGCAGGACCTTCCTTTATGTGTTTTCTCCATGTGGCTGTTCCTTTATCATAAGACTGTAGCTGTAAGTATAGCCCCAACAAAACAAAGCGAACAACTGACTCCTCTCTTTTTGTAAGGTAGACCTATATCTGTGACAGTATACTGGTCCTTAAGGTGATTTGTTCCAGTGTGTGGGAAGCATGTTCTGTCTTTGGAGTAGTGGTGAGACTCAATCACAGGGTAAAGCAGCCCAAGAACACAGCTTCCACAGATTGTCACGGGGGCAGGTGAGATCAGGTACATGACTTAGCCGTGCACACTGGTTTGGAGCGTGCTTGAGAAGTTGCATCTTGGGGCAGTGGCTCCACAATATTTTTGTGGTTGTGGCCTACTCTGAATACTGCTAGAACGGTCGCCAAGCAAATTAGCCACAGTGCTAATTTGCACTATGTACAACCGCTGAATACTGCTGGAAGTCCTAGCCAGAGCAATCGGGCAAGAGAAAGAAATAAAAGGCATCCACATTGGGAAGGAGCAAGTCCAATTATCCCTGTTGGCTGACAATATGATCTTCTATCTAGAAAAGCCTAAAGACTCCCCAGGCTGGTCACGATGACTGTTGCCCAGGCTGGAGTGCAGTGGTGACCATAGCTCACTGTGGACTGGAATTCCTAGGCTCAAGTGATCTTCCTGCTTCAGCCTCCTGAGTGGCTTGGACTACAAGGTGCGCACCACCATGCCCAGTTTCCTGCTCTGTTTTAGGTATATATTCCTAAGACTTGTACCTGTGTGTTTTGGTAGACACAGGTGCTGGCTTGACACTGTGCTGTGCCTTTCGCCTTTGATTGGCAGCTGCTTACACACCCACATCACATCGCTGTACCACATGCGGGGCCTGATGTTTTTCTCCAACAAGTACCACCATACAAGTCTATATTCCCGGCTGTGGCAAAGCACATTTTACACCTTGATCAGTGTTTGACACCAATGTGAAGGGCTCGCGGTGGTGCTGCTCTCAACTGCACACTGTTGAAAAACGCAAGCGGATCTGTCTTCAAAATTTGGGGGGACTGTTTTGTTTAAAAGTTTATTTTAAATCCTTTAATTGAAAACTCAAATAGTCTATGAGTTTTCAATTCATTTCGGTTTCATGTACAGTATTACATTTATGCAACCAAGCTATCAAAAGGACTGGCTGTCCTTGGGAATGAAACGTAACAAAATCGTCAATAGAGTATTATTGGAAAAGATTGTTTTCAGTCATGAACTAGCTATTTAAATGAGAAAACAAATGTAATGATGCTTTCTGTCATGATTTTATAAATAAATGTCAATTGTAGGAAATTGGAAAAATAAATGAAAAAGAAAAACTCATAATCCCACAGTTAACCTTTTTGTATTGATTTCCTGGCATTATCCATGCTTTTTTTTTTTTTTTTTTTTTTTTTTTTGAAATGGAGTCTTGGCCGGGCGCGGTGGCTCACGCCTGTAATCCTAGCACTTTGGGAGGCCAGGGCAGGTGGATCATGAGGTCAGGAGTTCGAGACCAGCCTGGCCAATATGGTGAAACCCCGTTTCTACTAAAAAATACAAAAATTAGCTGGGTATGGTGGCGCACACCTGTAGTCCCAGCTGCTTGGGAGGCTGAGGCAGGAGAATCACTTGAACCCAGGAGGCAGAGGTTGTAGTGAGCTGAGATTGTGCCATTGTACTCCAGCCTCGCGGCAGAGCAAGACTCCATCTCAGAAAAAAAAAAAAAAAAAGAAAAAGAAATGGAGTCTCACTGCGATGCCCAGGCTGGAGTGCAGTGGCGTGATCTCAGCTCACTGCAACCTCTGCCTACCGGGTTCAAGCAGTTCTCTTGCCCCAGCCTTCCAAGTAGCTGGGACTATAAGCGCCTGCCGCCATGCCTGGCTGATTTTTGTATTTTTAGTAGAGACAGGGTTTCACCATATTGGCCAGGCTGGTCTCGAACTCTTGACCTCAGGTGATCCGCCTGCCTTGGCCTCCCAAAGTGCTGGGATTACAGGCGTGAGCCACTGTGCCTGGCCGCATTTCGTTTATATAATTGAACTCTGTATATCAGTCCTGTGTCTTTTCACTTACTGGAATAATAGCATTGTGCTATGGTCTAAATGTTTGTGTCCCTCCCAAATCCATATGTTGAAACAGAAACACCAGCAGGATGGTATTAGCAGCTGGGGCCTTTTCTTGAAGGTGGAGCACTTAAGATGGGACTAGCGCCCTTACAAATGAGACCTCAGAGAGCTCTCTCGCTCCTTTCACCGTCCTGGGACACAGCTCTAGAAGGCACCATCTTTAAATCAGGAAATGGGCTGTCACCAGACACTGAATCTGGGATGTGAGTGCCAGTCCCTCTCCCACTCTTTGCTGTGTGACCTTGTAGCAGCTACAGAGCCTCCCTGAGCCCCGGGGATAGGACTGTGTCCGCCTCTAGTGTGGCAAGGCTTAAACAGAGGTGATGAGTGGGTGGAGCTTGTCGCAGTCCCTGGCACGTGTCATATGTCTGATATGTGTTAGTTAATGATGGGAGGGACTGGAATGACACGTTCAAACAGGCACAGCTGATAACAACCTTATAAAGGATGGAATAGAATATTACTTTATATTTTTGTCAACAAAGTCCTTTGGAATTCTTTTTCTCTTATTTTTTTCTTTTCCTCAAAAGAGCGCCTTAGTGATATGAGATACTTTAATATATTTTCTTAGAAAAGAGGGAGGTTTGCCCGTTCATAGGATCTGTTAGGTTAGGCTCTTCAACGTTATCATGCTACTTGTGAGTTCAGTATTTCTAGGCAGCTGAATTTAATAGGGCTAAGGAGTTTTTAAAAAAATGAACGTAAAGATACCCTGTAATGATTGCTACACATCCAGCTGTAGTGTAGGGATCAGCTCTCAGCTTTCAGGTGTCATTGTCCCACTCAGGCATGCTTCTGGGCGTGGGAGTGTGCATGTGTACATGTGCTGTGCCCTCTGAGTACTTTCTAATGGCCTTATGTCCCTAGCCCGTGGTTGTGAGCCAGCTCTTGTTAAGGTCAGACATGAGTCACTGCCCATGGGGCACTTGGCTCTGTTCAGAGCTTCCTGGGACTTTGTGTCCTACCCAGTGTTTCTGCCACGAGGTTGAACCTGAGATCGACATCTTTGCATGGGCCTTGTATCCTTTTGCATTTAGCTTTTTGATGAATGACACTGACAGGTAGTTTCTTCCTAAACGTAGGCTGGCTTTTTCCTGCCTGTACTTTATGTTTTCCTAGGCAGATTTTAGCTGGCAGATGCATCAGATAACAAAGGTCCCTGCTTCGTTGTGCAAATAATAGGATAGACACAGTGGTTCATACCCTTGGCCACACAGGTGAGAGCCTGGAGAACTGTCAGTAGCCCAGGCCGGACCACAGACCACTAGCATCTCTAACATTGGGATTTCAAAAGCTCCCCAGGGGATTCCAGAGCTCAGGCAGGATTGAGAACCAGTGGAGCAACCCACAGCTCAGCCTAAGATGTTTTGGGCACCAGGAAGGGTGGGCACCGGGAAGGCCGGGCACATGAGAGATGGTTTGAGTTGGGAGCAGCGGCCAAAGAGGCAGAAGGATCAGGATGACTCTCCAGTGTGTTGTGGGCAAGATGTGAAGGGGGTCTTCAAGCTGCTCTCTGTCCTGGTCTGAGGAGCTGGCTTTTGGATGATGGAGCGTCCTTGTTGCCACCCCCACCTCGGTGTTGGTGGTGGTGGAGTCAGGGACCCTCTCTGCACTGTGGGGATGGACATGGAGTGAAGGCATGAGGGAGATCTAGCTCTCTTGGGCTCCTGGCTCACTTGGGTTATTTTGCCTGTTCTGTGGAGGGAGCATCTTCAAATTCATCACCTTCATCAGCAGGAGAGACTATTATCTTCATGTTGCAGATAAGAGAGCTAAGGCTGGAATATTTGATTGGTGTCATTTCAAGGACCTGCTGTAGAAGAACTGTCTGGATGGAGGCTAGATGCAATGGATAAAGAAGAAAGGGGCAGCAGGTGCCTTCTGCTTCTCTGTAATTTTCAAGGTGAAAGTAACTACAGAAATGAAATTGCAGCTTAAGGGCAGACATAGTGGCAGAGTCAAGAGCCTTAGGGAAGAGGGAACAAGAGAAGATCCTAGAACAGTGGTCCTGGTCTTGGCTGCACAGTGAGTCATGGAGGATCCTGTGACAATGCCCGTGCCCAGGCAGCACCCCAAACCAATGACATCAGACTCTGGAGTGGGGCCCAGGCCGGCTCTGCACTGCAGCCAAAGTTGAGAACCCCTGCTCTAGAAGGAAATCCAGGGAGTTAATGCAACCACATCTAGAAGGAAAGGAGTCAGAGGGGTTCTCATTTCTTCTGAACCTGGTGGGAGGGGAAGCAAAGGAGTAGAGATGGGACACTTAGGGTGGAAGAGGAGGCACAGGCTCCTGAGTCAGAAGGGGGTGGGTACCAGGTAAAGTGTGGAGCCATCCGTAAGTAGGGTGGTTTGTATCTCACTGATACTGTTCCCCTGTTGGCTGGAGGGGGCTTCATGTTGGGGAGACATGGAGGGCCAGGGGGACTTAGTTGAAGGTTTATGTGGAATAGCTACTGGCAAACATGCATTGCCCATGTTTCTCCATATGGGAACTGCTTGAGGAGCCTTAAAAATTCTGAGGCCTTCTTGATTTCATTCTCAGCTAGATTGTTATTGGTGTGTAGAAATGCTATGATTTTTGTATGACGACTTTGTAGCCTGAAACTTTACTGAATTCATTTATCAAATCTGAGAGTCTTTCGTGGAGTCTTTTTTTTGGGGGGGCAGAGACAGGGTCTCAGTCTGTCATCCAGGCTGGAGTGTAGTGGTGTCGTCACAGCTCTGTGCAACCTCTGCCTCCAGGCTTAAGTGACCCTCCCACCTCAGCCTCCCAAGTAGCTGGGACCATAGGCTGTGTGCCACCACACCCAGCTAATTTTTGTATTTTCTTCGTAGAGATGGGGTTTCAACATGTTGCCCGGTCTGGTCTCGAACTCGTGGGGACTCAAGCCAATCTGATGGCCTTGGCCTCCCAGAGTGCTGGGATTACAGGCGTGAGCCACTGTGCCCAGCCTGGTGGAGTTTTTTTTTTTTTTTTTTGAGATGGAGTTTCATTCTGTCGCCCAGACTGGAGTGCAGTGGCGCCATCTCGGCTCACTGCAAGCTCCGCCTCCCGGGTTCACGCCATTCTCCTGCCTCAACCTCCCGAGTAGTTGGGACTACAGGTGCCTGCCACCAAGCCTGGCTAATTTTTTTGTATTTTTAGTAGAGACAGGGTTTCACCGTGTTAGCCAGGATGGTCTCGATCTCCTGACCTTGTGATCCACCCGCCTTGGCCTCCCAAAGTGCTGGGATTACAGGCATGAGCCACTGTGCCCGGCTACCTGGTGGAGTCTTTAGGCTTTTCTAGATAGAAGATCATATTGTCAGCCAACAGGGATAATTGGACTTGCTCTTTTCCAATGTGGATTCCTTTTATTCCTTTCTCTTGCCCAGTGGCTCTGGCTAGGACTTCCAGCACTACGTACAATTGCATTTGGACCCCCAAAATTTATACAAATGAAAAAAAAAGTACTGAAAGCCAGGCCCCAACCTGGCCCATTAGAACCCAGGGCTCTGGAGGTAGGACCTAGGGTACATGGCGGTCTGGCTGTGTTGCCAAGCAGTCCCCTCCCCATGTTGAAGGGAGCTCAGTCCTCACTCATTCGTGACTTTATGGTTGATGATGGATGTGATAAGAGTGGCATTTGCTATTTCAGGAACTTCAGCAAACCAGCATTGTGTTCATGTCAAGGAGGAGGAAGTTACTGAGAGATGACTTTCCAGTGTCCCTGCAAGAGGCCGTCCTCCCACCCCCTTCTGTATGGAGAAATTAGAAGGAGGTCACTCTTTTTAAAGGTTAAAAAAAAAAAAAAAAAAAAAGGCCGGGTGCGGTGGCTCACGCCTGTAATCCCAGCACTTTGGGAGGCCGAGCCGGGCGGATCACAAGATCAGGAGATCGAGACCATCCTGCCTGACAGAGTGAAACCCCATCTCTACTAGAAATACAAAAAAAATTAGCCAGGCATGGTGGCGGGCGCCTGTAGTCCCAGCTACTCAGGAGGCTGAGGCAGGAGAATGGCGTGAACCCGGGAGGCAGAGCTTGCAGTGAACCGAGATGGCGCCACTGCACTCCAGCCTGGGCGACAGAGCGAGACTCTGTCTCAAAAAAAAAAAAAAAAAAAAAAAGTTCTGCCTCCTAACCAACTGTCATAGGCCTTGAACATATGAGTGCCTCCCCGCTGAATCTGCCCTTTACTGGACTTAGATTATTGACAGGTCAGGGGAATAGGTAAAGTAAATAGCAACGTTAATGACTAGTAAATAGAAATTGGTTACGAAATCCACTTTGGGTCCAGAAAGATTGGCTGGGTGAGATGGTCAGTCTATTGTGGGAGGCTTTGGAGAGCCATCTCTTTGTATATTTAAAGCTCTCTCACTCTGTGCGTGGAAAAGAGCCAGGGCCTGAGTTGGGCATTGTCTCAGTTTCTAAGGGCTGATCCCCAACTAGGTGGCTGAAAACAAAACCACAGTTCTGTTGTCCAGAAGTCCAAAGTCAGCTTGTCCACCATGCTCCCTCTGAAACCTGTAGGGGAGTTCTTCCTTGCCTTGCCTGGGGTTCTGGGGGTTGGCTGGCATGCTTTGGGGTTCCTCACAGCTGCATGGCTCAATCCCTGCCTCAGTCATCACACAGTGCTCTCCCTGTGTGTCTGTGTCTTCAGTGGCCGTCTGCTCGTGATGACACCAATCACATTGGATTAAGGGCCTACCACCTCCAGTATGACCTCATCTTAAATAACATTAAATTTCACTTCTCGGCTGGGCATGGTGGTGCACACCTGTAATCTCAGCACTTTGGGAGGCTGAGGCGGCAGATCACTTGAGACCAGGAGTTCGAGACCAGCCTAGCCAACATGGCAAAACTCCATCTCTACTAAAAATACAAAAATTAGTTGGGCATGGTGGTGTGCGCCTGTAATCTCAGCCCCTGGGGAGGCTGAGGCAGGGAGAATTGCTTGAGCCCAGGAGGCAGAAGCTGCAGTGAGCTGAGATTGCACCACTGCACTCTAGCCTGGGGGACAGAGGGAGACTCTGTCTCAAAAAAAAAAAAAATTCACTACTTTTAATTAATATTAACTGACATCACACCTTCAATGTGGCCCTGTTTTAAAATAAGGTAACATTCTGAGGTATGGGGGATTAGGATTTCAATGTATCTTTTTTGGAAGGGGCGAGTTGGCCCCTTCCAAAATTCAGCCTGTAAGAGGCAAGTGGGCCAGGGACTTTGCACCTGCTTGTTTAATCTCCACGCAGACCAGTGCGGTGGGGATGATCCCCGTTGGACACATGAGGAAGCTGAGCCTGAGAGAGGTGAGGCTACTTACCCAAGCCACACAGCTGATACAGAGCAGAGTGAGGATTGTGACTCTAGAGCAGTGTACAACTTCTGTAGGTTAGACCAAACATAGGTTCTTTTGTGACTTCCTTGGACTGGAGTCCATATGTCTTTTGGGCATTCTCAGGGCCCTTGTGGACATTATGCATCTGTGGGCAACCAGTCAAATACTAAGATAGTACTTCCCTGCCTCCTCACCCATTACCAGAAAGAAACTTGGAAACATGAAGTTGGTTTGATTTGTTGAGGGGGTAAGATTGGTGGAGATTTTTCTTATATTTATTTTTGTTTCCGTTCTTATAGCTATAACAACTTAAGCATATTTTAAATGGAATTAAGAGGAGGTTTTTAGAGCTTTGGTAATAATCAGCACCCTGCTGAATGTTGCTGGTCTCCTGGAATCCTTTTATGTTGTCAGCCTTACCTGATGAAGACTTGCCCCATTTCTCCTGGTGGCTGGCCTTGCTGGCGTGTGCGTAACAGATCCAGGTCATGGGATGTCTGGGGCCCTGGTGGTGATGGTCCGGTTCCATCACTACCACTGCCAGAGCATTTTGCAAACAAGTACTGTGTACTGGTTTGTCTCAAGGATCCAGAATCTTTTTTTTTTTGAAACAAGGTCTTGCTTTGTCACCCAGGCTGGGGTGCAGTGGTACAATCTCGGCTCATTGCACCCTCTGCCTCCTGGGTTCAAGCAGTTCTTGTGCCTTGGCCTCCCAAGTAGCTGGAATTATAGGCATGGACCACCAACCCCAGCTAATTTCTACATTTTTAGTAGAGATGGGGTTTCACTGTGTTGGCCAGGCTGGTCTTGAACTCCTGGCCTCAAGTGATCCACCTGCCTTGGCCTCCCAAAGTGCTGGGATTACAGGCATGAGCCACTGCTCCTGGCAGATTCAGAATCTTGAAGGCTGCAACTTCCCCTAAATGGAAGGCATTGAACAATCAGATTTCAAGATCAGAATTCCCAGTAGAAAACTCCTGCTAATAAAGAGACGTCCATGAGTCTGAGGAAGTAAATTGCTCCTGCTAAGTCTCCTCCACTCCATCTTATTAAATTTTAATTTCATTTGATTTTTTTCTAATTACTGGCTCCACGTCTGTTCTTCCCACAGGTTGTCTGTTTGTGGATGTTGGCGGAGATGCATCTTGGGTCAAAAGGACAGATTTTCTAAAGATAGATTGGGTGACCGCTGTCTGTCATAATGTGTGATAGCCTTAGAGAGAGAATGAGCTGTCATTTTATCCTTACTCCCTTTCTTCCTTGTCTCTATCTTGGACACTGTTGGGATCCGCACGTGACTGAGCCCCGATCCAAAGCTTTCTTGGTAGCTGGAGAAAGCGACAGGTTCTGTGAAACACACCAGTTGGCAGTGTTTTACAGACTAGCTCTATGTATTGTCACTTTATGGGGAAGTCAGACCAGGGACCATGGGGCCAACTGCACTTCCTTATTTCCGTGGGGTGGCACCCCTGTTCTGGGTGTTTGCCTTCCTTACCTCTAGCTTGCCCTACTCTCCTACTTTCTCTGCTTTTTAGAATTAATGGTTAAATTCCCATATGAATGACCCTACAGAAGAGAAGACAGTGTCTGAGAGTACACTTTTAGTACCTGCTGAAATGTCTGCACTGTGTGCTTCTTTCTAAAACCAGAACAAAGTAAAAACAAAAAGAAACTCTGTTTAGTCCGTGATATAAATTTAATTACTGACACAGTGTCTTCTGCCCAGTCCAGGATGAGATTAGTAGGGTACTGTAACAGAACCATGTAACTGTTGTGTTGCAAATTACTGAAGGACATATGGCAGGCTTTGAGTAATCGGATTTCAAGATCAGAATCCACAGTGAACAAAACTCCAGGTACTTGGAGCATACGGAAAAAGTTTCCTGTAAGTGAGTTTAAACAACTGGGTTCTTTGAATTTATTTTACTGAAAGGGCTAATTAAACAAATATTTATTGAGGGCACAGCAGGAACCAGGTATTTATGCCAGGTGTTGCGAACCGATAAAGGATCCCAGCCCTTACCCTTGCACCCCCTTATATGTGCACTTGAGAAAGCTTCTGTAGTTTGTAAATATCTGACATTTAGTTGTAGCAAACTAGATATAATTTTATGCCTCTGTTATCAAAGATAGAAATGTTGACATAAAAATCAAGTAAATATGAGCTTTACAGCAAAGGTTGTAAAGGGTGTTGGAAACAGTCGTGCCAAACACTTTTGTGCTAAGCCTGACTGTTTTTAATATACCTGCACATTTTCAAGATGAATGGAACCCACTGTGGCCTCACTGGCTGCAGTTTGCAAATGATTCATCCTTCCCCTAGGGGAAGATTAATCAACTAGAGTGTCCTGAGCACGTAGTGGGTGTTCAATAGATAGTTGCTTGTTTTAGGAATTGCACAAGAGTTGCTGTCTTGAAATGCATGTAGCTTGGTGAGCCTGATGAAACAGGCAGACTCATTCCTTTTCAAGATTTGTTTGCAGTTTTACAGGCTCCCTGGGGAGCTCTTCCTGCGTGAGGAGCCGGAATCCGCCGCAGAGCAACCGTTTTTTTATTTTGAACTTGAGCCTATGGAGTTGTCTTCCTTCACTGACCCCTTTGCCTCTCATATTGATTTCCATTTTGCAAAGGAGGCACTCTTGCGTTGTCTTATTTATATGTTTTTCTCTGATCCAGGAGTGCCTCCAAACTCCATTTCCTGCCTTTTATTATGTACAGGGCCATTAAACAAGAGTGTGGTTTGCAAGGTGGAGGTAGAATTGTGTCTGTAACAGTAGCATACAGGGCTGTCAGGCTGCAGGCGGTATTTGTGATTAAATCTGGCTGGGAAACTGATTTGTGCATCATGGGCTGTGAGTCTCGCTGAACAAGTTTAACAGCCTTTCTGCAGCTGTCTCTGATCATGAAACAAGAAATCTTAGTATTTCATGTTCAGTCTTGTTTTTGTTTTGTTGATTTTTTTTTTTTTAACTTCCAATTCTCAGTATCCTGTGTGGGAACTGAATTGTCTAAATCTATGGCCAGTAAGGAAAGAGGCTAGAAGGACATATACCAATTAGTTATTGCTGAGTGGCAAGATGAGCGATTAAGCTTAGTTTTCTTCTTTGTGGTTTTATATGTTTTCCAAAATTCTATAACAAAAATGGATTAATTTTGGAATCAACAGGAAAAATTGCTTTTAGGAGGACAAATTGAGATTAGACCTTATTAGGGAAGGTTTTTGGGAAAGATATTCTTTATAACTGGTTCTCTTGATGTGATTTTGGGAGTACAGGTAATACCTGTTGGACTTGTTAAAATGGGATGTCAAAAGTGATACGTTATTCAGACTCAGATGGGAAGTCTTGTGTTACAGCCTGCACGGGTATCAGAGTGCGCTGGGCTGTTAAAGTACTTGACCCAAGGCAGATACTGTCTCAATGAAATGGAGAAGTAGTCAGAAATGTTTCAGCAAGGGTTCTTTTGACGTAGCAGAAACTGGCAAAAGAGTGCTGCCTGTGCCGTTACGTTTGATTACAACATAGTGTCATATTGTTCTAGTCTTCATGAGTTAGGGGCTACTGGTCTCTAAGGGAGGAAGGTTTGGGATTAAAATGGGCATGTCTGGAAAGAGCCCAAAAGAAAGGTAAGGGCGGGTTACACAAAGTTGGAACCATCAGGACCGTGAGTGGCCAATACCCTGAGCAGTCAGGCCTCCATTCATGGCCTTTGGGAGACTGAGAATGGCACCTCAACGTCCAGGGAAGAGCTGTGGATAGTCCTGGATTGTCCTGCGTTTGGCAGCGGAGGTGGACCAGGCTGTTCCAGTCTAACCCTGATGTCTCTGGCACCTGGCATTTCATTTGAAGACTGTATCAGATCTTAAAGCCAAGCTCTTTGTGACATCTTGGTTTTCCTTCTCCCATTATGGCCCTGGCCTTTCATTTTATAGACTTGAATCATCTGTTCACGACGAGAAATGAAATCTAATTGCTCTTCATAACCATCATGGCAGGAGACCACCTTAGATCAATGGATGGCCAAGTGGATAGATTCGCTGGGGAGTTTCCACAGAACTGTATTCTTTAAAGCCACAGCAACAAGTGTGAGAAAGACACAGCAGTGACTGGGTTTGGAGCTGGCTGCTGTGATGCTAAGGGTTCTTGCTGTCATGTGTTTGAGCATGATATCACCCTGCTTGGAGGCTCAATACAACAGGACCCCTACGTTTGGTCTGAGGCAAAGCAGATGACTTGGTCCCCATCCAGGGGTTATTTATGGAGCAGCTAGAGGACTGTGTCAGGGGTGAGCAATGTGGACCCAGAGCACATCTGTGTTCAGATGGATTTATGATTCGTTGCTTGGGGATGAGGTTAGGAAAAGTTGTTTTTTTATTTACATTAGGAGCTCAACTGCAGAAATCTCTGACCACTAGAATTTCACAGGTTTTTTTTTTTTTTTTAAAACTATGGTCAAGTACACAACATTTGACCATTGTAACCACTGTTAAATGTACAGTTTGGTGGCATTATGTACATTTGCATTGCTGTGCCAGCATCACCACCAGACATCTTCAGGATTCTTTTCATCCTGCAAAACTGAATCTCTGCACCCAATAAAGAATTTTCAGGTTTTGAGTGAAGACTCAAACCAATTTCTCCCTCCTGTAATTCAGTGTGAATCAGACAGTCAGTCCAGGTAGCGTAACTCGCTCCAGACACCTGAGGCTAGCAGCCACACCCATTGTCCTCTCTTGGTTTCCTGAGAAAGCAAAGGACCATTGTGTGGATGTCATCATTCCCATGTATCTGGGGCACCATGTGCAGGTGACTGCTCATTCTGTTCTTGAGAACGAGGGCCAGCATCCCTCCCTTGCAATGCCCTTGAAATGCTCCTCCGGACCTGCACTCGCGCACACACTCAGGCATTCGTGTTGTGGATTCGGCAGGCTCGTTCCACCAGCCATGATGGGCACAGGACCGCGCATGTTGTCTGCTTAGTTATAAACGGTGAGCTTCTCAGGTTGCCACCGCCGGAGCATCCTGCGTGATATGGTCGCCCTGCAGCTTTGTCCGCTGCTCTGCTGCACGCCCTGAAAAATAGCAGTCATCTCTTGGTTTAGTGGGAATTCGTGGGGATCATAAGAGCTCTCATTAAGAGTGATATTGAATTATGAAATGCTTTGTAAAAACAATATTCAAAAGTTGGATAATTTGGATTATGAATTTTACTTTGAATAGGTAGATTTCTCATGTTGCCAATGCAAATTTCCCCAACATTTTTCTTTTCTTTTTACTAGTCATTAGAAAGGACTTCATGTGGTCTTTTTCGGTTATTTGTGACTTTTCGTGAATAAAAGTTTTTCTCTTTGTTCTGGTTCTTTTTTTTTTTTTTTTTTGCGATGGAGTTTTGCCCTTGTTGCCCAGGCTGGAGTGCAGTGGCGCAATCTCGGCTCACTGCAACCTCCACCTCCCGGGTTCAAGTTCAAGTGATTCTCCAGCCTCAGCTTCCCAAGTAGCCAGGATTACAGGTGTGTGCCACCCTGCCCGGCTAATTTTTTTTGTATTTTTTGTAGAGATGGGGTTTCACCATATTGGCCAGGCTGGTCTTGAATTTCTGACCTCAGGTGATCCACCCGCCTCCGAAAGTGCTGGGATTACAGATGTGAGACACCGCGCCTGGCCTGTTCTGGTTCTTTATTTGCTTTTCTCTCTAACCCTCAAAAACAGTGACAGCAGCCAAAGCAAACAGCCCTAGCATGAAGACAGCTATCTAGTGCAGCTGGTTTCCCCACAGTGGCTTGTGGTGTACCGTGAAGGAGCCATCACTGTTTAACGGCTTGTGTATAGTGAGAAGTCCTTCTATTACTCCAGTAATAACGTTTTCCATCATTGAGCTGCTCAGATGTACTTCTGGGCCCAAAGCTGTTAGGGAAGGCATACTTTCTTTAATGTAGGTGGGAGTGGGGCGGGGAAGAGGGATGGGTGTTACTGTTTCTTAAAAACGGGTTTTATTGTGCTATGGTACTATTATTGGTGAGAGCAGAGCACTCTGCCACCACTGCCTGTGGTTAGCACAAGGCCCAACACAGTGGTTATAAAAACCATTAAGCCATGGGAAGGCTTCTCTGAGTACCCCTGTTTGCCCTGAATCAGTAGCTGTCATTTTGTCTCAGACTTAGTACCATCACTGTGCATCAGATCCAGCCAGAATGAAAGAATTGCTGCACTATTGCTTAGAAGCAAATTATTAGTAGGCCTCTATTTGGGCCCTAATTATAAAACTTGTCACTTGACATCTATCTCAGCCAGAGTTGTTATTCTAAGAGCCTAAAAATAGGAGTGTTGTGCTCGCTGAGACGCCAGGAGGATTTTCCTGTAGCGCCAGACAAGCCATATGGAACTGCTGCGGAAAGGAAAGCAGGATGCACGAGGTGGCGGCCCTGCAGCCCTTGAGTGGGGCCTCATTCCTGGAGATGCAGCAAAGAGTTTGCCGGTTTGGGCTTGTGGAGGGAAAGTCAGTCTGAATGTAGATGGAACTGTAGGTTTGTAAATGATGTAGTATTTTTAAAAATAAGTGTTTGCCTGTCTCTAACCAGTCCTCACCCAGTAGAAGAGAACGTGGGCTCTGGAGCCAGGGCTGGGGAGGCCCGGCATCATCTCTCAGTGCTCAGGGCCTCAGCTGCTTCATCCCATCTGCGGAAAGGTGGTGGGAGGATCAGATGAGAAAACATGCACGTGGGTAGGAAGAACAGCAGTATTTTTTTTTTATGACCCTGCTCATAAGTATTGCCCAAAGGCCTCCTTGTGAGTTATCTTCAGCTTCCTTATAAAAGGACGGACTAAGTAGGGCTGCACGCTGTTGTGGGAGCATGCATTAACATTTTTCCGTATAGTTGCTTTCTCTATGTGTATATATGTATATATTTTTGTCTTTGACCCGTTTGAAATTTGCAGACATGTTATCCAATTTTCTGATAATGTTGAAGGCATTCTTTGCCATGTTAACCGTTTTTTGTTTGCCCATTCAACAAAAACTTATGGGTAGTTCTTTCTTCCTGAGTTTTCTTTTCTCACCCGTATCTTCCCCTTGTCTGCAGAGTTGTGCCAGGGACACTCACTGCCCTGCCTGCCAGCTTTGCATCTCCTCTGTGGTGCTGGTCCTTTGTACCGTGGGTGGTTCCACCCTGAATGCTCTAGTTTACCCCCTGGTTTCATGCGACTCCCCCACCCCAACCCTGGTTTCCTATGGGGGCAGTTAGCATTTGCACAGATGTGGGGGTCACTCTCCCCCGCTTCTCTGCAGGTGGGCACTGATTGACTTGATTTTCCTTGACACTTCTTAAAAAAATAAACTTTATTTTTTAGAACAGTTTTAGATTTACAGAAAAATTGTGAGGACAGTACAGAGGGTTCTGGTATACCCCATACCTGGTTTTGGTTTCTCATGCTACTGACAACTTGTAGTGGTATGGCCTATTTGTTACAATTAATGAACTGATATTGTTACATTATTGTGGTAGGCTGAATAAAGGCTCCATCCTGTGAATGTTAGGTCCCCGTGACAAAGGAGCATTAAGGTAGTAGATGGAAGTAAGGTTGCTTATCAGCTGACCTTAAAATAGGGAGATTATCCTGGAGTAATGGTGGGTGGGGAGGGTGGGGTGCCAATGTGATCACAAGGGTTCTTATAACTGGACGAGGGGATCTGAAGAGAGGACCAGAGAGTTGGTAGTGTGGGAAGAACTTGGCCTGATGTTGCTGGTCTTGGAGATGGAGCAAGGGGCCCCGAGCCAAGTAAAGTTGTTGGTCTCAGAAGCTGGAAAGGGCAAGCAGACCTCGGAGACGCGCACCTGTCACCACCTCGATCCTAGTGCAGTGCGTTCTGTATCAGACTCATACGTTTGTTTTGTTTTAAGCTATTATGGTTGTGGTAGCTTGTTATGGCAGCAGTAACAAATGAATACAATTATTATTACCCAGAGTCCAGGTCTTATTCAGATTTCCCTAGTCTTGTGTTCCAGGATTCCATTCAGGACAACACATTACATTTAGTTGTCAATGTGGCTGGGACAGTTTCTCAGACTTTCCCTGTTTTGGATGACCTTCACAGTTTTGAGAAAATGCTGGTCCTGTATTTTATAGAATGTCGCTCAGTTGGGATTTATCCGATGCTTTTCTTATGATAGATTAGGGTGATTGGCTTTGGGAGAGGAAGACCACAGGGATAAAGTGCCATTCTCATCAGTTCATATCAAGGGTACATTCTCCCCTCCCCTCCCCTCCCTCCCCCCACTCCCCTCTTTTTCTTTCTATTATTTTTTGAGACAGAGCCTTGCTCTCTTGCCCAGGCTCGAATGCAGTGGTGATCATAGCTCACTGCAACCTCAAACTCTTGGCTCAGGTGATCCTCCTACCTCAGCCTCCTGAGTAGCTGGGACTACAGGCACCTGCTACCATGCCTGGCTCAAGGGTACCTTCTGTCAACATGACTTACCTTTATTGATGCTGTCCTCAATCACCTGGCTGAGGTAGTATTTGTCAGTTTCTTCAATGTAAAGTTACTTCCCCCACCTTTCATACTGTGGGTTGTGTATGGTTAGCATTCCTTACTTTTTGACACTGTAAATGGTTCCAGGCTCATCTTGTATATTTCCTGTTCCAGTTCCAGAAGCAGCCATTTCTCCAAGGAGCCCTGGTTCCTTTCATTGGAGCATGGTAGTAGAAACCAAATCTGCGCTCTATGTGTGCTCATTGCTTCTAGGCCCTCTCAGAGGGCAAGGAATTTTTTTCCTGATAGAGCAAGGAAATACATCTGTGTGAATTTACTCTTGTGTATATGCATGTCTATAAATATTTCTTCATGCAACTGTATTAGGATTCTCCAGGGAGACAGAACCTCTAGGATATATATCTTCCTCTGCCTTTTTTTTTTCTGTCTGGGCCCTCAGCCAATTGGATAGTGCCTGCCCACAGAGAGATTGGATCTTCCATACTTAGTCCACTGATTCAAATGCTTATCTCTTTTGGAAACACCCTCACAGATACCACCAGAAATAATGCTTTACCAGCGATTGGGGTATCTCTTAGCCCAGTCAAGTTGACACCTACAATTAACCATTGCAGTAACCCTTTGTATCTATAGTAAGCTGAACCTGAGTTCACACCTGTCTCTGACTCTAGTTCATTACCATCTGGATCATTCTTGCCTCTTTCCCTTGCCTGTCTATAAGCTCCTACTGCAGAAGTGAGAAACCTGGCTCTCACGCTCTGCCATCCTTTTTCTTAATGGTTCATTTACAATATACTGATGCTCCTTAGCTTACGATGGGGTTACATCCCAATAAACTCATCCTAAGTTGAAAATATCATCGTCAAAAATGCATTGAATACACCTGACCCTCCAAACATTATAGCTTAGCCTCACCCACCTTAAACGTTCTCAGAACACTTACATTAGCCTACAGTTAGGCAAAGTCTTCTAACACAAAGCATATTCTATAACAAAGTGTGAATATCTCATGTAATGTATTGAATACAGTGCACTGTAGGGCACAGTACCGGTTGTTTATCTTTGTGATCACGTGGCTGACTGGGACCTGCAGCTCACAGCTGCTGCCCAGCATCACGAGAGAGTGCTGTGCCTTGCACCACTAGCCTGGGAAAAGGTGAAAGTTCAAAATTCAAAGGATGGTTTCTACCGAATGTGTGTTGCTTTCATACCACTGTAAAGCCAAAAAACCGTTAAGTGGAACCATTGTTAGTCGAGGACCATCTGTGCATGTGTAGTAGTTTCAGAGTTGTTAACCTGTGGCCCATGGAGTCCTGTACTTGTGTATGGTTCTTTGCCGTCCTTTCCACAGACTCCACTTATTTCCAAAATTACTTAGGGCTGTCCCCTATTTCCCTCACTCCTCGCACTGAGGCTGTTTCAAACATGTGTAGTACAGTCAGGTTGCTGGGTCACATCCTGCATTAAATCCAGGGGTCCCTGACCTCCTAAAGGATTTATTTTTAAAACTTGCAAACATTAAGGTTTACTCTTTGTCCTGTAAAGTTCTGTGGGTTTTGACAAACACACAGTGTCATGCATCCACAATCACAATATTATACAGAATAGTTTTCACTGCCCTAAAATTCCCCTATGTTTGACTAATTTAACCTTTTCCCTCTAGCAGCCACTTGTCTTTCTACCCTTGCTATAGTTTTCCCTTTTCCTTTTTCTGGAATAATTGGAATCATACAGTATGTAGCTTTCTTAGGAGGGTTTCTTTTCCTTAGCAATATGCTTTTAAGTTTCCTGTTTGTGAAAAGTCATGGCTCGATAGATTTTTTTTTTTTAAATCACAGAATAATACTCTACTGAATGGATCTAACCACAGTTTGGTTATCCATTCACCTATTGAAGGACATCTTGGCTGCATCCAGTTTTAGATAATTATGAATAAAGCTGCCATAAACATTCACTTGCAGGTTTTTCTGTAGACATATGTTTTTACGTCAGTTGGGTAAATACCTAGGTGTGCGATTGCAGGGATCATACGATAAGGCTGTGTTTAGTTTTGTACAGAACTATCAAGTTATCTTCTAGGTGGCTGTGCATTTTGTATTACCATCAGCAATGAATGAGTCCCTGCTGCTACACATCCTCACAATTGGTATCGTCAGTTTTTTGGATTTTAGCCATTCTATTAAGTATATAATGGTATCTTGTTTTAATTTACAATTTCCTAGTGACAAAAGATGTTGGACAACTATATATATATATATGTTTTTTTTTTTTTTTTAATTTGAGACAGAGTCTGGTCTGTCACCCAGGCTGGAGTGTAGTGGCATGATCTTAGCTCACTGCAACCTCTGCCTCCCGGGTTCAAGTGATTCTCCTGCTTCAGCCTCCGGAGTAACTGGGATTACAGGCACGAGCCACCATGCCAAGCTGATTTTTGTATTTTTAGTAGAGACAGGGTTTCGCCATGTTGACCAGGGTGGTTGCAAAACACTTCATATGTTATTTGTCATCTGTATATCTTCTGTGGTGAGATATCTATTCAGATTTTTTGCCTATTTTTAATTGGGTCATTTGTTTTCTTATTGTTGAGTTTTAAGAATTCTTTGTATATTTTGGATATAAGTCCTTTATCAGACGTGTTTTGCAAGTACTTTCTCTCAGTCAGTGGCTTGTCTTTTGGTACTCAGGTGTCCTTTGCAGAGCAAAAATTTTAAAATAAAGTCTAACATCAATTTTTTCCCCATGGATCATGCTTCTGGTGTTATCTCTACAGAGTCATCACCACACTTAGTCATCTAGGCCTTCTCCTGTGTTATGTTGTAGAAGTTTTTTTTTTTTTTTTTTTGAGATAGAGTTTTGCTCTTGTTGCCCAGGCTGGAGTGCAATGGTGTGATCTCGGCTCACTGCAACCTCCACCTCCCGGGTTCAAGCGATTCTCCTCCTGAGCCTCCTATTCAGCCTCCAGAATAGCTGGGATTACAGGCGCATGCCACCATGCCCGGCTAATTTTTGTATTTTTAGTAGAGACGGTTTTATCATATTGGTCAGGCAGGTCTTGAATGCCTCACTTCAGGTTATCTGCCCGCCTTGGCCTTCCAAAGTGCTGGGATTACAGGCATGAGCCACCGCGCCTGACCTATGTTGTAGAAGTTTTATAGTTTTCTGTTTTACACGTAGGTTTATGAGCCATTTTGAATTACTTTTTGTGAAAGATGTAAGGTCTGTGTCTGGGTTCATTTCTTTGCATACGGATGTCTAGTGATTTAGCACCGTTTGTTGAAAAGACTGTCCTTCTCCACTGAACTACCTTTGCTTTTTAGTCAACGATAAGTATTTACTAAGTATTGACTTACATATCTAATCTATTACCAGTACCACCACACTGTCTTGATTACTGTAACTTTGTAGCAAGTCTTGAAATTGCGTAGTGTGAGTCCTCCAACTTTGTTCTTCTTCTCCAGTATTGTGTTGGCTTCTCTATATCTTGACATTTTTATATCAACTTTAGAATCAGTTGTCAATATTTACAAAATAGTGTGTGGGATTTTTATTGGGATTGCGTTGAATCTGTAGATAAAATTGGGAGGAATTACATCTTAACAGTATTAAATCTTCTAAACCATGAATGTGGAATATCTATCTATTTAGATCTCCTTTGATTTCTTTCATCAGAGTTTTGTAGTTTGATACAAATAAACCCTATGCATATTTATTTAGGCTTATGCCTAACAAAAATACCTTTTACTGTTGTCAATGGTAATTTTTTTTCCTTCAAATTCTAGTTGTTCAAATTCCAGTTGTTCCAGTTCCAGTTGTTCCAATTGCTGGTATGTAGGAGAGATGTTGTCATGTTAACCTTGAATCCTGCAGCCTTGTTCTACTTGCTTATTAATTCCTGGAGATTTTCTTGCTGATTCTCTGAGATATTTCTACAAAGACAAGCATATCATCTGTGAACAAAGTTTTGTTTTTTTCTTCTCTCTCTCTCTATATATATATCTTTTATTTTCACTTTTTATCTTACTGCATTAACTCTGATGTTGAATAGGAGTGATGTAAGAAGACATTCTTGTCTTGTTCCTGATTTTAGTGGGAAAATGTCCAGTTTCTCATCATTAAGTATGATGTTAACTGTGGGGAGTTTTTCTGGAGATGTTCTTTATCAAGTTAAAGAGTTCTGGCCATGCGCGGTGGCTCACGCCTGTAATCCCAGCACTTTGGGAGGCCAAGGCGGGCGGATCATGAGGTCAGGAGATCGAGACCATCCTGGCTAACACGGTGAAACCCTGTCTCTACTAAAAATACAAAAAAATTAGCCGGGCGTGGTGGCGGGTGCCTGTAATCCCAGCTACTCGGGAGGCTGAAGCAGGAGAATGGCATGAACCTGGGAGGCGGAGCTTGCAGTGAGCCGAGATAGTGCCACTGCATTCCAGCCTAGGCAGCAGAGTGAGACTCTGTCTCAAAAAAAGAAAAAAAAAAAAAAAGAAGTTCTTGATCCTTAGTTTTTTTTTTTTTGTTTCCTGCTTCCCCCTTCCAAGTTTTTTTTTTTTTAAAATCATGAATGGATGTTGGATTTTGTCAACATTTTTTGTGTATCAATTGATGTGATCATATGGTTTTTTCTTCTTTAGCCTGTGGATGTCATGTATTATATTGATCGATATTTCCAATGTTGAACCATCCTTGCATACCTGGAGTAAGTCCCATTTGATCATGGTATCATTCATTTTATGCATTGTTGGTTTCTATTTGCTCATATTTTGTTGAAAAATTTTGCTTGAGAGCTATTAGTCTGTAGTTTCCTTTATTTTAGTATCTTTATTTGATTTTACTATATTACAGGAACGTTGGCCTCCTTACTGTAATAGAATGAATTCGCGTGTTCCCTCTGCTCTGTTTTCTGGAATAGATTGTGGAAACTTGTTATCATTTCTTTCTTAAGGTTTAGTAGTATTCACCGGTGAAAGTATCTCAGCTTGGTATTTTTTTTTTAATTTTATTTTTTTTGCTATGTTGCCCAGGCTGGTCTGGAACTCCTGGCCTCAAGCAGTCTTCCCACCTTGGCCTCCCAAAGTGCTGGGATTACAGGTGTGAGCCATTGTGCCTGGCCTGTAATACCCCTCTTTATTCCTGATAATATTTCCTGTTTTGAAGTCTATTTGTCTAAAATTAATACAGCTACTCCTGCTTTCTTTTGATTAATGTTAACGTAGTATACTTTTTCCATATCCCTTTACTTTTTTTCATTCCTTTACTTTTAACCTATGTGAGTCTTAAATGAGTTTCTTCTGGACAACATACAGTTGAGCCATGTTTTTTGTTGTTTTTTTTTTGGTTTTTAATCCACTCTGAAAATCTCATTTAGTTGGTGTACTTAGACCTTTCATACTTGAAGAGATTTTTTTTTTTTTTAACTTTTTATGGAATCTCGCTCTGTCACCTAAGCTGGAGTGCAGCAGCGTGGTTTCAGCTCACTGCTATGTCTGCCTCCCAGGTTCAAGCAATTCTCCTGCCTCAGCCTCCTGAGTAACTGGGATTACAGGCACCGGCCACAACGCCTTGCTAATTTTTGTATTCTTAGTAGAGATGGGGTTTCACCATGTTGGCCAGGCTGGTCTTGAACTCCTGACCTCAGGTCATCTGCCTGCCTCAGCCTCCCAAAGTACTGGGATTACAGGCGTGAGCCACTGCACCCGGCCCTTGAAGGGATTATTGATGTAGTTGGATTAATATCTACTATGTTTGTAAGTGTTTTCTATTCATTGCATCTTTCTTTTTCTCTTTCTGTCTCTCCCCTCCCCTCCCCTTCCCTCCCCTCCTCTCCACTCCCCTCCTCTTTCTCTTCTAAAAAAAACCAACAAAACAGGATACATGTGCAGAATGTGCAGGTTTGTTACATAGGTATATGTGTACCATGGTGGTTTGCTGTACCTATTGACCCATCCTCTACATTCCTTCCCCTCACCCCCTACCCCCCAACAGGCTCTGGTGTGTGTTGTTCCCCTCTCTGTGTCCATGTGTTCTCATTGCTCAACTCCCACTTATGAGTGAGAACAGGAGGTGTTTGATTTTCTGTTCCTGCATTAGTTTGCTGAGGATCATGGCTTCCAGCTTCATCTATCCCTGCAAAGGACATGATCTCATTCCTTTTTATGGCTGCATAGTATTCTGTAGTGTATATGTACCACATTTTCTTTATGCAGTCTATCATTGATGGGCATTTGGGTTGTTTCCATGTCTTTGCTGTTGTAAATAGTGCTGCAATAAACATACATGTGTATGTATCTTTATAGTAGAATGATTGATATTCCTTTGGGTATATACCCAGTAATAGGATTTCTGGGTCAAATGGTATTTCTGATTCTAGATCCTTGAGGAATTGCCATACTGTCTTCCACAATGGTTGAAGTAATTTACATTCCCACCAACAGTGTAAAAGCATTCCTATTTCTCCACAGCCTCGCCAGCATCTATTGTTTCCTGACTTTTTAATAATTGCCATTCTGACTGGCGTGAGATGGTATCTCATTGTGATTTTGATTTGCATTTCTCTGATGATTAGTGATGTTGAGCTTTTTTTCATACGTTTGTTGGCTGCGTAAATATCTTCTTTTGAGAAGTATCTGTTTATATCCTTTACCCAGTTTTTGATGGAGTTATTTAGCTTTTTCTTGTAAATATGTTTAAGTTCCTTGTAACTTCTGGATATTAGATCTTTGTCAGATGAGTAGATTGCAAAAATTTTCTCCCATTCTGTAGGTTGCCTCTTCACTCTGATACTAATTTCTTTTGCTGTGCAGAAGATCTTTAGTTTAATTAGATCACATCTGTCAATTTTGGCTTTTGTTGCAGTTGCTTTTGGTGTTTTAGTCATGAAGTCTGTGCTCATGTCTATGTCCTGGATGGTATTGCCTAGGTTTTCTTGTAGGGTTTTTATGGTTTTGGGTTTTACATTTTAGTCTTTAATCCACCTTGAGTTAATAGTTAATTTTTCTATAAGGTGTAAGGAAGGGGTCCAGTTTCAGTTTTCTGCATGTGGCTAGCCAGTTTTCCCAGTACCATTTACTGAGTAGGAGATCCTTTCCCGATTGCTTATTTTTGTCAGGTTTGTTGAAGATCAGATGGTTGTAGACGTGTGGTGTTATTTCTGAGGTCTCTGTTCTGCTGCATTGGTCTGTGTGCCTGTTTTGGTACCAGTACCATGCTGTTTTGGTTACTGTAGCCTTGTAGTATAGTTTGAGATCAGGTAGTGTGTACTAAAAATAAATAAATTTTTAGTAGTATTTTCAGCTTTGTTCTTTTTGTTTAGGATTGTCTTGGCTATATGGGGTCTTCTTTGATTCCATATGAAATTTAAAATAGTTTTTTCTAATTCTGTGAAGAATGTCAATGGTAGTTTGATGGGAATAGCATTGAATCTATGAATTTCTTGGAGCAGTATGGCCATTTTCACAATATTGATTCTTCCTATCCATGAGGATGAAATGTTTTTCCATTTGTTTGTGTCCTCTCTTGTTTCCTTGAGCAGTGGTTTGTAGTTCTCTTTGAAGAGACCCTTCACATCGCTTGTTAGCTGTATTCCTAGGTATTTTATTCTCTTTGTAGTGATAGTGAGTGGGAGTTCATTGATGATTTGGCTCTCTGCTTGTCTGTTGTTGGTGTATAGGAATGCTTGTCATTTTTGCACATTGATTTTTGTATCCTGAGACTTTGCTGATGTTACCTCTCAGTTCAATAAGGTTTTGGGCTGAGATGATGGGGTTTTCTAAATATAAAATTGTGTCATCTGTAAACAGAGACAACTTGATTTCCTCTCTTCTATTTGAATACCCTTTATTTCTTTCTCTTGTCTGATTGCCCTGGCCAGAACTTCCAATACTATGTTGAATAGGAGTGGTGAGAGAGGGCATCCTTGTCTTATACTGGTTTTCAATGGAAATGCTTCCAGCTTTTGCCCATTCAGTGCAATATTGGCTGTGGGTTTGTCATAAATAGCTCTTATTATTTTGAGTTATGTTCCATCAATACCTAGTTTATTGAGAGTTTTTAACATGAAGGGATGTTGAATTTTATCAAAGGCCTTTTCTGCATCCATTGAGATAATCATGTGGTTTTTGTCTTTGGTTCTGTTCATGTGATAGATTATGTTTATTGATTTGCATATGTTGAACCAGCCTTGGATCCCAGGGATGAACCTGACTTGATCATGGTGGATATGTTTTTTGCTGTGCTGCTGGATTTGATTTGCCAGTATGTTATTGAGGATTTTTACATCGATGCTCATCAGGGATATTGGTCTGAAGTTTTCTTTCTTTTGTTGTGTCTCTTCCTGGTTTTGGTATCAGGATGATGCTGGCTTCGTAAAATGAGTTAGGGAGGAGTCCCTCCTTTTCAATTGTTTGGAATAGTTTCAGAAGGAATGGTACAAGCTCCTCTTTGTATTTCTGATAGAATTCAGCTGTGAATCCATCTGGTCCTGGGCTTTTTTTGGTTGGTGGGCTATTAATTACTGCCTCAATTTCAGAGCTTGTTATTGGTCTATTCAGGGATTCGACTTCTTCCTGGTTTAGTCTTGGTAGATGGTATGCGTCCAGAAATTTATCCATTTTGTCTAGATTTTCTAGTTTATTTGTGTGGAACTATTTATAGTATTCTCTGATGGCAGTTTGTATTTTTGTGGGATCAGTGGTGATATCCCCTTTATCATTTTTTATTGTGTCTATTTGATTCTTCTCTCTCTTCTTTATTAGTCTAGCTAGTGGTCTTGTTAATTTTTTCAAAAAACCATCTTCTGGATTCATAGATTTTTTTTTTTTTTGGATGGTTTTTCGTGTCTCTATCTCCTCCACTTCTTCTCTGATCTTAGTTATTTCTTGTCTTCTGCTAGCTTTTGGAACAGTTTTCCCTTGCTTCTCTAGCTCTTTTAATTGTGATGTTAGGGTATTGATTTGAGATCTTTCTAGCTTTCTGATGTGAGGATTAAGTGCTATAAATTTCCCTCTTAACACTGCTTTAGCTGTGTCTCAGAGATTCTGGTACGTTGTCTTTTTGTTCTCATTGGTTTCAAAGAACTTGATTTCTGCTGTAATTTCATAATTTACCCAGGAGTCTTTCAGGAACAGATTGTTCAATTTCCATGAAATTGTGTGGTTTTGGTTGAGTTTCTTAATCCTGAGTTCTGGTTTGATTGCACTGTGGCCTGAGAGACTGTGTGTTATGATTTTAGTTCTTTTGTATTTGCTGAGGAGTGTTTTACTTCCAATTATGTGGTCAATTTTAGAATAAGTGCCGTGTGGCACTGAGAAGAATGTATACACTGTTGATTTGGGGTAGAGAGTTCTGTAGATGTCTAGTAGGTCCACTTGGTTCAGACCTGAGTTCAAGTCCTGAATATCCTTGTTAATTTTCTGTCTTGTTGATCTAATACTGACAGTGGGGTGTTATAATCTCCCACTATTGTTTGGCAGTCTAAGTCTCTCTCTTTTTTTTTTGAGATGGAGTTTTGCTCTTGTTGCCCAGGCTGGAAAGCAATGGTGTGATCTCAGCTCACTGCAACATCTACCCTATGGTTTCAAGCGATTCTCCTGCCTCAGCCTCCTGAGTAGCCCCTGCCACCACACCTGGCTAATTTTGTATTTTTAATAGAAATGGGGTTTCACCATGTTGGTCAAGCTGGTCTTGAACTCCTGACCTCAGGTACTCCGCCCACTTCAGCCTCCCAAAGTGTTGGGATTACAGGTGCGAGCAACCATCTCTTTTTTATTCATTGCTTTGTTCTTTCTTTTTTTAAAACCTTTCTTTTTCTGCCTTCTCTGGTTTTAATTGATTTAATTAAGTAAATGATTCTATTTGCTGTCTTTAGCATGTCAACTATACTTCCTTAAAAAAATTTGTAGTAGTTGTCTTAAGGTTTACAATATAAATTCTAAATTAATCTACATCAACCTTCAAACAATACTATACTGTTTCACATTGAATGCAGGCTTTATTTATTTTTTTGAGACAAGGTCTCACTGTGTCATCCAGGCTGGAGTACAGCAGTGTGATCAATCATAGCTCACTGTGGCCTCAAACTCTTGGGCTAATGCAGTCTTTTCACCTCAACCTTTTAAGTAGCTGGGACTGCAGGTGCATGCAATTATGCCTGGCTAATTTTTACATTTTTTGTGAAAAATGTAAAAAGTGAGATGGGATTTCACTTTGTTGCCCAGGGTGGTCTCAAATTCTTGGCCTCAAGTGATATTCCCAAAGTGCTGGGATTACAGGTTTGTGCCACTGGGCCCAGTCTAAATGCAGGTGCATTTTTTTTTTTTAAATAACAGAGTATTTCCAAGTCTTCTCTGCCATTTTTATGACTTTACTATTATTCATGTCACTTATCCATGTGCTGTAATCACCCAGTACATTCTTACTATTACTACTTTAGACGATTATCTTTTTGATCTATGGAGAATAAGAAAAATAAAATATTTTATTTTACCTTTATTCTCAGACACATTTCCTTTATATAAATTTCGGTTGCTGACCTATGTCATTTTCTTTCTCTCTGAATAATTTCATTTAACATTTTTTGCTAATTAGGTCTGCTGGAAATTATTTTCTCAGTTTTTGTTTAAGGAAGCCGTTATTTCTTCAATTTTGAAGGATAATTTCACTGGATATAGAATTCTAGGTTTTTTTTTCCTTTAAACATTTGAAATATTTTACCCCACTCTCTTGTTCGCAGGCTTTTTAAAATGAGAAGTCTGCAGTAATTCTTATCTTTGTTCCTCAAGCTGTTTTTTCCCCCTATGGCTTCTTTTAGAACATTCTCTTCATCTTTCATTTCTGCAATTTGAATATGATTTACCAATTTTTTTTGACATTTATTTTGCTTAGTGTTCTCTGTTCTTTTTCGATCTGTGGTTTGGTGTCTGTCATTAATTTTGGAAAATCCCTGACCATTATCGCTTCAAATGATTACTATCTCTTCTCCTATTATTCCAATTACGTACATCTTGTACCTTTTGGAATTGTTCCACAGTTGCTGGATGTTCTATTCCTTGTGCTGTCTCTCTCTCTCTCTCTCTCTCTCCCCCTCTCTCTCACTTTGCTTTTCAGTTTGGGAAGTTTCTATTGACTTATCTTCTAGCTCACTGATTTTTTTCCTTGACTGTGTCCATGCTGCTGATGAGCCCATCAAAGGCAGTCTTCATTTTTCCTTGATTTTCTTTTCACGTCTAGGATTTCTTATTAATTCTTCCTCAGAGTTTCCATCTCTCTGTTTACCCATCTGTTCTTGCATATTGTTTACCTTCTTCATTAGAGCCCTTATTTATTGCAGTTATTTTAAATTCTGTCTGATAATTCCAAGGTTGTGTCATATGAGTTTCATTCCAATGCTTACTTTACCTCTTCAGACTTTGTTGTAGCGTGCATTATAGTTTTTTTTTTTTTTTTTTTTTTTTTTTTGTCAAAAGCCAGACATAATATTTTGGGTAATAGGAACTGAGAAAATAGTCCTGAAGTATGAGTTTTGTGTTATTCTGGCTCAGACTTGGGCTGTGTTTCATCTTCACTGTAGTTGTAGGTGACAGAGTGTTCAGATTCCTCAGGTGTCCTTGTTATGGTCTCTCCATTTGTCTTTGGGCTTCTTTAAGAACTCCTTGGCTGAGCACTGTGGCTCACGCCTGTGATCTCAGCACTATGAGATGTCAAGGTGGGAGAATTGTCTGAGCCTAGGAGTTCGAGACTAGCCTGGGCAACATAGAGAGATCCCCATCTCTACAGAAAACTAAAAACATAAAAAAATTTAAAACAACAAAAAAAGAACTCTTTCTCAAATAGAGTCTGAGTCTTGCCATACTTCCAGCTGTCGTTACTGTCATTATACTGGAGCCTGTTGGTGTGGTGGTCAGGTATGGGGGAGGGGAAGAGTTCTATAATAGTAGCATAAATCTCAGTCTTCCATGGGCCTGTGTCCCTCGGTGTGACCTTCACAAGTGATTTCTGTTCCTCCTACCCTTACATCCCTAATGAGACAAGAAAGCTAGATGGAGTTAGCTTTCTTACTGACTAGAGAAGACTTTCTCTAGTTAATGAGAAATGCCCTTTTTGCATGGGCCAGGGAGGGTGGAAAAGGCTCTAGAAAATACTTCTCTGGCTGGGTCAAATGGTATTTCTAGTTCTAGATCCCTGAGGAATCACCACACTGACTTCCACAACCCCAATGTCCAACAATGATAGACTGGATTAAGAAAATGTGGCACATATACACCATGGAATACCATGCAGCCATAAAAAATGATGAGTTCATGTCCTTTGTAGGGACATGGATGAAACTGGAAACCATCATTCTCAGCAAACTATCGCAAGGACAAAAAACCAAACACCGCATGTTTTCACTCATAGGTGGGAATTGAACAATGAGAACACATGGACACAGGAAGGAGAACATCACACACCGGGGACTGTTGTGGGGTGGGGGGAGGGGGGGGGAGATAGCATTAGGAGATATACCTAATGCTAAATGACGAGTTAATGGGTGCAGCACACCAACATGGCACATGTATACATATGTAACAAACCTGCACATTGTGCACATGTACCCTAAAACTTAAAGTATAATAATAATAATAATAAAGAAAATACTTCTCTGGTGCGTTGGCCTTTATTAATGGAGAACGGCCTGAGGATATTGAACAATGATTACTTTTCCCTTTGCCCTGAAAGGGCCAAAGAGGATCTTCCCTGGCTCTTCACGGTGAGAACCTGGCGGGGTTCCTGGTGTTAAAACCTATGCAAGTTGTGGGGTACCCTAGAGACTGTGGCTTTCAAGAGTTTCTTACTCTTCTTACACACTCAGCCTCCAGCAAGTTGCCAAAAATCACCATTTAAATATTCCTACGATTTATGGCTCCAGCAGAAGCTATAAACTGCTCCAGGGAAGCTGATCTTGGCTGTCTCTGGATTCTTCCATCTCTCTCTACATTTCGAGGTTGTGGTTTAACCTATGCCCTTCGTTCTCTGAATAGTCTGAGAAAAATCATGGCTTTTCAATTTGTTCACCTTGTCTTTGTCATATATATGGGAGTGATAACTTCCAAGCTCTTTGCATGTTGGAGCTGAAACCGGAAGCACCCCTGTGGCTTTCTGATGGCTGCTCTGTCCACTTTCCCACCAGTTGAAGGGGCTGGGTTGGTCTTGACATAAAATGTCCTGACCTTTGCAAAAGCACCTGAGTCTTGTAGAGAAAAATTTCCACTCTTTCCAGTTAAAAAGTCACTACTTCCATATTGTGGCTGCACACCCTCCCTGCTGCTTTCATTTGATGTTGTCCAAAGTCCCTCCGGTTTTTATCAAACTAGATATGAGTTCTACAGCAGATCTCTTAATGTAGTTGAAAGTGCCAAGCATGTGGGGGTGTGGGATGAGTGGGGTCTTTAGCCCCTTTCTGATCTTCATCAGCTTCCTTATCACCACCTGCTGTCCCAGTCCTTGACAGGCAAAGGTTGTTTTATCAATCCCCTGCAACTGCAGCTTTAACCCTGTCCCCAACCTGATGTTCCTAATCACTGAGCTCCCCTGAGGTATGGCTAAGATTCTGTATTAAAGTGGCAGCCCCTTTATCCAGTAGACAGGTTTCCAGCCTCCTTTGTCATCTGGAACTTAGGAGCAAACTAGGAAGGGGGCAGGAATTCTGAGCAGCCTAAGGAGTATTTGCTAGAAAAGCTCAGTGCTCTTCCTTCTTTTCTGAGGGTTATTAAGTGGGCAGATTAAGGAGATTGCAGGGGTGGGGTGTGTTATAGCCTGGATGGGGTGAAGAGGGCCTCTGCTGGGGAGGGGATATTGGTAGCAACAGGAGGACTGATCAGATAAGTAAGTATTTTGAGAATCAGCCAGGCATGGTGGCTCACGCCTGTAATCCCAGCACTTTGGGAGGCCACATAGGTGAATTGCCTGAGGTCAAGAGTTCAAGACCAGCGTGACTGACATGGTGTACTAAAATACAAAAATTAGCTAGGCGTGGTGGCAGGTGCCTGTAATCTCGGCTACTTGGGTTGCTGAGGCAGGAGGATCGCTTGAACCTGGGAGGCGGAGGTTGCAGTGAGCCAAAATTGTGCCACCGCACTCCAACCTGGGCGATAGAGTGACCCTCCATCTCTTTTTTTTTCCCTGAGATGGAGTCTTGCTCTGTTGCCCAGGCTGAAGTGCAGTGGTGTGATCTTGGCTCACTGCAACCTCTGCCACCTGGGTTCAAGTGATTCTCCTGCCTCAGCCTCCTGAGTAGCTAGGATTACAGGCGTGTACCACCACACCTGGTTAAAATTTTTTTTTTGAGAATAATGGAAGCCAGTTTACTTGGTGTTGGAAAAGGAGTTACAAATATGGAAAGAAATGAGAACTCTGTGGTATTGGATTGCAGTTGGAGGTTTTGGTGTGAACTCGCTTTTCTCTATGTAGATATATATGAAAATGCAAATACATGTAAATGTGTCAACAAATACATGTATATGTGTGTGTGTATGTAAGTATGTATGTAAGTATGTAAATGCGTATGCAGTTGGCCTTGGAACAGTGCTGGGGCTAGGGTTGCCAACCCCCGTGCAGTCAAAAGTCCTCACATATAACTTTTGATCCCTAAAAATGTAACTACTAATAACCTACTGTTAACTAGAAGCCTTACTGATAAAACAGTTGGTTAACACATTTTTGTGTGCTATGTGTATTATATACTGTGTTCTTACAATAAAGAAAGTAGAGAAAAGGTTAAGAAAATTATAATGAAGAGAAAATATATTTACTATTCATTAAGTGGAAGGGATCATCGTAAAGGTCTTCATCCTCATCATCATCTTCATGTTGAGTAGTCTGAAGAGGAGGAGGGGTTGGCCTTGCTGTCTCAGGGTGCAGAGGCAGAAGAGACTCCACGTGTTGGTGGACCCATACAGTTCAAACCCGTGTTGTTCAAGGGTCAGCTGTACACACATACACATGTACAGACATATATTTCCTGGCTCTGTACACTGAGGGGACCTGGAGGCACCCCATTAGCAATGAGCACACCTGGCTTCCCCGTACTGGCTTTTAAATACCATTAGTCACTAAAGAAACCAGAGTTTCTTGAAGAAATGGTGGCTGGTTCCAGGGCCAGAGTAGTGAAAGTACAAGATGAAGTTGGAATATTTTGTTGTCCCAGAAAATATGAAGAACGATGAGGACACATCCGAAGGACACAAAAGCCTGCTTGAAGGGGTTCCCACTGGCCAAACCTGGGACAATCAGAGCATCAAAATATATGATAGTAATAGATTATAACCCTTTGAAAAAAGGAGAAAAACATGAGGCCATACTGATATAAGTAAGAGAATAATGAAATATTTGGTGAGGAACAGGAAATTTGCATGGCTTCAGAATACTTCTCCACAGAATACTCGTTAATTTCAAAGAAAAAGGAATAATTTTATAGTGCAGGAGCCTGGCAGCCCCAATTTGAGTCAAGTGATGAAAGCGAACGTTACCAAGAATGGGACAAGTAGAGGTCATCTGCCACCTGATAGGATGTGGTGAAAAGAACACAGCATCACTTCTGTGATTCTTGCCGAAAATATATAACCTGAATCTAATCATGACCAGGCCTCAGACAAACCCAGACTTTGGGACATGCTACAAGAAAAACTGGCCTATAAAGCTTCAAAAGTGTCAAGGTCATGAAAGTCAGTGAAAGACTTCTCCAGACCCACGTAGTCCAAAGAGACTTGACAACTGAATGTGATTCTGAACTGGATCCATTGTAGCAAAAGGACATTATTGGGACATTTGGCAATATTTGAATGGGTCTTATGATTAGATGGCAGGGCCATATCAATATTAATGTTCTGAATTTGATGGTTGTACTGTGGTTATATAGGAGGATACTGTGTTTGTACTAAATATATGACGGGGTGTTATGTAAGTAACTTGCCCCCAGTGATTCAGTTTTTCTTTACACTTGAGGTGGTTAAACTGTATAAAAATAGACATAGTAATTGCTCAGGCAGCTGTGGCCCTTATTCAGGGCCTATTAGTTAAGGGTAATATGTGAAGTAAATTGAAGACCTAATCTTCTCAGCCATCTTAGCCATCTAGATTCCCAGGCAATCAAGGATCAGGATGCCTTTTTTTTTGAAACTGAGGTCCTGCTCTGTCTCCCAGGGTAGGGCACAGTGGCATCATCACTACTCACTGCAGCCTCGAACTCCTAAACTGAAGCCATCCTCCCGCCTCAGCCTCCTGAGTAGCTGGGAATACAGGCACTTGCCACCATGCCCAGCTAATTCTTTAATTTTCTGTAGAGATGAGATCTCACTGTATTGCCCAGCCTGGTCTCAAACTCCTAGGCTGAAGCGATCATCTGCCTTGGACTCTCAAAGTGCTGGGATTACAGGCATGAGCCACCGCACCCAGCTTGGGATGCCTTTTTTGTTTGTTTTGTTGTTGTTGTTGTTTTGCCTGCCATTGATTTCTGATGCCACTCATTACAGGAAAATGCTAATCCTGCACTCACATTTCGTGCTTTATGGTCTGTAAAAGACTTTGATAGGTTTTCTTTTCTTTTTCTTTTTTTGAGATGGAGTTTCGCTCTTGTTGCCCAGGCTGGAGTGCAATGGTGCGATCTCAGCTTGCTGCAACCTCCACCTGCTGGGATCAAGCGATTCTCTTGCCTCGGCCTCCCGAGTAGCTGGGATTACAGGTGCCTGCCACCACGCCCAGCTAATTTTTTTGTAATTTTAGTAGAGATGGGGTTTCACCATGTTGGCCAGGCTGGTCTCGAACTCCTGACCTCAAGTGATCCTCCCGCCTTGGCCTCCCAAAGTGCTGGGATTACAGGCATGAGCCACCACTCCTGGCCGGTTTTCTTATTTACATCTCACAGTACCCTGGAGCAGGCAGGGATTATTCTACCATATTGGAGAGGAGGATAATGATGACAAAATAATAATAATGGGTGACATAGAGTACTTTTTATGGGCTTGCAATAGTTTAAGCACTTTGAATATTGGATACTTTAACTCATTTAATTATCCCAATTACCCTATGAAGTAGGTAGACTGTGCTTATTTTATTTCACCAACAAGGAATCCAGGGCACAGACAAGTTAAGTGATTTGCCTAAGGCCCCACAGATTGAAAGTGGTGGAGCCAGGGTTTGCATCAGGCAGTCTTGAGTCCAGAGCCCCTGCTTATTTATGTACTGGGACTTAGTGCCTTAGCTAGGCTGGGCGACTGGTTCAGCACCCTTTGTTCACCTCTTCATTGATTGAGCAAATGAGTACTGAGTGCCTGTCAGGGGCAGGTCCTGCTGCGGATGCAGACAGAGCCCTTGGCTCCATGGAGCTCAGGCTTTGTGAGGTGAGTTGAAGAACTGGATGTAAAACTGTCTCTGCTACCCCAGCATGGAGTCCAGACAGCGACCACATGCCTCACACGCATGAGGAGCTGGCCAGCCCCATGCTCACAGGTGCACTTTCTTCTCTTTTCTTTTGAAGGTCGCCTGGTCGGCGCTCTGGATGCAGTGTTGGATTCCAATGCACGGGTCGCTCCATTTCGAATTCTGCTTCAAGTTCCCGGCTCCCAGGTTTATTCTCCCATAGCATGTGGTGAGTTACTGAATGGATCAGACGTTTACTGGGCCATAGCCACTGGTGAGTTTTGTTCCAGTTGGAATGTTCCAAACCTTAAGGTGTAAGCATGCTGAGTATCTGCATGTTGGTGAAGCTTGAAGGTAACCCCTTTGGATAACTCCCTCATCTGCTTTCAGGAACTTAACTCCCCTCCCCTCCACTCCCCTTCCTTCCCCTTCCCTCTCCTTCCCTCCTCTCCCCTGCCCTCCTCTTCCTTCCTCTCCCCTTCTTCTCCTCTCCTCTCCTTTCTGCCCCTCCCTCTCAACCCTTGCTTTCCCCTCCCATCTTTTTTTTTTTTTTTTTTAAAAACCATCGAAAGCACATAAAGGCTGTAATCTTGGGCAGCATAGCTTGGGCATGCCAGGCTTTCATTGGTGTGTTTCATGGTGCTCGTATATTGTCGATAACGAATCGAGCCATTTTCTTCTTAATCTTGTTTCTGACTTACCAATGTGCTCCTGGATGCATACACATAATGGTGTGGGCAGTTTCTGAGGGCTGTGTCTGACTCAGGGCAGTCTTCTCCTATTGTGATCATGTGGGCAGATTCTGAGAGCTGTGTCTGACCTAGGGCAGTCTTGACCCCATGTTCCACCTTTGCACTGAGAGAATGAGTCACTGGACAGCTGGGGGCTAAGAGAAGGTGGAAACCACCTGCTCATCTTCTCCTTCTGGGGTTTCTGTTCCTATCACAGGCATTACCTGGTGCTCTGTCTAACCACTCAGGTTCCTCTTGGGCCAGGAGTCACCACTTCTTGAGAAGACCCTTTTATTAAAAAACAAAACCAAAACATCTTTTTTTTTTTTAAACACGAGTAATAAATGCTCGTCTTCCAGAAATGAAAAAGTGGATAAGAAAGAAGGAAAAAATAATCACCTGCAACCCTTTATCCACAGCTAATCTTCTTTCTGCATATATACGTGGTGGTTTTTTAGTTTTCTATCTTCTCATAGCACCTTATTAGTTAACTTAAACTTTCAAAATCACCTCTACATGTTCTCTAGCAAGATTTAAATAAAAAAAAATTAAATTTTATTTTATTGAGATGGAGTCTCACTATGTTGGCCAGGGTGGTGGTCTTGAACTCCTGGCCTTCAGTGATCAGCCTGCCTTGGCCTTCCAGAGTTGCTGGGATTACAGGCATGAGCCACCACGCCTGGCCAACATTGGAATTCTTTTTCCTCGAAAATACAAGAAGTGTGAAGAGAATTCACATTCATATCCCATGGATCCAATACTAATCACTGTTAACATCTTGGCATTTTTTTTTCAGTTTGTTTTGTTTTTTAATTAAGACAGATCATTCTGTATTTGCATAAAATGACAAAGATGATGCATGCTCGGTAGAAAGAAATCAGGCTGGGAATGGTGGCTCATGCCTGTAATCACAGCACTTTGGGAGGCTGAGGAGGGAGGATCACTGGAAGCCAGGAGTTCAAGGCCAGCCTGGGTGACAAAGTGAGACACGCATCTCTGCAAAAAATTTAAAAATTAGCTGGGCGTGGTGGTGTGTACCTGTAGTCTCAATTACTAGGAAGGCTGAGGATCACTTGAACCCGAGTTCGAGGCTGCAGTGAGGTATGATGGTGCCACTGCCCTCCAGCCTGAGTGATAGAGGGAGAGCCCATTTCTTAAAAAAGAGAGGCTGGGTGTGGTGGCTCACGCCTGTAATCCCAACACTTTGAGAGGCCCAGGCGGGTGGATCACGAGGTCAGGAGTTCAAGACCAGCCTGGCCAAGATGGTGAAACCCCGTCTCTACTAAAAATACAAAAATTAGCTGGGCATGTTGGTGGGTGCCTATAATCCCAGCTACTCGGGAGGCTGAGGCAGGAGAATTGCGGTGAGGAGGAGGTTGTAGTGAGCCGAGATTATGCCACTGCACTCCAGCCTGGGCGACAGAGTGAGATTCCGTCTCAAAGGAAAAAAAAAAGAAAAGAGAGAGAGAGTGTGTGTCAAATGAATCAGCTAACTGAAAAATACAAAGAAGGTATCTATCTCCCCAAATCCCAGCCACCCAAAGTAACCTCTAGTTTCATGAGGTGAGCATCAGCCCAGATAACTTTCTAAGACATTTAGACACACAGGGATAGTTGAGAAGATGGACAGAAGGACTTTCATAAAAATGCAACTTGTGTGTCAGTGGTTTTATAACAAAAGTATTACACTTGCTTGATTTCAATAAAAGGAAATAAACTGAAATGAAACCAAAGAAATGTTAAACTTCAAATAAATGTTTCTTTAGTACAAGAGAGATTATTTTCTAAAAGGTTCAAGTAAGGTTAAGGGAAGAGATTTTTGAAAGCATTAAAAGGTTAGAATTGTGGCTTTTGAAAAACAATGTTTGAAGTCTGATAGTGTTCACTGGCTCTCCACCCTCTGAGTCAAGGGTGCCAGCATTCTTATTCTCCTCCCTGCTTTCCCAATCTCTCATTTAAAAAAGTTTTATTATTAGTTTTACATTGTACTTTCCATTCTGTCATGTAACCTTACTTTATTGTTTAGCTCAGTTCTCACTTATACATTGATTTAATGCTTTTACTCAGGTATAGATTTCCCAATCTGGAATTTTTTTTTTTTTTTTTTTGAGACAGAGTCTTGCTTTTGTTGCCCAGGCTGGAGTGCAATGCTGTAATCTCAGCTCACTGCAACCTCCACCTCTTGGGTTCAAGTGATTCTCCTGCCTCAGCCTCCCAAGTAGCTGGGATTGCAAGCATGCGCCACCACGCTCGGCTAATATTTTGTATTTTTAGTAGAGACAGGGTTTTTTTTTTACCTATTGGTCAGGCTGGTCTGAAACTCCTGACCTCAGGTGATCTGCCTGCCTTGGCCTCCCAGAGTGCTGGGATTACAGGTGTGAGCCACTGCATCCGGCCCCAATCCAGAGTATTTTATCTCTTATTTGGCTGGACTCCTGTTTTTTTCCCTCCATAATGTCAGTGTCCTATTTTCTGAATGTTTTTTCCCATTTGCCAGTGTTTGCCCTTGTTTCTGGACTTGAGTGACACTTTGGCTGGGTGATAGTTTGAGGCTATGCTCTAGAGCAAGCTTGTCCAACCTGTGGCCTGCTGGTTGCGTGCGGCCCAGGAGGGCTTTGAATGCAGCCCAATACAAATTAGTAAACTTTCTTAAAACATGATGAAATTCAGCCGGGCGCGGTGGCTCACTCCTGTAATCCCAGCACTTTGGGAGGCTGAGGCGGGCGGATCACCTGAGGTCAGGAGTTCAAGACCAACTTGGCCAACATGGGGAAACCCCATCTCTACTAAAAGTACAGAAATTAGCCAGGGGTGGTTGTGGGTGCCTGTAATCTCAGCTACTCAGGAAGCTGAGGCAGGAGAATCGCTTGAGCCCAGGAGGGAGGTTGTAGTGAGCCGAGATCATGCCATTACACTCCAGCCTGGACAACAGAGTCAGACTCCATGTCAAGAAAAAAGAAAAAAAGAAATTTTTTTGCGATTTTTTTAAGCTTATCAGCTATTGTTAATGTTAGTGTATTTTATGTGTGGCCCAAAATAACTCTTCTTCTTCCAATGTGGCCTAGGGAAGCCAAAAGATTGGACATCCTTGTCTAGAGGTTGGTGGCTGTTGTTCTAGGGCCTTCCTGTATTTGATAGGCCAATAGGAGAAATCTCAGGCAGCACCGATTGTTTTTTTTTTTTGCTTTGCATATGATGAGTTTTTTTTGTGCACACAACTCTGTCTTTATCATTGAAGTTTAGTAACTTGATTAGCATCTGTAACTACTGTGAGCATAGTGTGTTACATGTTTTGGAACATAGTATACTGTTGCAGTCTGCAGATTGGTTTCTTTAATCACTTTAGGAAATTTTCTTGCATCATTCTGTGTATGTATTATATTTTTTGATGCATTTTACATTTCATTTAACTTTTCCACTTCAAGGATACTTTATGTTGGATAGCTGTTATCTGCTTTTCATTTCTGTTTTTTGTTATCTTTTTCATCTGTGTTCTCCATTCAGCTCATAACTCTTTTGAGTTAATAATTTGGTTTGCAGCAGTATATTCTATACCTTGCTGCTTTTAACTTATCTACTAATTTTGTTGTCAAGTTTTTTTTTTTTTTTTGAGACAGAGTCTCGCTCTGTTGCACAGGCTAGAGTGCAGTGGTACAATCCCAGCTCACTGAAACCTCTGCCTCCCAGGTTCATGCCATTCTCCTGCCTCAGCCTCCCAAGTAGCTGGGACTACAGGCACCCGCCACCACGCCCAGCTAATTTTTTTGTATTTTTAGTAGAGACGAGGTTTCACCCTGTTAGCCAGGATGGTCTCAATCTCCTGACCTCGTGATCCACCCGCCTCAGCCTCCCAAAGTGCTGAGGTTACAGGCGTGAGCCGCCGCGCCCGGCCTGTTGTCAAGTTGTTTTGATCCTCAATTCATTTTGTTAGATTTCCAACATCCTTTTAATCTGTTACCCATTAGCTCATCTGTGAGTGCTTGTTTTATTGAACCCGTGTTCTTCAGTTGTTAGGGAGCATGAAGCATTCGTGAGAATTTTCTTTTCTTCCTTGAGTGTTCCATTCTCTTCTAGCACAGAATCTCTTCTTTGGAACCTTGCGTTCTCATCCATTCATTTTCTTTAGCAGTCGAGTGTTTGCTTGTTTGCAGTGCTGTTTCTCCTTGTCTTGCTCATGCTTGGGCATCGTTATCCCGGACGTTATATTGGCGCTAACGTAGTGTGACTTTAACTCGTGTTATGGGAACAGGGCAAGGAGGACTGGCATCTCGCTAGACGAGATGTGGTGGGTGAGAGAGTAGGATCCTCTTTTTCACATTTCTTGCAGATTTGGAGCTTTTGATATGAGTATTTTTTTTCTCCCCCCTAGGTTGGCTTCTGGGGAGTTGTCAGGGTGGGGAGTTGCCCACATTTCTGTTCTGTTCCTGAATCCATGCCCTTTGTAACCACAGCCATACCATGTTCTTAATGGCCACACAGCATTCAACTCTGTGGCTGTAGCTCAATTTACTCATCCAATCCTTTATTGGATACTTAATTGGCCTGGATTTTTTAATAGTTTAAAAGCATTTAAACTGTTATAGTTTAATAGTGAATACCCTGGCTGGGCGCGGTGGCTCACACCTGTAATCCCAGCACTTTGGGAGGCTGAGGTGGGCAGATCACGAGGTCAGGAGATCGCGACCATCCTGGCTAACACGGTGAAACCCCGACTCTACTAAAAAAAAACAAAAAAATTAGCTGGGCCTGGTGGCAGGTGCCTGTAGTCCCAGCTGCTCAGGTGGCTGAGGCAGGAGAATGGCGTGAACCCAGGAGGCGGAGCTTGCAGTGAGCGGAGATCGAGCCACTGGACTCCAGCCTGGGTGACTGAGCGAGACTCTGTCTCAAAAAAAAAAAAAAAAATAGTGAATACCCATTCATGTCAACTTTTCAGGACACTTCACAATCCCTTAAGTCCATTTATTTGAAATGTTTGTTGCCTGCCACGTACCAGACACATGCTTGATGTCGGAGATTCTGCGCTGTGTGTGTGAGGGGCAGTCTCCCTGCACCTAGCTTTTCAGGACCTGGGGGAAGGCAGATAGCAACATGAATAACAGGTGCAGGTGGGCAGAGGGCTAGGGAGGCCCGAGAGAAAAGCACCCTTGCAGAGCACATCCTGAGGAACGGCTGCATGGAAGGGATGTGTGTTTCTTTTTTTTGAGACAGAGTCTCACTTTGTTGCCCAGGCTAGGGTGCGGTCATGCGATCTCGGCTTACTGCAACCTCCACCTCCCGGGTTCAAGCAGTTCTCCTGCCTCAGCCTCCTGAATAGCTGGGATTACACGTGCACGCACCACTGTGCCTGGCAAATTTTTTGATTTTTAGTGGAGACGGGTTTTCGCCATGTTGGCCAGGCTGGCCTTGAACTTCTGACCTCAGGTGATCCTCCCACCTTTGCCTCCCAAAGTGCTGGGATTACAGGCATGAGCCACTGCACCCGGTGGGATGTGTGTTCCTAATGCATTTTGTGTTTATTGCCAAATTGCCTGCCATGACGTTTGTGCCAGCTTCCCTGGGTCCTCCCCTTCCAGCAGTGCAGGAGTCCTGAGCAGGTTAACTCCTAGACCCTCTTTCTGTTGAGCCGAGATCAGCTTCCTTTAGTTCCCACTGGGCGCAATTTCTGCCTCAGGCCTGACCCGGGCCAGGTCTGTAGATGCATCACTTTCTGCTGCCTTCTTGCCCACAGAACATCCCTTGAGTAAGAATTTGTTCTTTCAGTGCACTTTTCTTGGGTTAAGGAAGAGAGAATTGTTGAGTGTATTTCTGTCATGGACCCAGGGTATCAATTTAGATCCTTAGGCCTCTTCTGGGAGTGCCTTGGGCATCTTGCACTGTGTTATTGACTCACCGTAGTTAATATTTTATTGTGTCTTGAGCATTGAGCAAAGGCCCCTGCCCAGGGTTTCAAGTCTCAGATAAAGCCCAAACAAGAAGTGTAGGAAGGGCCTGGGCAGCCCCAGGACAAGGTGGGAACAGGAAGAATGGCCTGCACGAATGATTTATATCTTCACTTGAGTTTGGCTGCTTGCACAGCAGGATGGGGAGACATAGGAGGGCCTTTGAGGTTAAGTTTTTTTCCTTTTTTTCTAAGTAGAGATAGGTAGATAACTTCATGGGTGAACTACATTATTATTTGGCAGAAGATACCTATGGCTGACTGTGTTTGGAAGGAGAAATGAATTCCTATTATTTTTAACTTAACATGGACCAGAGAATCCCAAGGCTTTATAAAGATTACCAGCTTCAGTGGGTGGAGACATCCTAGGAGAGAGTGGTTGTGAGTTGTTTGGGAGGTTGTGGGTGGTGTGATTTGGATGAGAGCTGAGATGTCACCTCCCTGACTCCCTGTCACCTGCGTCCTCCATCCTGGCACTCACTTGTCACCAACTCTCCTTTGACTTGATTTTTGTCTGCCTTTTACTTCATGGAAGTAAAATTTCTCTGAGAGTCATACTTGTGACCTTCTGATGCCTAGGACAGAGCTTGACGTGTCATCAATGCTCAGTAAACCATGAGTGGGTGAATAAGTGGGGAAGTATGGGAGAGAAGGAGGGGAGTCTCAGCAGTTAAGACTTCCTCATATAAAGAGAGTGAAGGTAAGGCATGCAGTTACAGATGAAACTCCTTGGGCGCTTTCTGCCGAGCCAGGCCAGGGATATTCCAGGCAAGGCATGGACCTGCTCACCACCAACGTGCAACGGAAGAACTTGAAAAACAGGGATGTTTCTTAATTTCTTTAAAAAACAAATGTTTGTATTGTTGTAAAATATATATAACATAAAATTGACTGTCTTAACCATTTTTAAGTGTACAGGTTGGTGGCATGAAGTACATTCGCAGAATGGTACAACCATCACCACCATCCATCTCCAGAACTTTTTTCATCTTCCCAAACTGAAACTCTACCTGTTAAAGACTCACTCCTCACTCTCCTCTCCCCAAGTCCCAGGCAACCCAGATGGGATCCAGGTTCTGTCTCTAGGAATTTGCCTACTCGGGCACCTCGTGTTAGTGGGCTCGAGCAGTGTTGGTCTTTTGGTGACCACTTATTACAGTCAGCATCCTATCTTCAAGTGTCCCGCATGTTGCAGTGGGTGTCAGAAAGTCCGTCGTTTTTACAGCTGAATGATATTCCATTGTAAGTCGGCTTTCTGTTTGAAATCATATCTCTGAATGATTGGGCATAAGTCGAAACAAGGACGTGGTGTGTGGAACCAGGAGAGCAAAATCCTAGGAGCTAATTCCTAGTCAGGTCATGGGGAGCAGGAATGCTGGGAGGGCCAGGGTGCCCAGCCTGCAGGAGGGCCGGTTTTTGGCTGCATTGATGCCTATCTCGTGCAGAGCCCTCTGGGTCTCTGGATGAACAAGGAGACTTCATTGCCATTTCTACGTATCTGATGGTCTTAGTCATGACTCTGTCCTGTGCTTGGAAAGTCCAGGCTGTTGTAGGCTGAGAGTTACCTATCATGTTCCTATGTGAGATGTCGATGTCTCATGTTCTTTTTGGTAGGTAATTCCCAAGGTTACCAACTGCATTATTCACACATATATTTTATTCTTTTTCGTTTTTTGAGACGGAGTCTCACTCTGTTGCCCAGGCTAGAGTGCAATGGTGTGATACTGGTTCACGGCAACCTCCGCCTCCCAGGCTCGAGTGATTCTCTTGCCTCAGCCTCCTGAGTAGCTGGGATTACCGGTGCCTGCCACCACGCCTGGCTAATTTTTGTATTTTTAGTAGAGACAGAGTTTCATCATGTTGGTCAGGCTGGTCTTGAACTTCTGACCTCAAATGATCCACCTGCCCCAGCCTCCCAAAGTGCTGGGATTGCAGGCATGAGCCACCACACCTGGGTACACATTTTATTTTTTATCATGGCCCTGTGCATTGAGTGCATTGTTCTTGCCCAGTTTTCAGGAAGCAGAAAGAAAATACAGGCAAGAACTGCAGGACTTTGAATTATCTGCCTAGATCATTCTAAGAATTGAATTGATTATGCAATAATTGGACTCCTTTTCCTGTAGATTAACTGAGGCATGAGGTGGACTGTCTCCTCTGGTTACTGGAAGAGGACTTCCTGATTGCCTTACTTTGAGGCAGCCAGGGTGGGGGTCCTCCCGAGAGCATGGGGAGGGTCCCAGGGGGCCCACTTCAGGGTTGCCTTTCATGAAAAACTTGTCAAACCTTTGTACAGATGTCTTTTTAATAACACTCACTGCTTTGCAGATCCAAGTTTGGACTCTGGGCTGCTCCAGTAGTTTGTTGGCTCTGTTTATGGTAGCTTAAGTGCAAGGTTTTTATGTAGCCAGTAAGGTCTGTCCCATGGTCTTGAGTGAAATGGGGAGCAGGAAAACAGAAAGAAAGGAAAGTGCCACGTTGTAGCAGGGGAGGGTCAGGAGACCACCTTACCTGGGCATTGTGGGGTGCAGGGGTGCCAGCAGAGCAGGAGCTTACCTGGTGGGCAGGGGCACTGCCACATCTTGGGAGGGAGTATGTGTGTAGTTTGAAAAAGCTTACTTAATAGTTTAGATTTGGAAAATGGAAAAAACATCCTTTTGAAATGTTAAAGATCGTTAAAGAAGTTTGTGATATTTTCATAAATCAAAATGTGGCATATGTTTTAAAAAATTGAGAATAGCTGGACACAGTGGCTTGCTCCCATAATCCCAGTACTTTGGGAGGCTGAGGTGGGAGGGTTGCTTCAGGCTGGGAATTCAAGACCAGCCTGGGCAACACAGTGAGACCCCATCTCTACAACAAAATTTTAAAAATTAGCTGGGCCTGGTAGTGCTCCTGTGGTGCCAGCTGCTCAGGAGGCTGAGGTGGGACGGGGCCTGGAAAGTTGAGACTGCAGTGAACTGGGATCGTGCTACTGTACTCCAGCCTGGGCAACAGAGCAAGACCCTGTCTCCAAAAAAAAAAAAATTGAGAGTACAAGAGTTGGGCTTTCCAGTTTAAACAATCCTTCCCTTTCCCATACTTTCTTTATTTGTTCCTCTCAATATTATATTGGGAAGTGTGATGCTTTGGCTCTGGAGAGGCAAGGAGCAAGCCACAGGGAGCTCAGGGACTTGCCAGGGCTGCTTCAGGCATCGGTAACACTGCGGGTGTGTCAGGTGCTATCCCTGACAGAATGTTCTTTCAGAGCGTTCTTTCTGACGCACATTCTCTTGTCCCTGCCCTTGACCATGGGTGGCATCTTGGTTTTCTTGCAGTCTGCATCACTGTTTGCTTTGTCTTTGGAGAGAGAATTTTATTGAGGGAGGAAATGTTCCAGGGTGGATCAGATTAGCATCTCTGTGAACTTTGTACCAGGGTAGCGAAGGAAGTGCCAACCCCATCTTTTTTTCAAGAACAGAACACCCTGGGTGCTTCAAGGAAAGTCTGGGAAGCAACCCAGTGGGAGGGAAGACAGTGCTTTTCTCTGGGTCCCCACGCTGAGGTCAGGCGATGCGAGTTGTTACACTTGTTTTCGGTCACGCTCGGGGTGCTGCGGTTCACGTTTCTTTTCTATTATGGAGTTACTGTCACCAGGCTCTTACTGTTTTAAATAAAGTCATTTTGCTTACGCTCAAATAATTACACTCATCCAAGGCATTCTTCCCTTAGGGTTGTTGTTTATAGTTATTTGAAAAGCAGGGACATACTGAGTCTAACTTGTAGATCTAGTAAATGCTGATATCAAAAGTGATGTTAACAACTATTCCTAAGACTGGACCTGGTTGGGGCTGGGCGCGGTGGCTCACACCTGTAATCCCAGCACTTTGGGAGGCCTAAGCAGGCGGATCATGAGGTCAGGAGATCGAGACCGTCCTAGCTAACACAGTGAAACCCCGTCTCTACTAAAAATACAAAAAAATTAGCCAGGCGTGGTGGCGGGCGCCTGTAGTCCCAGCTACTCTGGAGGCTGAGGCAGGAGAATGGCGTGAACCCGGGAGGCGGAGCTTGTAGTGAGCCGAGATCGCACCACTGCACTCCAGCCTGGGCGACAGAGCAAGACTCCGTCTCAAAAAAAAAAAAAAAAAAAAAAACCAGACTGGACCCAGTGACTCAAACGCCTTTAATTCCAGCACTTTGAGAGGCTGAGGTGGAAGGGTCACTTGAGGCCAAGAGTTTCAGACCAACTTGGGTGGCATAGCAAGACCCTGTTTCTACAGAAAAAAAAAAAAATTAGCCGGGCGTGGTGGAGCGCACCTGTAGTCCTAACTACTCAAGAGGCTAAGGCGGGAGGATTGCTCGAGCCTGGGAGTTCAAGGCTGCGGTGAGCTATGATGGCACTCCGCCTGAGTGACAGATGAAACCGTGTCTTTAAATAAATACATGAATAAAACCCTCCAAAACAAAAAACCAATTTTTAAGCCTGGAATCAGACTTTTCTCTAGTGTCTTATAGGTTACAGAACCAGTTGGTAACTTCTGCGTAGAGCAGGACTTGATTAACAAGGAAACCGTCTGGAGAGGACCTTAGCAGGCGTCTAGTTTAATCCCTTTCATTTTTAGTAGATGAAGAGACATTGACTGGGGCTGTGGGTTTCAAAAGGAGATGACTGGCAAATGACTTTTTATTAAATGATTCCTTAATGATAAAAAAATAACATTGGGAATGAGCACGGAGGCACCATGACTTTGTGCTGCCTGGAGCTCTCCTTCTTGGCCAGTTTTGCTGGTCTGACCCCAGTGGGTGTGTTGCCTGCCTACTCTGGTCTCTCCCATTCCATGAGGTCCCCGGGGGCCCACTTCAGGGTTGCCTTTCACTGACTTCTGTGACATATGCTAGAGCCTTGTATATCTGAATTGCCTGGGGCTGGTAGTGATCCTGATCAAAAAAATAATAAGGAAATTCAGGGAGTAACCACTTCTGCCCGTTTTCTTGCCCCACATTTTCACTTCTGATTATATTTTCCTCATAGGTAGGAGTTAGTTATCCATATTTGTTCCTTTTTTTTTTTTTTTTTTTTTGCTAAGAAAGGTTTTTCTTTTCTTTCCTTTTTTTTTTTTGTTATGAAGATTTTCAAAGATGTCCCAAAATAGGGAGGAGAGTGTAAGGAAACCTGCAGAAACCTCATTGTGTACATGCGTGAGGACTGAAGTTTTGCCCTTCTTGAGTTATTTCTTCCTCTCTAAGCCCTTCCCCTACCCCAAAGCATTTTAAAGCAAATTCTAGAAATTATAATATTTCTCTCCTACGTATTTTAGGAAACATCTCTGAAAAATATGGCCAGTCTTATCACTGTAATGCCCTCACTAAACCGATAAAGTTAACTTTGATTCCTTGTTGTCCCTGGACTCAGTCCATTCTTAGGCTTCCTGCTTGCTTCAGGAATCTTCATAGATCTGGGTTTTAATCCATAGCTAACTAGAACTGCACACCCATTTGGTTGTGTTTCTAAAGTCTCTTTGAGTCAAGAAAACTGTGACTGTCCAATGTGTTCATTTTGCCCACTGCCCATTTAGAACCGATTTCTCAAGATGGGAATTGCAATAAAGAGTTTAATATGTACAGAGCTGTCTGAACGGAAGACTGGAGTTGTGTTACTCAAATCAGTCTCCCTGAAAATTCGGAGGCTAGGGTTTTTCAAGGATAGTGTGGTGGGCCAGGGAATGGAAGCTGCTCGTTGGTTGGGGATACAATCTTAGCAGTGTGGGAAATGGTCTTTGTGTGTGCTGAGCCCACTTCTGCGGGGGATGACTGGGCCAGTTGGTGGGTCCGGGTGGAGCCATCTGTGATCAGAAATGCAAAAATCTGAACAGACATCTCAAAAGGCCAATTTTAGGTTCTGTAAGAGTGTTGTTATCTGCAGGAGTAATTGGAGAAGTTGCCAATCTTGTGACTTCCAGGAATAAAGGCTGGTAATTGTTTAAGTCTACACCTTAGCAGAATTCAGGCTCCCCTCATCCTCCTAACCTGGTGGTCTTTCATTTTCCAAGGGTGCTTTAGTTTTAGGGAAGGGCTATTATCATTTGATATGGTTTGGATCTGTGTTCCTAACCAAATCTCATATTGAAATGTAATGTCCAGTGTTGGAGATGGGGCCTGGTGGGAGGTGATTGGATCATGGGGGTAGATTTCTCTTGAATGGCTTGGCACCATCCCCTTGATACTGTCCTCAGGATAGATAGTGAGTGAATTCTTACGAGATCTCGTTGTTTAAAAGGATGTAGCACCGGCCGGGCACGGTGGCTCACACCTGTAATCCCAGCACTTTGGGAGGCCGAGGCGGGTGGATCACGAGGTGAGGAGATCAAGACCATCCTGGCTAACACAGTGAAACCCCGTCTCTACTAAAAATACAAAAAATTAGCTGGGCGTGGTGGTGGGCACCTGTAGTCCCAGCTACCCGGGAGGCTGAGGCAGGAGAATGGCGTGAACCCGGGAGGCGGAGGTTGCAGTGAGCCGAGATCATGCCACTGCACTCCAGCCTGGCACTTTGGGAGGCCGAGGTGGGTCGATCACGAGGTCAGGAGATCAAGACCATCCTGGCTAACACAGTGAAACCCCGTCTCTACTAGAAATGCAAAAAATTAGCTGGGCGTGGTGGTGGGCACCTGTAGTCCCATCTACCCGGGAGGCTGAGGCAGGAGAATGGCGTGAACCCGGGAGGCGGAGGTTGCAGTGAGCCAAGATCATGCCACTGCACTCCAGTCTGGGCGACAGAGCGAGACTCCGTCTCAAAAAATTAAAAATAAAAATAAAAAGTATGTAGCACTACCGCCTCTCTCTTGCTCCTGCTCCCACCATGTGAAATGTCCCCCTTTGCCTTCCAGCATGATTGGAAGCTTCCTGAGGCTCCCCAGAAGCAGAAGTTGCCATGCTTCTGCAGAACCGTGAGTCTCGGGTATTTCTTTATAGCAATGTGGGAACAGACTAATACATCATTTATACTATCACCTAAATGTCTTCCAAAGTTAGGTTGGCCCAAGCCCAGGAATGACTAAGGGCAGTTTGAAGGTTAAAGGCAAGATAAGGATTGGTTAGAGCAGATCTCTTTCATAATTTCTCAGTTATAATTTTTGCAAAGGCAGTTTCACAGTTTCAGCCCTCTTCCTCCCCATCCCTCTTTTCATGCCACTGACCTGTTGAAGAAGTTGGGCCAATTTTTATGTGGAATATCCTGCTGGCTGCACAGTCTGTTTTCTCCCTCAGGGCATCATTTAACTTTGTGCACTTTTCTTCATGTTTCCTGGAAACTGGAAGTTACTAATAAAGGTTTAATTGAATGTAGGTGCAGCTGTTTTTAGGAAGAATACTCTATAGGCTGCGCCATGTATTTTATTTTGCGTTCTCTCAGGAGGCACGTATCATCTGGATGTCTCACTCCTATTGATGCTAAGATTAGTTCATGAGTTCAGGTGACAGCTTCCATTGCATTCTCCCCCATCAAGCTTTCGTCAAAGGTTTTTTTCCGTTATGATCATTGCCTGAATTCACTTTTTCTCTATGGATCATGAAATGGTGGTTTTCTAATTTGATCATTCCTTTTACAACTGTCTGCTTGAGTTATCTGTAAAGAAGAACTTTGTCTCTTCAACTAGTGCTATTTGGTCACCCTGAGACATAATATATTTAGAAAACATGGGGTAAAATGCCTCCTTTTGCTCTGTAGTTGCCTACTGTTAATGTAAGGAGTTGGTGCCCTGGTCATCTGCAGTGATGACAAGTGAATTATTATTTTTCTGTTTTAGCTTCCTTTTCTTTTTCTCTCTCCCTTCTCCCCTTTTTAGTATCATTTTAAAGTTAAGAATCCCTGCTCTTAGCATTTCATTATGAAAATTTTCAAACATACAGAAACGTTGAAAGAATTATACAGTGAACACTACAAGCCAGGAGTTTAAAAATATATTCACTGTGTTTCAATTAATTGCAGGATTTTTTTGGTATGTAGATTGAACCATCTTCTGCCCATTAGAGCCCATTTGTAGTCCGTTTTATACTGCTATAAAGAACTGCCTGAGACTGGACAATTTATAAAGGAAAGAGGTTTAATTGACTCACAGCTCAGCATGGCTGGGGAGGCCTCAGGAAACTTACAATCATGGCAGAAGGTGCAAAGGAGAAGCAAGGCACTTTCTTCACAAGGCAGCAGGAAGGAGAAGTGCTGAGCAAAGAGGAAAGAGCCCCTTATAAGACCATTTTGTGAGAACTCACCATCATGAGAACAGCATGTGGGAAACTGCCCTCATGATTCAATTACCTCCACCTGGTCTCTCCCTTGACACGTGGGAATTGTGGGAATTACAATTCAAGATGAGATTTGAGTGGGGACACAAAGTCTAACTAGATCACCCTTCCTGTGACTTCTATGACATTTTTTTTTTTTTTTTGAGATGGAGTCTCACTCTGTCGCCTAGGCTGGAGTGCAGTGGCGCAATCTTGGCTCACTGAACCTCCCAGGTTCAAGCAATTCTTGTGTCTCAGCCTCCCCAGTAGCTAGGACTACAGGTGCGTGCCACCACGCCTGGCTAATTTTTTGTATTTTTAGTAGAGATGGGATTTCACCCTGTTGGCCAGGCTGGTCTCAAACTCCTGACCTCAGGTGATCTGCCCGCCTTGGCCTCCCAAAGTGCTGGGATTACAGGTGTAGCCACTGAGCCCAGCCGACTTCTATGACTAAACTGTAACATTTGTCTCAAGTGCTTCCTGGCTTTCTGGCCAACAAGCTGTGAAATGCTCATCTTGTACCTTTCCTACCTTTTATTTGGAATTGGTCATTCCTCAAATAGCCATGGCTCCTTTTTTAATGATTATTTAACTGATATATGATGCGTATTTAATGGTATTTAGGGACCACAGTTTAGGCTGTAGGGGTGCTCATTGTTACTGGGTTGTCATTGCCTCTAAGGCTTTTCAAGTAAGTGTGAACCTAAAAAGTGTGTGTGATGATAAAGAAAAATAAATAATGAGTTCATACTGACTTTTCCAATTCAACTGTAAAACTACATAGTTATAACTTAACTTTGATTTTATATTTCTTCTCTTATACTGAAAATCTTGATTTCTAACAATGTTCCCATAATTGTTTGTCTGTTTATCTAATATACGTACACGCACACCATTTCTAAATAATGTCAATATTGCTGTTAAGAATAGTTGAATGAGATTTTAAGGTTTTGAAGCTCTATATGGTGTTAGAATACATTTAACTACAGGTGTACCTCCTTCTATTGTGTTTCACGTTATTGTACTTTGAAGATACTGCATGTTTTTCAAATTGAAGGTTTATGGTAACCCAGAACTGAGCAAATCTGTTAGCACTATTTTTCCAACAGCGTTGGAATGTGTTCACTTTGTGTCTCTGTCATATTTTGGTAATATTTTCAGTAGTTCAGACTTTTTCATTATTATTATGTCTGTTAATGGTGATCTGTTATCAGTGATCTTAGTTGTTACTGTTGTAATTGTTTTGGGGTGCTATGAACCATGTAAGACGATGAACTTAATTGATAAATGTTGTATGTATTCTGACTGCTCCACCCACTGGGCCACCTTCTTGTTGGGCATCCCTATTTCCTGAGACACAAAAATACTGAAATTAGGCTAATTAATAACTCTACAATGGCCTCTAGTGCTGAAGTAAAAGAAAATGTCGTATGTCTTTCACTTTATATCAAAAGCTAAAAATGATTAAGCTTAATGAGAAAGGCATATCAAAAATTGAGATAGGCTGAAAGCTAGGCCTCTTGGGCCAAACAGTTAAAGTTGTGAATGCAAAGGTAAAGTTCTTGAAAGAAATTAAAATTGCTACTCCAGTGAACACATGAATGATAAGAAAGCAAAACAGACTTATTGCTTCTATGGAGAAAGTTTTTGTGGTCTGTATAGAAGACCAAACAAGCCACAACATCTCTTTTAGCCAAAGCCTAATCCATGCAAGACTCTCACTTTCTTAAATTCTGTGAAGGTTGAGAGATATGAGGAAGCTGCAGAAGAAAAGTTTGAAGCTAGCAGATGTTGGTTAATCAGGTTTAGGGAAAGCAGCCATCTCCATAACATAAAAGTACAAGGTGAAGCAGCAAGTACTGATGGAGAAGCTGCAGTGAGTTATAATATCCAGAAGGTCCAGCAGAGCTCGTTGATGAAGGTTGCCACACTACACAACTGACTTTAAAACAATGTAGATGGCCGGGTGTGGTGGCTCACGCCTGTAAATCCCAGCACTTTGGGAGGCCGAGGCGGGCGGATCACGAGGTCAGGAGATCGAGACCATCCTGGCTAACACGGTGAAACCCCATCTGTATTAAAAATACAAAAAAGTAGCTGGGCGTGGTGGCGGGCACCTGTATTCCCAGCTACTGGGGAGGCTGAGCCAGGAGAATGGCATGAACCCAGGAGGCGGAGGTTGCAGTGAGCCGAGATCGTGGCACTGCACTCCAGCCTGGGCAACAGAGCAAGACTCCATCTCCAAAAAAAAAAATAAATAAAATAAAATAAAATAAAATAAAAAATAAAAAAAATAAAACAATGTAGATGAAAGAGCCTTCTGTTGGAAGAAGATGCTATCTAGAAATTGTATAGCTGGAGAGGAAAAGTTAGTGAGTGCCTGGCTTCAAAGCTCCTCTTGATATAGGGGCTAACATGCCTGGTGACTTCAAGTTGAAGCCAGTACTCACTGACCATTCTGAAAATCCTAGGGCCCTTAAGAACTATGGTAAATGTATTCTGCCTGTGCTTTATAAATGGAACAACAAAGCCTGCATGACAGCACATCTGTTTATAGCATGATTTACTGAATATCTGAAGCCCACTGATATGATTTGGGTGTTTTGTCCCCTTCGAATCTCATATTGAAATGTGACCTCCAACGTTGGAGGTGGGCCTAGTGGGAAGTGTTTGGGTCGGGGGGCAGATCCCTCTTGAATGGCTGAGTGCATAGGTCCCCAACCCACGGGCCACAGATTAGTACCAATTTGGTACCAATTTGTGGCCTGTTAGGAACTGGACCACACAGGACGAGGTGAGCGGCAGGCAAGTGCACATTACTGCCTGAGCTTGGCCTCCTGTCAGATCAGTGGTGGCATTAGACTCTCATAGGAGTGTGACCCCCTATTGTGAACTGTGCATGCGAGGCATCTGGGTCAAGTACTCCTTATGGGAATCTAACCAATGCCTGATGATGATCCGAGGTGGAACAGTTTCATCCCAAAACCATCCCCCATGGTCCATGGAAAAATTGTCTCCCACAAAATTGGTCTCTGGTGCCAGAAAGTTTGGGGACTGCTGGCTTAGTGCCATCCCCTTGGTGATGAGTGAGTTCTTACTCAGTTCACACGAGATTTGGTTGGTTAAGAGAGCCTGGGGCCTCTCCCTTCTCTCTTTTGTGCTCTCTTTTTCTCTCTCTCTCCTTCTCTCTCTCTCCTGCCCCTCTCCTTTTGACACACCTGCTCCCCCTTTGCCTTCTGCCATGATTGTAAGCTTCCCGAGGCCTCACCAGGAGCAGATGCTGGTGCAGTGTTTTCCATATAGCCTGCAGAACTGTGAGCCAATTAAACCTCTTTCCTTTATAAATTACCCAGCCTCAGGTATTCCTTTATAGCAGTGCAAACAGATTAACATACCTGTTGTTGAGACCTAATGCTCAGAAAAAAAGATACCTTTCAAAGTATTACTGCTTATTGACAATGCACCTGGTTGCCCAAGAGCTTGATGAAGATGTACAAGGAGATTAATGTTGCTTTCATGCCTGCTAATACAACATCCATTCTGCAGCCCATGGGTCAAGGAGTAATTTTGACTTTCAAGTCTTATTATTTAAGAAATACATTTCATAAGGCTATAGTTGCATAGATGAATTGTGATTCCTCTGATTCATCTGGGCAAAGTAAATTGAAAACGTTCTGGAAAGCACCATTTTATTTTTTGATTTTTTAAATTTGTAGTACCTTTATTTTAGATCTTTAAAAACACTTTTAAATTTCACACAGCAAATTTTAAATCATATAAGGATGCATATTTGAACTTAGTGAATTTAATCTGTGTGCCTTGAAAACTTTTTTTTTCCCTGCAAACTTTTAAAATGAGAGTACAATAGTAAATTATTTAAAATTAAACTGGGGAAAAACACAGGCACACTTTTCTCCATTGTTTACTACTCTGATCTAGACCTGGGTTAAATTTCTAAAATGTATAATACCTTTCATCATTCTTAAGTTCTATTATCAAATAATGGTTAGTGTTATAGAAAGTTATTCTCCAAATACCCAAAGCTTTACATTTACTTAATATCTGAGAAAATATCACCTACCAGTCAATAACAATTAACTAAAGAATGATCACATTTCTAGCCTCCCCACAGGGCCCAATAACCAGGCCTTAAGGCCGATGCTTATTTATTTATTTATTTATTTATTTGTTTGTTTGTTTGTTTGTTTTTGAGACGGAGTCTCGCTGTGTCGCCCTGGCTGGAGTGCAGTGGTGCGATCTCGGCTCACTGCAAGCTCCGCCTCCCGGGTTCACACCATTCTCCTGCCTCAGCCTCCCGAGTAGCTGGGACTATAATAGGCGCCCACCACCACACCTGGCTAATTTTTAAAAATATTTTTAGTAGAGACGGAGTTTCACCGTATTAGCCAGGATGGTCTCCATCTCCTGACCTCGTGATCCGCCCGCCTCAGCCTCCCAAAGTGCTGGGATTACAGGCATGAGCCATCGTGCCTGGCCTGGCCGATGCTAATTTAAATTGCCTATTATTGACTGAGACAAACCCCCAAGAATTACATTCAGAATTTACAAAGATACTTTTAGCAATGTATCTATTAGAGGCTTAGGTACAATGTTTTAGAATTAAAAATCCAAGTTTAATATGTATATTGACCTCCTGGGGTCTTTCAAGTCCATATTATTTAGGCTTATGTAGATAATTACAGTAACCATTTTTAGGTTTGTAATTGTTTGATACGTGGATGATAAAGGCAGAAATGTAATTCTCAAGTCCTTGAAATTAATGTAATTAGAAGCTTAGCTGACTACAGAATAGGTGAGGGTTTCTTAAAAATCAGATTTGTTGGCTGGGCGCGATGGCTCACGCCTGTAATCCCAGCACTTTGGGAGGCTGATGCAGGCAGATCACCTGAGGTCAGGAGTTTGAGACTAGCCTGGCCAACATGGTGAAACCCCGTCTGTACTAAAAATACAAAAATTAGCAGGGCATGGTGGTGGGCACCTGTAATCCTAGCTCCTAGGGAGGCTGAGGCAGGAGAATTGCTTGAACCTGAGAGGCGGAGGTTGCAGTGAGCTGATATTGTGCCACTGCACTCCAGCCTGGGCAACAGAGTGAGACTCTATCTCAAAAAAAAAAAAAATCAGATTTGTTTTAAGACACAGTTTTGCCTTTACTGGTAGGATCGGTTGGTCACACAAGATATTTAATAGTATTTAACATAACATGGCACAGAAAATTGGTTAAAAAAGGTTTTTTCTAATTAGGTAATGTAAAAACCCAACATGAACTTTATGTAAGATTGGAATGTATCTTCAAATTCAGGTTTTTAATAAAAATGTAGGCCGGGAGCAGTGGCTCACACATGTAATCCCAGCACTTTGGGAGGTCGAGGCGGGTAGATCACCTGAGGTCAGGAGTTCAAGACCAGCCTGACCAATGTGATGAAACCACATCTCTACTGAAAATACTAAAAATTAGCTGGGCGTGGTCGTGGGTGCCTGTAATCCCAGCTACTCAGGAAACTGAGGCAGGAGAATCGCCTCAACCCAGGAGGCGGAGGTTGCAGTGAGCCGAGATCACGCTATTGCACTCCAGCCTGGGCAACAAGAGCAAAATTCCGTGTGAAAAAAAAAAAAAAAGTAAACATGCTCTGTATATAAATGTTGTATTTAGTTCCTTGTGTCCAAGAATGTTATCTGTAAAACTGAAAGCGATAAGAATAGTGAATAATTTAATTTGCAATTCTAAAAACATGACTTGAGAAAAAAAATCCCATAAAATTTGGTTCAAAGTTTAACTGCTATGTTTAATACAAACCAGAGTGTTTAAATTCACAATACAAGTTCTATCAATCTTGGGCATTTTTATATTATTTATATGAATATTATCAATTTTATTGATATTATTAACAAATACTTTCATTGCACCTTATTTTCTAGTTATTGGTTTGTTTTGTTTTGTTTTGTTTTTGAGATGGAGTTTCGCTCTTGTTGCCCAGGCCGGAGTGCAATGGCACGATCTCGGCTCACTGCAACCTCCGCCTCCCAGGTTCAAGCAGTTCTCCTGCCTCAGCCTCCTGAGTAGCTGGGATTACAGGCAAGCACCACCACGCCCGGCAAATTTTGTATTTTTAGTAGAGACGGGATTTCTCCATGTTGGTCAGGCTGGTCTCAAACTCCCAACCTTAGGTGATCCGCCCACCTCAGCCTCCCAAAGTGCTGGGATTACAGGCGTAAGCCACTGTGCCTGGCCTTTTTTTTTTTTGAGACGTAATCTCACTCTGTTGCCTAGGCTGGAGTGCAGTGGCGTGATCTTGGGTCACTGCAAGCTCCGCCTTCCGGATTCAAGGGATTCTTATGCCTCAGCCTCCCGAGTAGACTACAGGTGCCTGCCACCACGCCCAGCTAATTTTTGTATTTTTAGTAGAGATGGGGTTTCACCATATTGGCCAGGCTGGTTCCGAACTCCTGCTCTCATGATCCACCCGCCTCGGCCTCCAAAATGCTGGGATTACAGATGTGAGCCACCATGCCTGGCCTTTTTTTTTTTTTTTCTTGAAACGGAGTCTTGCTCTTGTCGCCCAGGCTGGAGTGCAGTGGCGCGATCTCTGCTGACTGCAGCCTCCGCCTCCCAGGTTCAAGCGATTCTTGAGCCTCAGCCTCCTGAGTATCTGGGATTACAGGCGCCCCACCACCACGCTCAGCTAATTTTTGTATTTTTAGTTGAGACAGGGTTTCACCATGTTGGCCAGGCTGGTCTCGAACTCCTGACCTCAGGTGATCTCCCTGCGTTGGCCTCCCAAAGTGCTGGGATTACAGGCATGAGCCACCACATACAGCCAAGTTATTGTTAAATAGTAGATAAGGCAGATTGTTCCCTAAAGTGCTAAGGTATCATCCAGTGGGTTATTTGCCATTGTTCCTTTTCTGCCATTTCTTGTTGGCGAATTGTATCCTGTGCTGCTTGGTGCATTTTCTCTAATTTTACCAGAGTCAGAGATTTTAAGGGTAAAAGTTTGGGTTTACATACCACCACTGTGGTTCCATCTTCCAGAGACAACTACCTTTGTTTTGGAAGAACTTCCTGGAACATTGACTTCACTTTCGCTATATCTGAATTGCTGGATACAGTTAAGTTTTTTCCTGAACGTTCTGGTCTTTTTTCTGCAACTTTTGACATCCAACCCGGTATTACCAAGAAGACCGAGAGTTCTTGACTCAAGCCTACAGAAGAAAAGATGCATCCCTTCGCAGGTGTCTCAGCTGCTGCCGCAGGTCATAGTCAGGATTTGCCATTTTAGATGCCTGAGGCACATTTGTGATTCTTGGAAGGAGGTCAAAATACCAACATTAATAGGAGTTTGGAAGAAGTTGATTCTAATCCTCGTGGATGACTTTGAGGGCTTCGGGGGTTCAAGGCTTCAGTGGAGGGAGTCACTGCAGATGTGGTGGAAACAGCAAGAGAACTGGAATTAGAAGTGGAGCCTGAAGATGGGACTGAATTGCTGCAATCTCATTAAACTTGAACGAATGAGGAGTTGCTTCTTACTGATGAGCAAAGAAAGTGGCTTCTTGAGAGGGCATCTACTCCTGGTGAAGAGGCTGTTGAAACATTGTTGAACGCTTCACACATTGTTGAAATGACAACAAAGGATTTAGAGTATTTCATAAACCTTAGTTCATAAAGCAGCAGTTTGAGAGAATTGACTCCAAATTTGAAAAGTTTTACTGTGGGCAAAATGCTACCAACAGCATCTTCGTGAAAGAGAGAGTCAATCGTGCCAGAAACTTCATTGTCATTTTATGTTGAGAAATTGTCACAGCCATCCCAACTTTCAGCAGCCAGCACACTGACAGTCAGCAGCCATCAACATTAAGGCAAGACCTTCCAGCAGCAAAAAGATTATGACTTGCTGAAGGCTCAGATAATCATGAATGTTTTTTTAAGCCATAAAGTATTCTCTAGGTAAGACATGTACTTTTTAGAAGACGTAATGCTTTCGCACACTTAATAGACTAACAGCATACTGTGAACATAATTTTTATATGCATTGGGAAATTTAAAAACCTGCGAGTGACTCACTTAATTGTGATACTTGCTTTATCGTGGTGGTCTAGAACCAAACCCACACTATCTCCAAGGTATGCCTGTCCCTGATCTCAACGTCCCCCACGACAGTCTGTGAAAACTGTGTTCTTCAAGCTTGGTCATCTGTGATTGTCACCACTGCTCTTGAAGAGAGAACATTTTACTCTTCCCATGCAGTATTTGGAACAAAATGCCTTAAAGGCCAGTATAGTACCTTGTCATGGCTGTACGTCTACCTTATAAGAGAGGAGGATTCATTATTTTAATAGACAGCTGGTTGTTTAGATTTAGCAAGGTGCATTTGATGTAAGAACTGAAGTCGTAAACACTCTGCCAGCCAGAAAGCACCTTCCTCCCATAGCCACTGGCTGTATCTCCAACACCATACAAATACATGGTCAGAGGCCACCAGAAACAGCAGGAGAGAGGAGATGGGAGGATTCGTAATAATGCAATCGCACACTTAATAGACTACAGTATAGTGTCAGTATAACTTTGATTTTTTTTTTTTTTTTTTTTTTTTTGGGATACTCTCGCTCTGTCGCCCAGGCTGGAGTGCAGTGGCACTCGATCTCCGCTCACTGCAACTTCTGCCTCCTGAATTCAAGAAATTCTCCTGCCTCAGCCTCTCGAGTAGCTGAGATTACAGGTGCATGCCACCACATCTGGCTAACTTTCGTATTTTTAATAGAGACGGGGTTTCGCCACGTTGGCCAGGCTGGTCTCAAACTCCTGACCTTGTGATCTGCCCGCCTCAGCCTCCCAGTGTGCTGGGATTACAGGCATGAGCCACTGCGCCAGGCCAGTATATGCACTGGGAAGGCAAAACATTTGTGTGACTTACTTTATTGTGATATTTCCTTAATTTCATGGGTCTGGAACTGAACCCATAATATTTTTGAGGTATGTCTGTACATATGTGTAATCAAAACACTATTTAATTAGTTATTTTTGCTGTGTAATTATTTTAATAACCCAATAGTTAACTTTATCCATTTTTTTAAGAATTGATTTTTCCCCCATATTGATTTAATCTTATGTAAATACCATATTTCTCATTCCTAAAGGTTTGAGCTGGGTCTTTTTAAATGTCTTCCATTTGGCTTCTTAACAGGCCTGTACCTTCTTCTACCATTTGAACATATGGAGTATATTTATATTTATTTTATTTTATTTTATTTTTTTGAGATGAACTCTTGCTGTTTCGCCCAGGCTGGAGTGCAGTGGCGTGATCTCGGCTCACTGCAACCTCCATCTCCCGGGTTCAAGCAATTCTCTTGCCTCAGCCTCCTGAGTAGCTGGGACTACCAGCACCCGCCACCACACCCAACTAATTTTTGTATTTTTAGTAAAGACCGACCGGGTTTCACCATGTTGGCCAGGCTGGTCTCAAACTCCTGATCAGGTGATCTGCCTGCCTCGGCCTCCCAAAGTGTTGAGATTACAGGCATGAGCCACTGTGCCTGCCTTAGAGTATATTTATAATAGCTGTTTTATGTCTTGGTCTACTGATTCTATTTTTTGTGTCATTTCTGACTCTGTTTCTACTTACTGATTTTTCATTTGATCACATCATGTTTTTCCTGTGTCTTCTATTCCTGCTTTTATTTCTGAAAAGTATGTCTAATGGTACTATTACAAGGACATTTTAATGACCACTTCAATTATAAATTAAAAGGCTATTTTAATTTTATTGTTGCAGAGATTAAGTTTGTCTGTTTTTCACTTTTAGGACTCTTTAATTTCACTTGAAGGCAAAAAAAAGCCAAGGAAATTTTGTAAAAAGAAACATTTAAAGCTTATTTTCTTAAACTCTATAGTGAGAAATATACCCGACTGAAAATCTTGTAAATCATGATGATGGGATGATCATTGAACTTTTTCATGTTCTTGTAAAGATACTGCTTTCGACTTACAGATTAGATGTTACAGTATCCACTTGAAGAATGTCAGCTCTCTGAAAATCAAAGGCTTTTTGTTCCAACCCTTTCCCTCCTTCATTTGTAATTTTTGCTTGAATTCTTTGATCCTGAGTTACCCTGCACAGGGTGAGTGTTGAGTGAGATTTGGGAATGACATTGCCATGACAGTTAACTTTTAACTAGCTCCTTTGTAGTCTGTATGGCTTTTAGCCCAGGCATTTAGACAGTAGATGGTTAGTGTTTGGCCTGTAGAGAAATGTCTTGTCATTTCAGAGGAACAGATCTGAACTATACACACAGAATGCCCATTTCATTGTTGATTAGGACTTAGGTGGCTGGAGAAGGCACTTAATTCAGTTGGATATTTACTGTGCAGAGAGAAGCAGCTGCTTTTGAAAACAAGCTTGGATCAAGTTCTTTGTGGCAGTGTCCATGCAGGAGCTGTGGGCATAGACAATGAGATGCTTGTTTTATTTCCTGAAAACACCTCTGGGAAAAACCTAAGAGAATAAATATTGTGTGTGCGTTTCAGTGTGACTCAGCCACTGGGAGCTTCCATCCATGACGATGTCATGGGCAGAGCCAGGCCCGAGTCAGATGAATTGGCTTTCGGGTTGGTTATTTTTTTCACTTTGCTCTTCTCACCTAGAAAATTAAAATACTGGCAGTTACCTTGTTTTTTATGTATTTTATGGAGATAAGTAATATTATGTGTATGGTATATGGAACAAAATTCCTGACACATGTCAGGCATCCAGAAGATGTCCTCTGTTGACCACCTCTGGTTGTTCTCAGAACATGGATTTGGTTACTCCTAAGTCATCAGTGTTGTTCGTTATGTGGTCTTACCTGAGGTTTCTAATACTGAATTTTAGTTTTGCAGAGGCATTTATAACTCTGACTTTTGACTTCTTATGTGGGTGAAGTTTAAGATTCACTGGACTTTCATTTTCTTAGAAAACGAAAAAGTCTTTTTTTGAAAAATTGGAGGTCTTAATAAGACAGGCGTAGTTTCACTAATTGTACTTCCATGATGGTCCACAATATTGCTATAAATTTTGGTTTTAGACAGCTGCATTAGTTTGCTAGAGCTGCTCCCCACCTCTACCTCACCTCCATCCCCCTCCACACACTGAGTGGCTTAAATAACAAGCATTGATTTCTCACAGTTCTGGAGCCTGGGAAGTCCAGGATCAAGGTGCCAGCAGGGTTGGTTTCTGGTGAGGTCTCCTCTCTCCTTGGATTGCAGACAGCAGCCTTCTCTCTGTGTCCTCACATGGCCTTTTCTCCATGGGTGCACTTCCCCGGTGTCTCTTCTTATAAGGACACCAGTCAGGCCAAACTAGAGCCCTGCTTTAATGACCTTATTTAACCGTATACCTCCTTAAAAGTGCTATCTCCAAACACACTCCCACTGGGAGCAGGGGCTTCAACATGAATTTTGGGGAGACAAAATTCAGGCCATAATAGCAGCTCTCCTCTGTCTTGGCTTTGGAAAGTCAGCAGAAGCAGCAGTGAGAACATTGCTGTGGTACTGAGTTAATTTGTAGGCTTTTTATCATCCTGCGTCTTCAATGGATGACACATTCTCACTTTCTTGTTTTCTCTTCTCTACCCTTCCCACTGCTGGTATGTCTATAATGCAGTGGCTTTCAGTTTTTTTTTTGGCCATGACCCACAGACAGAAATATATTCACATGTGTGTGCATAACTCTAACAAATATTTTACAAATCAGTAGCTATCCTTAGGAGTTTGCATGTATTCTGTTTTCTATTTTTTTTTTTGAAAAAAGGTATTTTCAGATGTGCTACTTTATGTAATTTGAAAAACTGCTGTAGTGTAGTTTGAGAACTGTGATATGTGACATATATTAAAGGACTTTCCCTTTTAATCTTTTGCGGTCACGGACATGCAGTTGGCTTGCATTGATTTGTGGAATTTGTGGAACCCATCATAAGACTTCTCTGCAGAGGAAATTACAGTCTGGAAAATTTCCCTGCCATTTGGCAACTTGTGTAGGAAATAGAAGCCAGTAGGGTGGAAAAGTTTCATCATATTGATTGTCTTTGCTGGGAGAAGCATACAATTATGTCTTATATTCAGGAGCAGGGTAGATTGGAACAAAAGCTTACTATAGCTCAGTGATAGTTTTTTTTATGTGTGGTTTATTTTCTCTTTTAAGGTGTGGGTTTGTTTTTGTTTTAGAATTATCTTTCTCTATGATAAGCTCCTTCCTAATAGGTTAGAATGAATTTTTTAAAGAATAAAAGTCTAGTTTTTTGATGACTTTGTCTCAAATCTTAATTCCATAGGGATATATTGTGTTGGAGCTTGATGATAATTTATTCACGTTATCTAAAGTTATCATTGAGGAAGACGCATGCGGTTAGCTGGTATCAGTTAACGGTGTTAGCCCCTGTGAGCTTAATAGCAGGATAAATGAAAACCTGTATCAGGTCGTCCGAAAGGATGCATTTGGGAGGATGGGAGTGGAGGGAGACAGCTCGCTGTAAGTGGAAGCACAAAGTATCTTTTTTAATGCCCAGCCATAGCAAGAACTGGGCCTGAGGATGATGTAAATGATACTTAAAAATTCAAATTAGCAGGGCTGGGCGCGGTGGCTCACTCCTGTAATCCCAGCACTTTGGGAGGCCAAGGCGGGCGGATCACGAGGTCAGGAGTTCGATGCCAGCCTGACAAACATGGTGAAACCCCGTCTCTACTAACAATACAAAAGTTAGCCAGGCGTGGTGGTGTGCGCCTGTGGTCCCAGCTATTTGGGAGGCTGAGGTGGGAGAATCACTTGAACCCGGGAGGCAGAGTTACAGTGAGCCAAGATCATACCACTGAACTTCAGCCTGGGTGACAGAGACTCCATCTCCAAAAAAATAATAAATAATAATGATTCAAATATAGCTTTTTATGGAAGGACCCTAGAGTACTTTGAAGTTGTAGAGAGTCATTTCATGCCCTGGTTTGCCCTTCATTTGATATGATTTTGGACAAATACTTGAGCCTCCATTTCCTCATTCAGTCTTCATCACAGATCTGTGAGATAGCATCTGGAACAGACTAGCACCACAAAGGTGAGTCTTCTCCCTGCTTTAGTTCTTCTTCGTTCCTGCAACTCTTAGTTCTCTCTTCTTCTGGATCAATGAGTCCATGAAAACAAATAGCAAAAGATCGAGGTCCCATAAAATGCTCCCTTTTTAGCTTATTCTTCACTTGTTTTTTTTTTTTCTTTATTCTGAGTGACAGGTTTTATTGTAATGGATAATAAAGGATAAAGACCTAGAAAGAAAAGGTCTTAAAGTACCCAGGAAAAGCAGAGCCCTGGGCTACCCCAGGTGCTTGTGCAAGATTATCAGCTTGGGTGGAACCCGACTTAGTGATGTGATAGAGAGACACCATTGCTGACCCACTGGATTTAGACGAGGGTGTTCTTGTGGCTGACACCTACACACCTGCCACCTGGGAGCACTGAACAGGGCAGGGAGACTTAAGCCAGAGGCAGGTAAACCAGATGTACCCCTAAGTCGGGCCAGCATGGCGTGTGTTACGACCAGCTGAGGAACCAAGCAGACGCTCTGGGCCTCAGTGCAGGTAGGGAAAGGTCGGAAGCTTCAAGAGAGTCATGCTGGGGAGCCTAGAGTAGCTGGGTTTGATTTTGTTTTAAAATAAGCTTTCCTGATTGTAAGAGGGATGGGGAGCCTGAAGGGCCAGGGGCTTTGTGACACCGCAGGAGCCCTCCCAGATGGCAGGAAGTGGAGAGCAAGAGGACCGGGACCCCTCACCTCAGAGGAAGCTTCTGCTACACCTGAGTGGGCTGCTGCTTGGACTTCTGTGATCCATGGAGAGCATGACACGGGAGGTGGGACCGAGGGGCAGCAGGGCAGGGTCATTGACTAAGTGCTCTTGGTGTAGGGACCGGGGAAGTCATGGCCTGTGAATAGAGACCTCAGGCAGAGAGAAGCCTGGGCTGGCCCTCCCAGCTCTGATGAGAACACTGGCTTTAGTGATGACTGAAGGATACTGCTTTGGCCAATGCCTTGCCCAAGAAATACAAAATAGGCACCACTGTTTTAAACTTTCATTATTCCTTATGAAATATTCTATTAGATACTTCTTTTTATTCCTTCCCTAAGTGTCCGCTCAGAACAACAGTCCTACTACAGATAGATGTTTTTCATTCTCATGGACTCCAAAGCAGCCACAAGTCCAGAGCCGGTCCCCTGGCACCTTCTTGTGTGGGGTGTTTATATTTACATTCCAGGGAGAGGAAGGCTGCACATAACATGCAGAGAGAAAGATGACTGAGCAAAATGCATGCCTGGCTTTTTTTTTTTTTTTTTTTTTTTGAGACAGAGTCTTGCTCTGTCACCCAGGCTGGATTGCAATGGCGTGATCTCGGCTCACTGCAATCTCCGCCTCCCAGGTTCGACAGATTCTCCTGACCCAGCCTCCCAAGAAGCTGGGATTAGGGGGGCCCACCACCGTGACTGGCTAATTTTTGTATGTTTAGTAGAGATGGAGTTTTATCATGTAGGCCAGGCTGGTCTCAAACTCCTGACCTCAAGTGATCCATTCACCTCGGCCTCCCAAAGTGCTGGGATTACAGGCGTGAGCCACTGCACCCGGTCCATATCTGGCTTTTGAGTAAGTGGTGTGTGGCTCTGGGCACCATATCCCTCTCACACTGGCTAGATGATTCAGCTCTGTTGTTGTCTAATTTCTTTGAGGTTAGAATATCTCCTGCTTCCCATTTTGGAAACCTGCCTACAGTAGAAACACCTGATGCCCACGTGCCTTTTGTTGTCCAGGACCGTGTGTGCTTCTAGTCGTGTGCTTACTGAGCATCTGCTGTGTGCCAGGCCCTTCATGAGGAGCTGGAAGTAGTCCCTGTGTTAAAGTGCCCATTGTCCAGTAGAGATGATGAGAATAGAGAGGAAATACAGACAACTAAAATGACTAAGCTTTTTGCTTAATGCTTTAATAATGTGGTGATTTAAAAAAATTGTCATTGAAAGAAATGAATTTACGCCTTTGATTTAATGCTTTTGTGTTTCTATTTTAACATGTACCGTAAGACCTCTTTTTATGTATGTTTTTAACGGTCATTGCTATAAATGATATGAAGTATGCATTTGTAAGCTGTAAATTTCCTAGGCCCTTGCTTGTTGTGTTGCAGCAATGTTGGGTGCAAGTGGCAGTCCCTGGCCCTGGCAAGAGGCTCATTCCTCCGTGGACTTGGGCTTTAGTACTTCTTGAAGGCACCCTTGTTTTCATGGGAGAACTTTGCAAGGCTGCTTAGGATTGGTCTGCTACTCAGGGCTTGTTCCATGCCGGAGTAGCTGAATCATTAGAAATGTTTCTGTCATTTGAGTGGAGATGGTCAGAGTTCTTTGCGTTAGTAGGGTGGGTGGGATGGTCATAGAACAGTCCCAGCGGTAACTCACTTGGCCACCTGGCCCATCTTTGTGGCAGTGGGAGTGACGCTTGCACATCCCAGTCCTGCAGGGAGGAGCACCACGGCCCCTATGGGGGTGCCTTCCTTTTCATCTGGCAAACTGTGGCCCAGGGTATGAGAGGCAAGATTTTTTTTTTTTTGAGACGGAGTCTCGCACTCTCGCCCAGGCTGGAATGCAGTGATGCCATCTCGGCTCACTGCAAGCTCCGCCTCCTGGGTTCATGCCATTCTCCTGCCTCAGCCTCCCGAGTAGCTGGGACTACAGGTGCCCGCCACCACGCCCGGCTAATTTTTTGCATTTTTAGTAGAGACAGAGTTTCACCTTGTTAGCCAGGATGGTTCGATCTCCTGACCTTGTGATCCGCCTGCCTTGGTCTCCCAAAGTCCTGGGATTACAGGCGTGAGCCACTGCGCCTGGCCAAGGCCAGATGTTTTAACATCAACATGGGGATACACAATATTTGGAAAATGAGTTAACGTTCTAGGAATTACTTCTATTGCATTTTTTAATCTCTGTATCTTTTTCTGTTTGAATCCAGGTGCAACATTAGAGGAAATCAATCAGCACTGGGACTGGCTGGAACAAAATCTCCTCCACACCTTGTCTGTCTTTGATAATAAAGATGACATTGCCAGTTTTGTCAAAGGGAAGGTAAAGGTAGGTCCCCTGAGTTTCATGTTTCTCCCCATCTTTCCATCTTTCTTCCTTAAGACATTCCGAACACTGTAGCATACTAACAGTTTTTCCTACTAACTGAACTTTTGGCTCAATACGTAATGCCAAATAAGTTTCATTTATCACCTGTCTTAACTTTGTAGTCAGTCTAGCAAAATACACCTGACATGTTAAAAAAAAAAAAAAAAAAAGACTTGGCTGGGCACGGTGGCTCACGCCTGTAATCCCAGCACTTTGGGAGGCCGAGGCAGGCAGATCACGAGGTCAGGAGGTCGAGACCATCCTGGCTAACACGGTAAAACCCCATCTGTACTAAAAAATACAAAAAAAATTAGCTGGGCATGGTGGCGGGCACCTGTAGTCCAGCTACTCGGGAGGCTGAGGCAAGAGAATGGCGTGAACCCGGGAGGTGGTGCTTGCAGTGAGCCGAGACAGAGCCACTGCACTCCCGCCTGGGCGACAAAGTGAGACTCTGTCTCAAAAAAAAAAAATAAAAAATAAAAAAGACTTTATTCTCAGACTTAGTTTTTGTTATCCTTTACAGGAGTGAAGGCCTTTTTTTATCCCAGGAAAAAAAAATAGTGTTAAGATTTATGTTTCCGCAGAGCAACACATTATTTGACTTCTTAAATCACCTTTTTTTTTTTTTTGCAGTTGTGACATCTTGTCACACTGTTCTGTTGGATCTACCACTTTCCTCCTGCTAGAAGTGGATGTTTATTCTTAAAATATGTAAATTAAATGTAATGAAAGCCAATTAAGTTTTGAGTTGGCAAGAGAGGAATATTTTTGGAGGTATCTGTGATACCTCCTGTGAGTTACAGTCTTATATAACTGGCCTCACTGCAATAACATGATGGGTAATCAGTGCTTTAAAAGCCCCATCGGGTTGGGAGAGATGGTTTCTCATTCTAAATTTAACTCTCTCATTAAATACTTTAACACATTAGCGTATGATACAGTTTTCCTTCCTTAGGGTAAAACCTCCTAGCCCTTCGATTTTGTTTGTTTTCTGCAAAAAGCTTGGCTTTCTAATACGTCAAGTGCTATGGCTTTTAGTAAAGGGTGTCAAAGCAGATTTTTGATTTTGGAGGAACAAAATTTTTTCCTTTGGGGACTGGGGGTTACTTGTGGGATTTGGTGAAAGGGAAGGCATCCCAAGTCCAGCCAGCTTGACAATGTCTTCTTGGAGTTATACCTGGCCTGTGGGGTTAGGGGGTGGGCTAGGCGTTGGTGGGCTCGGGTCAGCCCTCATCCTGGCCCAGCCAACTGTGGCTCACTTCCCTGGGTCAGATCATACTGGGGTAGCTACAGAAAGGCCCCATTCAGCACTATTTTTCACACTTACCCTGCGTTTCTTGGTCTAATGCAAGTTGTAGTGGTTATTTGATTTAGGTGTTGCTCTTCTTAATTTGGAGGAAGAAAATTAACTTTCGCTACAGTGATTTTAAAACGGCTTCTGTAGAATAAGAAAACTTGTCCTTGACTCTCCTAGATTTCATGGCTGGGGCCCTGGAAATTACACTGACAAAAGATTAACAAGAGAAAAACAGAGTTTATTTTTGTTGGTTGTTTTTTTGAGACAGGGTCTTGCTCTGTCACTCAGGCTGGAGTGCAGTGGTGCAATCGTGGCTCACATCAGCCTTGACCTCCCAGGCTCAAGTGATCCTCCTGCCTCAGCCTCCCATGTAGCTGGGGCTGCAAGCACACACCACCACACCTGGCTAATGTTTTTATTTTTTGTAGAGACGAAGTCTCATTATGTTGCCCAAGCTGATCGAACTCCTGGGCTCAAGCAATCCTCCTGCCTTGGCTTCCCAAAGTGCTGGGATTATAGATGTGAGCCACCACGCCCAGCCAAACAGACTTTATTTGAACACAAAAGCATGCATATATGTAACAGAAACTCAGTGATGAGTAACTCACAGGGGTGGTTAGCACTTGGGCTTACATAGCATCTCAGCAAAGAACAGTGCATTTGTAGAAAGGTGACAAGACTAGGGAAAAGGCCTTTAGGCTTTTGGGGGCAGTGTACTGTGTGGGAAACTCATAGAAGCTAAGGATTATTTTAGTGAGGTTTGTTATGTAGATTCCTCTCAGGGCTGTTTCTGGACTTGGGAGGGTCAAGAGCTGTTTCTGGTGACTGAGAGTCAAAGTCCTCTTTCTGGTACAGGAGCAGGACACACCTCGACAAATGGACCTTTAAAAACAGGTCCTGTTTTTAGGCAAATGCCAGGGGAAGACAGAGAGCCTTTTTGGTGTTTGTGGTTTCTCAGTTTTCTTCAGCTCAAAATAATCCTTATGCCAAAGTGGCATATTTTGGGGTGACATATTCTAGTCCCTGACACTTTGAAGCTAAAATGCTTTGAAAAATAATTCCTGAGGAGGCAGGGCTGGGGAGTGAGGGGCCTGCCTGGCCTGAGCCTGGGAGCACAGCATGACATTTGATCTCCCTTTCCTCTGGCCAAATCCTAAGGATCTGGGAATAGAGGCTTTCCTACTCATATCCTGAACCTTTGATGACTCTACAAAACTTTTAAAAAATCCCTGTTTCAAGCTGTGCCTATAACCAGAAACCACACTTCAAGGAAGGCAGGGGTCAGCACGGCCACCTCATGCCTGCATCAGGAGCCACTGGGTACCACCCTGCAGCCGTGCCTGCTGCCTGTCTGCTCCGGAGCCTTCATAAAGACCCCTCCACGCCTCACTTCCAGGGCAAGGGGAGAGCTCAGCACTCATTATATATTAGATATGCTTTTCAAAAATACTCATCTCTCTTAACTAGAACTTCATTAATGTATAATGTCTTGTTAAATGAAATGTGGGAAATAGAGAAAAACATAATGAAGAAAATAAAAATCACTTGAAATTTCATCAGCCTCCAGATTTCTTTTAAAAATAATTCTAGGCCGGGCGCGGTGGCTCACGCCTATAATCCCAGCACTTTGGGAGGCGGGTGGATCATGAGGTCAGGAAATCGAGACCATCCTGGCTAACACGGTGAAACCCCGTCTCTACTAAAAATACAGAAATTAGCCAGGCATGGTGGCAGGCACCTGTAGTCCCAGCTACTTGGGAGACTGAGGCAGGAGAATGGCATGAACCCGGGAGGCAGAGCTTGCAGTGAGCCGAGATCACGCCACTGCACTCCAGCCTGGGCGACAGAGCGAGACTGTCTCAAAAAAAAAAAAAAAATAATAATAATAATTTTACATTACATTGTTATTTTAATGTCAGTGCTCGGGTTTGATTTTGAAAATAGCTTATAAAGTAGTGCAGGGTTTCATAACAATACCCAAAAAGTAGTCTTGTCTTGAGGGACATAGCTTTTCATGAGACATACCTACCAAAAAAAAAAAAAGAGAAATGTTAATAAAAATAAATGATAGAAGTATTTATATATATGTGTGTATTTTTAGAGATGGGGTCTTGCTGTGTTGCCCAGGCTGGAGTGCAGTGGCTGTTCACAGTTGCCATCATAGTGCACTGTAACCTCAAACTTTTGGGCTTACATGATTCTCCTGCCTCAGCCTCCTGAGTAGCTGGGATTTGAATTATAAATGTATTTTTATAATCAGGTAGCACATGTGAGGCTTGGGGCCCAGGAGTTCCTAAACAGCTGCTCACATGAAGGTACCAAGAAGATATTCTCAGGGAAGGATTTTGTGGTGAGCTCCCAGGGATGGGAAATCAGATTTCTGATGTTAGCAATGAGTTGTCAATTAGGAACAAATAGGCCACAAGCTTGAATTCTAGGCCCTTCTACCACCACCCCAGATTATGAAGGACACTACTTGTTACTCAGTTTTGGCAAAAAATTATAGATTTAGATGTTTTGTTTTCCCATAGACCTGAGTGCTTTGGAGGTTATTTATGACCTTGGGAACCTTGGCCAATATCCATTTAAGGCTACAAAGTGAGCCACACAGTCAGGCAGGTAGTAGCCTTAAATACCAACATTTTTGAACCTAATAAGGAAGATCTTCATGAGTTTTTCTCAAAAGACTAACTTTTTTTTTTTTTGAGGACTCTGTCATCCAGGTTGGAGTGCAGTGGTACAATCTTGGCTCACTGCAACCTCTGCCTCCGGGGTTCAAGCGATTCTTGTGCCTCAGCCTCCCAAGTAGCTGGGATTGCAGGTGCACCACCACACCTGGCTAATTTTTGTATTTTTTAGTAGAGATGGGGTTTCACCATGTTGGTCAGGCTGGTCTCAAACTCCTGGCCTAAAGTGATCTGCCCACCTCCGTCTCCCAAAGTGCTGGGATTACAGGTGTGAACCACCACACCTGGACGCTCAAAGGACTAACTTTTATCTTAAAGTTGGGTAGTTCTTTGGGATTGATGCTGAGTTCACAGGCCTGAGCCAGTCCTTTTACCCTCATATGCCTATAGGGAAGATTTAGAAAATGATCATTTGTGGCCGGGCGTGGTGGCTCATGCCTGTAATCCCAGCACTTTGGGAGGCTGAGGCAGGTGGATCACCTGAGGTCGGGAGTTCGAGACCAGCCTGACCAACATGGAGAAACCCCGTCTCTACTAAAAATACAAAATTAGCCCAGCGTGGTGGTGCGTGCCTGTGATCCCAGCTATTTGGGAGGCTGAGGCAGGAGAATCACTTGAACCCAGGAGGTGGAGGTTGCGGTGAGTTGAGATCGTGCCACTGCACTCCAGCCTGGGCAACAAGAACAAAACTCCGTCTCCAAAAAAAAAAAAAAAAAAAAAAAAAAGAAAAGAAAAGAAAATGATTGTTTGTTTGAGAACCGGGCTTAGAAGTCAAATGATTTGCCCAGAGCCTCATGATCGGTAAGTGGCCGAGTGAGAGACTGGTTCTTGGGTTTTCTGACCCCGACTGCCATTCCTTTTTTTTCTGCTGCAGCCGTGTGTCTGGGTGGCTGACGGATGACACGGCTGAGCCATTCTCCTCGTCAGGTGTGTCTGTCGTTGAAGCAGCGCACACTTCTCGGGGGCCTGTGCACCTCAGTCCCTCCTGCTTCCTGTCCCTTGCACCCCCTGCCTTCCCATTGCTGGCTCACTGAGCAGGGACTGTCATCTCTGTGTGTCAGGCTCTGATAGCCGAGGAGACCAGCAGCAGGCTCGCCGAGCAGGAGGAGGAACCCGAGAAATTCCGAGAAGCCCTGGTGAAGTTCGAGGCCAGGTTCAACTTCCCCGAGGCGGAGAAGCTGGTCACCTACTACTCCTGCTGCTGTTGGAAGGGCAGGGTGCCCCGCCAGGGCTGGCTGTACCTCAGCATCAACCACCTCTGCTTCTACTCCTTCTTCCTGGGCAAGGAACGTAAGTGAGGCCTGGCAGGCTCTTCCAAGATAAAGTTGGCCCCAGGGACTCAGCGCTGCTCCCAGGAAGGGCCGTTAACAGGAAGAGTTGGACAGATTTAAATAAATGGTGGAGATGACACCAGGTGACACTTGATTACTTATATATGCTACTGCTAGCAGGGGATTAGATCTGGAGAATTCACTTTTTCTACTGCTTCAAGAAACATCCTGTATAGTTCACTTTATATAGCCACTAAAGGGTTTTTACTACTGTAAGTTGTTTAGAAAACATAGTGTTATCACTGATGGCTTAATATTTCTCAAAGTGGAGAACATATTCCTGCTTCTTAACAAAGCAGGCCATTAAAAAAATTCCTGGCGCTGAAGGTCGGGACTGCCCCTTGGAAGACTGGCTGGATATGCAGTCGCTTCCAGAAGGGGAATTCTTCACTATTTCCTTGAGATTCATGCACTGATTCACTGCTCACCTGTTTATCCAGTGGCAGGAATTGTCCTAGGCAATGGGATTCCAAGGTGAAAAAGAGAAGCCACAAGTGTCAATTGTGTATTGAGTGTTTAAAAAGTCATTCCCACGGACACTTCTTCCAGAACCAAATATTGTTTCAAGTGCTCATGTTGGGTAGTATGGATGCTGCATATGTGAGTGTGTGATTTTGTTTTCTTTCTTCATTTATATTTCAAGTTGAACCAGTGAGAGGAGCTTCTCTTGAGTGTCTGCTGTGGCTGGCTTCTGGCACGTGGTGTTCCTTTTCCAGCTCGCCAGCCTTGGTTCTGATGCTCTGGGATATACACCCTATCTGCACAGCCCTTCCACACCCTCGGAGTGTGCCCTGACCTAACCTTGGCCACCTTCCTTCTTTTTGAAATGCTTTTCAAAGTACACCTGGCTTTCTTTCCTTTCTCTGTACTTAGCCTATTGGAAACTCCTATTCATCCATCATCCTTCAAAATTCAGTTCAGATTTTGTCACATCCAAAAGCCTTCCCTGATCCCTATATTATTTGTACTGTATTTGCATTTTTATGCTGGGTCCCAGCAAGTCAGTGGTCACTTACTAATATGCATGTCTGTTTTCTCTGTGTGAACAAGCTCCTTCAATGCAGGGCAGGCACTTCGCAAAGGAGATACTTAATGAATGAAAGTTGGTGGTGTAGGTGGAGCATATACCTGTGTATAAAAGAGTTTTTATGAAAGCAGCTAGAAGTAGCTGGAGAAGTTTATTGTTGAGCCTGATGCAGAAATTTGGCCTTTAAAATTATTAAAGCACTGAAAGTGGTATTGCAAGATAAATGGAAAGAAATGGTAAAAATAAAAACAGTCATTCTCTATTTGAAAAGGAAAATGAATTGTTTTCTTACACTTATTAGTGATTGTCACTAAACCTTATTGTGTTAGGAGGATAAGATTTGGAAAAAATAGGTCAGGCACAGTGGAAACCCCGCCTCTACTAAAAATACAAAAATTAGCCAGGCACGGTGGTGCACGCCTATGGTCCCAGTTACTTGGGAGGCTGAAGCACGAGAATCGCTTGAACCCTGGAGGTGGAGGTTGCAGTGAGCCGAGATTGCACCAGCGCACTCCAGCCTGGGTGATAAAGCAAGACTCCGCCTCAAAAAAAAAAAAAAAGATTTAGGAAAAATAAATGATTCCTAATATGTGGTGACATTTCTGATTTTCAGGTGTTCTGCATGCCTCTCTGATGACAGCAAGCCGCCAGATGTTTAGACTTTCTGTTCTCCTTGCTGGCTCTGTATTGCCAGCCCTGGCTACTGCTGTTAGAAACCTTTCTGAGACTAGACCAGGTGTTTCTAAAATGTACTGTTTGTACTATGTTACTTTTTTAAAGTTTCATAAAAACTGCTTATACTCTGTCTTCTAATACTCTAACAACTGTTATTGACACAGGCTAAATGTTAAGTCCATTTCTCTGAACGAGATCATGAATGATCCTCATTTACACACCTCTTTTTCCCATAGCTTACACCGTGAATGCTGTTTTTGAAACCAGAATTTATGTAGATTGAGAAACTTTTGCATAACTGTTGAAGTTTAAATATTCTTGAGAAAGGTATATGTTGTTAACTTGGTATTTCAGAATAGTGTTCCTTTGCAACATGCAGTAGCCAGCAGCTTGGGAAGTTTTACTGAGATCTTTAAGAAAACCATTAGAACATGAGTTGGGTTTTGACCAACAGCTGGCAAGTGGTCTGTGCTCTTCTTTCCTGCTCTGGTTTAAAGGTATTTATACCAGCAGCATATAAATGTTTCCTTTTCTCCACAACCTCGCCAGCATCTGTTATTTTTTGACTTTTTAGTAATAGCCATTCTGACTGGTATGAGGTAGCATCTCATTATGGGTTTAATTTGCATTTCTCTAATGATCAGTGATGTTGAGCTTTTTTTTTCCATATGCTTGTTGGCCGCATGTATGTCTTCTTTTGAAAAGTGTCTGTTCGTGTCCTTTGGCCACTTTTTAACAGGGTGGTTTGTTTTTTTCTTGTAAATGTGTTTAAGTTCCTTATAGATGCTGGATATTAGACCTTTGTGAGATATCTAGTTTGCAAAAAACTTCCCCTATTCTGTAGGCTTCTGTTTACTCTGTTGATAGTTTCTTTCGCTGTGCAGAAGCTCTTTCACTTAATTAGATCCCATTTGTCAGTTTTTGCTTCTGTTGCAATTGCTTTTTGGCATCTTCATCATAAAATCTTTGCCTGTTCCCATGTCCAGAATGGTATTGCTGGTGTAAATTAGCTCAATCATTGTGGAAAACAGTGTGGCAATTCTTCAAAGAACTAAAAGTAGAACTACCATTCAATTCAGCGATACCATTACTAGGTGTATATCCAAAGGAATATAAATCGTCTACCATAAAGACACATACGTGCGTATGTTCATTGCAGCACTATTCACAATAGCAAAGACATGGAATCAACCTAAATGCCCATCATTGGTAGACTGGATAAAGAAAATGTGGCACATGTACACCATGGAATACTATGCAGCCATAAAAAAGAATGAGCTCATGTCCTTTGCAGGAACATGGATGGAGCTGGAGGCCATTATGCTTTGCAAATTAACACGCAAGAAAACCAAATACCGCATGTTTCCACTTAGAAGTGGGAGCTAAATGATGAGAACCCATGGACACATACAGGGGAAGAACTGACATAGGCACCCATTTGAGGGTGGAGGGTGGGAGGAGGGAGAAGATCAGAAAAAATTACTAATGGGTACCAGGCTTAACACCTGGGTGATGAAATAATCTGTACAGCAAACCCGCATGACATGAGTTTACCTGTATTGCAAACCTGCACGTGTATCCCTGTATCCCTGAACTTAAAAGATTTTTTAAAAAGGCATTTACACATCGGCCTAAGGAGAGCTTTGGATAGTTGCTTGCTGACACACTCAAGTTTGGCTCAAATTTCATGGCATAATAGGTATTTCACCCTTTTCTCTTACAGTTAAACTTGTGGTTCCGTGGGTTGATATCCAGAAATTAGAAAGAACGTCCAATGTCTTTCTGACGGATACCATCCGAATCACCACGCAGAATAAGGAGCGTGACTTCTCCATGTTCCTGAACCTGGATGAGGTGTTTAAGGTCATGGAGCAGCTGGCCGACGTGACGCTGCGAAGGCTGCTGGATAATGAGGTCTTTGACCTCGACCCCGATCTGCAGGAGCCGAGCCAGATCACCAAGAGGTGAAAGTGACTGTTCTAGAGTGTCTCCCACCCGCACGGGGGACCCATAAGCTGTGCCCATCCCTTATGTACAAGTGCTTTTGTTAGCCTTGGTTATGTTAGATTTAAATTTCCCTTGTGGCATAATCCAGATTTTTGTATGTCGTTAATCTCGACAGAGATATGACAGAAATGATGATTACTCATTTCATTTATGCAGTGGACTTCAAGTTTTCAGATATTATTTCAAAACTGATTTTCATGAAGAATGCTTTTAGAAATATAGTAAGGGTAGGGCCGGTTGCGGTGGCTCACGCCTGTAATCCCAGCACTTTGGGAGGCTGAGGCGGGTGGATCACGAGGTCAGGAGATCAAGACCATCCTGCCTAACATGGTGAAAACCCGTCTCTACTAAAAATACAAAAAAATTGGCTGGGTGTGGTGGCAGGCGCCTGTAGTCCCAGCTACTCAGGAGGCTGAGGCAGGAGAATGGCGTGAACCCGGGAGGCGGAGCTTGCAGTGAGCTGAGATGCCGTCACTGCACTCCAGCCTGGGCGACAGAACAAGACTCCGTCTCAAAAAAAAAAAGACATGTAGCATGGGCAGCTGCATAATAGAAATCTGTGGAGCACTGTGCTTTGCTAGTGAACATTAAGACATTTTGTCTTTTCTTTTTCTTTTTTTATTTTTTTTTGAGATGGAGAATCTCTCTGTCCCCCAGGCTGGAGTACAACGGTGCTATCTCGGCTCACTGCAACCTCTGCCTCTCAGGTTCAAACGATTCTCCTGCCTCAGCCTCCCGAGTAGCTGAGACTACAGGTGCCCACCACCACGCCCAGCTAATTTTTGTATTTTTAGTAGAGACGGGGTTTCAACCATGTTGGCCAGGCTGGTCTTGAACTCCTGACCACATGTTCCACCCGCCTCAGCCTCCCAAAGTGCTGGGATTACAGGTGTGAGCCACCGTGCCTGGCTGACATATTTTGTCTTTTCACAGGAAATTAGTTTGTAGAAAACATTTTCAGGACAGCTGGACCTATTTTTGGTACCACTTCGTCATCAGAAATATGCCTCACTAATAGTGTAAGTCAGTATGCTACGTGGTTTGTTTGCCACAAATTGATACTAATCCTAGAGACTTGTGAGATAGTTGTTTGAATTGTTTGTTGCTTTAAGGAAGTTCAACTTTATTATCCAAAGTTTTTATTTTTAATTTTTAAAGAACCACTAGTTATTTTTTATTATCTTGGTGCAAAAGTAATTAAAAGCAGAATTATCCTAGTGTCCAGCAATTCCATTTCTGGGTATATACGCTAAAGAATTGAAAGCAGGGGCTCGGAGCTATTTGTATGCCCGTGTTTGCAGCAGCATTATTCATAGTCACCAAAAGGTAGAAGCAATCTGAGTGTCCAGCAAGAGATGAAGTCATCAGCAAAATGTGAGCTGCACAATGGAATATTACTCAGCCTTGAAAAGGAAGGAAATTCTGACCCATGCTACCACATGGATGAACCTTGAGGACATTATATTGAGTGAAATAAGTTGTGAAAAGACAAATACTGATATTCAAATGTGATTTTTCTGAGATTTAGTCTGCCATACTTGGGCTGGATGACATGCCAAGTTCCTTCAAAGCTCTAAAGTTAGTGTTCAGTAATAATATAGTGTTTTTTTTTTTTTTAAAAAGACTTATTATTCTTGAAATCCATGCACTGTCCTCTGTCTTTTCTCAATGTGTGGGGGAGAGAGTGTCCATTCATGGCCTGTGAACGGCAGCATGCTGAGGGTTTGATGTGTTCAGAAAGAATTCAAAGCCCCTTCCTACTGTGTCCATTTGTTTTAAAATGGATCATGTGTAGTCCTGAGTTAGGTGAAATCAAACACAAATGCTCTTGATTTTTTTGGTTAAGATTCCAAGGAATTTCACATGGTCTTGTGCCACCTCTGATAATCTGAGATGGAGGGTGAGGGGGTGCTCGTTGCCCCCTGTGAAAGGACACGCTTGGGGCAGTGTCCTTTGGGATTTGGACCTGCACCTCTCAGCCCCAGGCTCCCCATGATGGTCTCTCAGCCTCCATCTTAGGAGCACCTGTTTTAAAAGCAAGACAGTCCAGTACAGTGTGTGCCATGCCCTCCTGTATTTCTTCAAATGCCTCTACAGTAGTTGGTATCTGAGTCCTTTTAGTGCAGCTTACAAAGATATCTTAAAAATGGGAAAGTTGCAGGAAGCCCCGAAGCAACAAGCCTGGCTTGTGTGAGTTGCTAGAGGGCTCACAGGAGCACCATTTGAAGCTTCTCCCCCTCTCCCTGTGTGTGTGGGGCACATGGGCGTGTGAGTGCAACCGTGTAGTTGCAGGAGTCGGAGGCCTGCTAGCAGCTGTTCTGGCCAGCCCCACAGCGCTGGGATTTCCGGTGATTCCTCCCAAATCTACTGATATCCCGGCACAGCTCCACTTCCAGATGTGGTGTTTTTTGGTTTTGGGTGGAAGGGAGGAAAGAATACATTGAAGGTCTGTAGCACCAAATCCCTTGTGGTAAGAGAACTGGTTTTGGAGAAAAGCCATCAGTTGGCAGCCTTCATTTACATTCCAGAATTCAAGGAGATTCTACAAGACATTCCCCCTCTGTCTTCTACCCTGGGAATTATCAGAAAGAAGAGGGGAGAGGAAAGGCTAAAAAGGGCCTGGTGTTGGCCAGGGCTGAGCTGCCAGGGTGCCTGCAGGTGCGTGGGGCTGGCCCTGTGATGGGGCTGCAGGCCTCTGGGCCAAGCTGTTGACTGCAGGTTCAGCAGCTTTCTCAGAAAGTGAAAGGCATGTATGTACCTTGCCTCCCAATTCCTGGCCAGTTCTCATTTGTAGCATTTGTCATGGAGACGTGGGCCTGTGGGTATAGACAGGTAATGACTCAGTCTTCTTGAAGCCCTGCCAGGAGAGCCCAGGTTTGAAAACTGGGGAAAACAGTCTCTTCATGCTCGCTCCCTGGCTCTCTTTGGTTGGTCCCTTTTCCCTTCCCTTCCCAGATAATGGCTGCAGAAAGGTGCCCTTGGGGTCACGAGCCGGGTGAGCCTCAGATTGCCAATTAGTCATGATTGCCATGTGTGGCCACTCCAGCAGGACTTATGGCCACAGTGCGGAGCCGCTCGTAGCTCCCCTGGGAGCAGGGAGGGTAGGGGGTGCATTGTCACCCTCGGTTGATTGGGCTGGTTGGAGTTGCCAGGCGTGGGAGTCACCTGGCTCAGCCCTCACAGGGCGCAGGGGAGGCCCTGGGCCAGGGATCCCTGCATCATAGCCTCGGAGTCCAAGAGGGCAGAGTGACTGAGGAGCTGCCCACAGAGGGAACAGAGGGAGGGAAGCGGAAAGGAAAAAAGACCATCCTGAAATCTCAAAACAGAAAAGATGTATCCCAAAGTTGGGAATGGTGGGGTGAAAAAAAGTGTATTCGGCTGTTTTTTTTGGGGAGGGTAGTTGGAGAGTGATGGGCTTCATTAAATCAAATTACAATCTGTTTTGACTGGCTGAAGATGCTGGAGGAGAGCTGAATTAAAGCGGTGTAGTAAATGGAAACTCTGTTTCCCACGAGGCAGGCTCTTTCGCCGGTTTATAAAGATGAATAGCGGCTGCCCAGAGGCAGGTGTCCTCAGCAGGGAAACCTGGTCCCTCATGGCCTGGCGGATTCTGAACTCTCGGGTCTGGCTGGCTTTGCAGACCCTCTTTGGCCTTCCCCTTTCCTCCCCTCCCCCCACTCTCCCTTTTCCTGCTCTTCTTTCTCGGCTCCCACTAGGACCGCTTTTGTGTAATTTATTTGACTTTTCATCCCTCTAATTCTAGCTCGAGTCCTCCTCTGCCTCAGAGTCCTCTTGGCCCACTTAAGACATCTCCCAGGGGCTCCCGCAGCCTGACAGGCCCCACCTTGCAAGAGAAGGCCCATGTCTCACCCTCCACAACCCCAGTCCCCAAGCTGCTCGGTGATTGTCAGCAGGTTGGCTTAGGTGGTTCTCTCTAGGACAGGACAGGAGGAAGAGGATGGAGGGATGAGCCTTTTTCTGAGCGTCAGAGAGCCTTAAGGATGCCCTGTGTTGTCAGGGTCCTGGTCTCTTAGGTGCTCAGTGCAGACGGATTTCCAAAGGAATGAGGGGCCCTTCGTGCCGACCGCCTGTGCTGGCGCCTGACAGCCAGGTGAGCCTAGTGGCCGTGGGCTGCAGTGTGTCCTAGCAGCTGCATGGCAGCTTCATCCACATTTCCTTAGGACTCCTGGGGGGGTCACAGAAGAAAGGTATTCTGAGTAAACACACATTTGAGAAATGAAATATTTTATATACAGACTTGGGCTTTGAGGAAAAGCACGTGGATCTGGCCTTGTTTTTAGATTCAGAAAGCTTGATATTTCCCTGATTTGATTTGATTTAGTTAATTAATTAATTAATTAATTAGAGGCAGAATGTTGCTCTGTTGCCTAGGCTGGAGTGCGGTGGCGTGATCTCAGCTCACTGTAGCCTCCACATCCTGGGTTCAAGAGATTCTCCTGCCTCAGCCTCCTGTGTAGCTGGGATTATAGGTGTGCACCACCATGCTGGCTAATTTTTGTATTTTTAGTAGAGATGGGGTTTTGCCATGTTGGCCAGGCTGGTCTTGAACGCCTGGTCTCAAGTGATCCTCTCGCCTCGGCCTCCCAAAGCGCTGGGATGACAGGCGGGAGCCACCTCCCAGCCACGGGTCTCTGGGGGAGCACATCACGTAGAGCCACTGGAAATCCTTATGTGCTCCTTTATGAGGCAAACTCACCGCAGAGGACTGAGTTTGCCCTCCCTTATCCAAGAGGGCAGGAGCCATGGCTCCAGGCTTTCTGTCTAGTGCACACATGGGAAGTCCCTGCATGCTGAGCATGGGAGAGCCAAGCTGCCCTGGCCTGTCACGCAGCCTGAGTTTGGGGACGCGTTAAGCCTGGAAGCAACGTTAAGCCTGCCGACACACAGTAGGCTCTTGGATGCGGGCCGAATGACCAGAGGGAGCAAGAGTTGGCATGTAGCTCAGACAGGGTTCTTCCCAAAGCATTCTAGTGGGTGGATGGGGAGACAGAGAGAGAAAGGGAAACCTGTTTTGATACATCTTTACCGAAAGTAGGAGAGACAAATATAACTCTGGATTTGCAGAGAAATAAAAGAAATACATACCTTCTTGGGTCCTCTTAGGGATTAAGCTGAATTTTTTTAAGAATGTGTAAGTGTAACTTTTCTAGAATCTTCTGCATAGTTGTCTTGCATTATTGCACATATTAATTTAAGCTTCAGCAACAAATCTGATGTTTGTTGTTCCAGAGTCGGGTTGACCCACATTTATTCCCTCCTTACTTACAGTCTCATCAATGGCATGTGTTAAGATAGGGTGGTTGGGCTGGGCGCGGTAATCCCAGCACTTTGGGAGGCCGAGGTGGGCAGATCACGAGGTCAGGAGTTTGAGACCAGCCTGGCCAACATGGCGAAACCCCATCTCTCCTAAAAATACAAAAATTAGCTGGGCATGGTGGTGGGCACCTGTAATCCCAGCTACTCAGGAGGCTGAGACAAGAGAATCCCATGAACCCAGGATGTGGAGCTTTCAGTGAGCCGAGATTGCACCACAGCACTCCAGCCTGGGCAACAGAGTGCAACTGTCTCAAAAACAAAAACAAAAAGGTGATTGGTGGCGCTTTCTCCCACTAGTCTTAGCTGTAGCTCTCTCTTAGAGTGATTGCTTTGGCTTGTGTGTGCAGCACTGGAGGGTAGGTGTAGCTGGGGTAGCTGGGATGGTCTCCATCCTCATAGGGGTGCTTCTGCGGTGACCTACAGGCTTGTGTGGCCACGTTCTGAATGTCAGGTCATCACCAATGTCTGTTCTTCTCTACGGAGGAAAAGTGAAGGCACTTAGGAAGTACTGGAAAGTCTGAGAAGCGGGCTGTGAGCAGTGGCTTTGTTGTTGATGGTGTTCAGTAAAAGGAGTTGATATATTTAGCATCAAAACTAACATCTGCTTTGAAACAGACCTAAAGGATAGGATGGTCTTATTCTAAACTTCATAAAGAGCTGATTTCTCGAGGATTTCTCATTTTTTCAAAGTCACGATATCTTCATCTCAGTTATGCTGGAAATTTAACTATCTTGTATATAATACATATTTAACGAATGGTGAAATTGGAAGACAACTTTCTAGTAGGGAGGAAGGAAACTAACTCAGATCTTAGGAAAGTCCCCCCTGTTGCTTATTTGTTTGTAACTTGAGGTTTCTGGTCTCTGGCTACCCAAATGTGCAAAAGACAGATGTCTACAGGGAAAGTGAGGACAGCCCTGAAAGGGGAATGGAGACTGTGTGCAGCTTGCCCAGGCTGCTCTGAAGCCACTGAGAGAGAAGCCGATTGAACTCAGGCAGCAGGTGCACTGGGTAGAACAAAATGGTTTAGTTGCCTCAGATACGGGAGCACCTTATTCTTTTTTTTTTGTTTGTTTTTTGAGACAGACTTTTGCTCTTGTTGCCCAGGCTGGAGTGCAATGGCACGATCTCAGCTCACTGCAACCTCTGCCTCCCGGGTTCAAGCGATTCTCTTGCCTCAGCCTCCTGAGCAGCTGGGTTTACAGGCACCCGTCACCATGCCCAGTTAATTTTTGTATTTTTAGTAGAGGCGGGGTTTCACCATGTTGGCCAGGCTGGTCTCAAACTCCTGGCCTCGTGATCTGCCCAGCTCGGCCTCCCAAAGTGCTGGGATTACAGGTGTGAGCCACCACGCTCAGCCTGGAACACCTTATTCTTAATTTGAGGGATTCGGTGCAAAATAAATGTAAATACAAGTACTCCCACCCTTCTGGTGGCTCAGTGCAAGCTTCTGTGATTTGAATACTCACCATGTATTCACTTTGGCTTCAGCCATGTCCTAAGGGGAAAGAGATGCCCAGCTAGGAAGGAAGGCTGACATGACAGGTGAACTCACTGGCGACTAGAACCACGTTTGTGAGATACGTGCAGGGAGTAAGGGTTGATTTTACTTTCGTTAAAGCTAACATAGCCAGCACGCTCTGAGGACAAGGATGGAAGTTTTCCAATTTAAATGCACCAGACATAGTCAGCTTGGGGAACTTGGGGTCCTCTTGAGGGGCCTTGCCTTCCATTCTTGCGGTGTATGAACTGGTAGAGCGTTTATGGTGCTTTTCCTGTGTTCTCCCAGCTCCTCTCTGGAGGCAGCTCAGGCGCCCGTGGAAACAGTAGTCCACGTTGTATCAGGCATTTAAGGAACTGCAGCTTTGGCCCCCAGGAACTGGACCCGTTGTGATCTGTAGAATTTAATTTCTGTATGTGTCCAGAGGACTTTCTCTGTGTTTTCTCCTTTTGAGGGCTGGATAGTAAATTCCATGGATTGTGCCATCTCTGTGTGATGGCTGCTGCCTGTAAGTCAGTTGTGTGATGGTGGACATGAGACCAGAAAGGGCTGCAGAAAAGGCGTGTGTCCGGGAGCCCAGCCTGGCATGGTTGAGGTGAGGTCTTATCTCCGGGGCCTCACAACCAGATCGTGCCTGAAAAGCTCACTTGAGCTGTGTGCAGCCGATTCCAGAGTTGAGAGTTTACTATCTTGCGTTTATGGCATTTAGGTAACATTTCAAAAAGTTGTACTTTTCCCTAAAGAAAATAGCTAAGGTTTTTTTTTTTTTTAAAGCTAATATGTAGTCATGTAGAAAATGTAAGCAAAATAAAATTGGAAAGTGGAAGTCCCACTATGCAAAGACAATCACTGTTAACACTTAAGATAAAGCCCTTGTACACATCTCTGTCTGGAAATTTTAAGGAATTTATGTAAAGGGATCATACTGTAGGTACTATGCCTAGTTTCTGTTTTACCATATTGTGGGGATCATTTTAGATTCACAGGGATCCCTTGAAGCAGAGCATTCAGACATTATTCCCATTTTGTAGCAATCAAAATGAGATACAGAGAGTCTCATTCGGGGTTACAGAGTACATAAGCAAGCCAAGAATTCATATTCCTGACTTTAAGCAAGTGCTAATTTCATCCTTATATTTATAAGGAACTTTATAAAGTGCAAGAGAAGAATCTTTCCCTCTGTATGTTGGAATTTCCCCCTTACTAGAATTTTGGAATATGACATAACTTGATCAGTATTTTCAAACATTGTGATTTGGTTGCTTTCTTTACTGGTTTCAGAGCCAAAAATCAGGATATGTGGGGTTGCCTGGGGGTTAGGATCCTTCTTTCCTCCTCATCAACATTCTCTCTTGTCATTACTGATGTGATGCATGAGCCACTGCACCCGACCTGGATTCTTAAAATATATATTTTTAAAAAGATAATAATAATAACTAATGTTTATTGATTACTTACTGTGTGTCAGATATGCATCTCAACTTTTTTTTTTTTGAGTCAGGGTCTCACTGTGTCGCCCAGGCTAGAGTGCAGTGGCGCGATCTCGACTCACTGCAACCTCTATCTCCTGGGCTCAAGTGATCCTTTTATCTCAGCCGGTGGAGTAGCTGGGACTACAGGTGTGAACCAACACACCCAGCTGATGTTTGTATTTTTTTGTAGAGATGGGGTTTTGCCATGTTGTCCAGGCTGGTCTCAAACTCCTGAGCTCAAGTGATCCACCTGCACGGCCTCCCAAAGTGCTGAGATTACAGGCATGAGCCACCGTGCCTGGCCGCATTAAATTTTTTAATTTTTTTTTTGAGATTTAATTTACATACCATGTAATTATTATCCATCCTTTAAAAGTGTACCATTCAGTGGTTTTTACCATGTTCACAGAGTTGTGCAACCATCACCACAATCAATTTTAGAGCATTTCATCACCCCAAAAAGAAAAAGAAACCATGTACCCATGAGCAGTCACTTCCCATTTCTCTCTCTTCCCCCAAGCCCTGAGCAATCAGTAATCTATTTTCTGTCTCTAGAGATTTGCTTATTCTGGATATTTCATATTAATGGAATCAGGCAGTATGTCGTCTTTTTGTGTCTGGTTTACTTCACTCAGTATAATATTTTCAAGGTTCATCTCTGTTGTGGCACTCATCAGTACTTCATTCCTTTTTTATGGCTGAACAATATTTGATTGTATGGATACACTACATTTTGTTTATCCACTTATCAGTTAATGGACACTTGGGTTATTTCTGCCTTTAAGTTATCATAAATGATGCTGCTAAGAACATTCGTGTGCAAGACACACGTTTTCAGTTCTCTTGGGTATATCTACCTAGGAGTGGAATTTCTTGGTCAAGTGTTAAGTCTGTTTTTAGCCTTTTGCAGAGCTTCCAGACTGTTTACCAACATGACCACACCATGTTAATTCCCATCAGCAGTGCGGTAGGGTTCCAATTTCCCCACATCCTCCTCACCACTTGTTATCAAACTTTTTGAAACTTGGATTCTTAAGCAAGTGTTTTTCTGGTAATTCTCAGTGTTACTCAAACCAGGAAGGAATGCTTATTTGGCCTGTGAGTTTATTAAATTACTGCTGTGCAGAGACAGCGCGTCTGCTCTGCGTCCTTGTTCTGAAGGTTGGCCATGCAGTTAGAATGTGGGATGCCCACGTGCACCAGCACAGGACATGCATGGTGCCTTTTTGCACTCACTTAAATACAAATTGTGCCAGTGGCTTTAAAAGTATTTTCTTGGCTGGGCGCGGTGGCTCACGCCTGTAATCCCAGCATTTTGGGAGGCCGAGGTGGGTGGATCACCTGAGGTCAGGAATTTGAGACCAGTCTGGGCAACATGGCAAAACCCCATCTCTACTATAAATACAAAAATTAGCCGGGCGCGGTGGCGCGTCCCTGTAATCCCAGCTACTTGGGAGGCTGAGGCAGGACAGTCACTTGAACCTGGGAGGTGGAGGTTGCAGTGAGCTGAGCTCGCACCACTGCACTCCATCCTGGGCGACAGAGCGAGACTCTGTCTCAAAAATAAAATGAAACAAAAAAGGAAAAGTATTTTCCTTTGTAATCTTGGCTGTCCATTCACCTTTCCTATCTCTTCTTCTTCTCTCCCTGTCCTTCCCCAGGGACCTGGAAGCCAGAGCACAGAATGAGTTCTTCCGGGCTTTCTTCAGGTTGCCGAGGAAGGAGAAGCTGCACGCGGTTGTGGACTGTTCGCTCTGGACGCCGTTCAGTCGCTGTCACACCACGGGGCGGATGTTCGCCTCTGACAGCTACATCTGCTTTGCCAGCAGAGAAGATGGCTGCTGTAAGATCATCCTGCCACTCAGAGAGGTAGACTGGCCCTACTGTCTGCTTCCCGAAGCAGCCTTTTGTTGTTTGAACACAAGGTTGCTGGCTGTGAGATGGAGTGTGGGAGGGGAAGTTCAGACGGCACAGTTTTGCCATCTAAAGATGGATGACTCCAAGGCTGGGCTTCTTGAGGGAGGCATGGCCTGAATTGGACCATTACCCATTCGGCCATTGCTTTTTCTGCTGTTGCTATGGCATCCTGAAATTTGCCAACAAGTGACTGCTGAAAACAGGGGACTCTAACCTCCACATTATTGATAAAGCTGTTATTAAAAAGTACATACCTAGCAATTAAAGATTTTTCCAGCAGCTCCTAGGAATGAATCCTCCCCTTTCACTCACCAAAAAAAAGAAAGGAAAAAAAAAAGCAACCTACAAAAAGCATCACCTTTTAAAAATAAATGGTAAATTGCCTGGCTTTTGTATGCTCCTGGAACTTCAGTTAAAAATTTTAAAATGCTTCCATTGACAGGGATCAGGTCCCTTCTTCCTATAAAATTCTGCAATTCTCTTCTTGGAAATGGGGGCTCAGATTACTTCCAGATCTGAGCAGCTCAGTCCTTTGGCTTCAGGGCAGCAATTCTGGTGAGATGGTACCCACAACTCTGTTTACACGTCAGGACCTCCAGATTCTTCTTTCTGATAACAAACGTACTGAGCATTCTTCTTTGGAAAAACTCAAAACTCTTATTTTTTTCTTCTTTTTAGAGAGGAGGGTTTCACTGTGTTGCCCAGGCTGGTCTCAAACTCCTGGGCTCAATCGATCCTCCCACTTGGCCTCTGACAATGCTGGGATTACTCCTTGTGGTCTCCTAACTCCATGTTATTATTCTGTAGTAGATGTCTTCATTTTACAAATATTTTTACTTATTAGTGGAGCAAGAAATCTAGGAGCCAACTTACATGCTTAAAAAATTTTTTTTGGTAATGTGTACCTAACCAGAAATGACATTTAAACCATTTTAAGTGTATGGCTCAGTGGCATTAAGTACATTCACATTGCTGTGCAACCCAGCACCATCCATCTCCAGAACTCTTTCATCACTGACAATGGAAACACTGTCCCCATAAATCAACTTCCCTCTTCCCCTTCCCCCAGCCCCTAGCAACCATCCTTCTACTTCCTGTATCTATGAATTTCACTCCTCCAGGTACCTCATATGAGTGGATTCATACAATATTTGTGACTGGCCTTGTTCACTTAGCATAATGCCCTCGGGGCTCATCCATGCTGGAGCCTCTGTCCGAATTCCCCTCCTCTTCAAGGCTGGGTCATACGCCGATGTATGGATAGACCACACTTTGCTATCCAGTCGCCCCTTGATGCAGCCTTGCACAGCCTCCCCTTGTGGTGGGGGTGAGCAGTGCCACTTTCTCGCCATTGCATCATCTCCTTTCTGCAGTGATTGTGCCTTGCCCTCTGTTTCGGGACATCTTCTGCATATGTAATAACATGCCTACCTTCCTCCCGCCCTTCTGTCCCTGCATGTTGCCTCTCGCGCAGGTGGTGAGCATCGAGAAGATGGAGGACACGAGCCTGCTGCCGCATCCCATCATTGTCAGTATCAGAAGCAAGGTGGCCTTCCAGTTCATTGAGCTCCGGGACCGAGACAGCCTGGTGGAGGCGCTGCTTGCGAGGTTGAAGCAGGTCCACGCCAACCACCCCGTGCACTACGACACCTCTGCGGATGATGACATGGTATGGTCCCTCCAGACCCTGATGATCCCCTTCTTCATGTCTCAGGCCGTGGTCTCCAAAGGGGAGTACACATGGGGAGAGCCATGTGGGGATGAGAAGAATGCGGGGCCTGTGTGTGGTCTGCTGTCATTTCTGATGTGCCGGCTGTCCTGAGAGGGTGTGGGGAATTGCCCCACAGCTTGGAGGGGGTGACGGGGTCACCCCTCACAGGTGAGAAGGGTTGCTATCCCTGCTCCTGAGGTTTGAGGATGGCCTGATTGGAGGCACGTGTAACCTGCTAAAAGAGGAGCTTTGTCGGCCCTGAGGTTGGGCAGCTGCAGAGGTGGTCCCGGGGTGGCTGGGGCCTGGTCTCCTTTTTTCATGTCTCTTCTCTTTCTCAACCTCTTTTCACCCAAAATAGTGATGGGGAGAAAAGGAGGTGCAGCCTCTCTCAGCCCCAGGGCTGCTTTCTCAGGGTGGCCGTCCTCCTGTCCATAAGCTGAGGGGAGGCTGGGGCTGCCCATGAGGAACTGCATATGGACCCAGATACGGACCCAGGTTCTGGGGACCGGGACAGCCTCACCCGGAGCATGCAGTGGGACTGTGTCTTCCTAGGAGCCCTGTCTGGTCTGGCGTCAGTCTGTCTTCCCCCTGAGTCATTGAAGTCTGCTATGCCCGTGCATCCAAAGGCAAAACAAAGACTGTCCCCTCGACTAAAGCCATGATTTTCTCCTCTCCTCTCTCTCTCTGTCTCTGTCTCTCTTGCTGTGCAGGCTTCACTCGTGTTTCATTCAACAAGCATGTGCAGTGACCACAGATTTGGGGATCTTGAAATGATGTCTTCTCAAAATAGCGAGGAGAGTGAGAAAGAGAAGAGCCCGCTGATGCACCCCGATGCCCTGGTCACCGCCTTCCAGCAGTCAGGCAGCCAGAGCCCTGACTCCCGAATGGTGGGTGACGCCTGGTGCCCAAGCTGGACCACAAAGCTGAGCCGTGGGCTTGGGGGGGTTGCCCAGCTGTCTGAGTCACCATGGAACGTGGCACCTGACTTTGGGAAGCTAACGCTCCTCCTCCGTCTTGTTCTCATGGGTGAAAAGTGACCACTGAGGTGGTCAGAGGACTGAGGGGCTGCTCTCCCACCCACCCTTCGGTAAACCTCGCGCAGCTCTCAGCTGTGGGGCCTGCGGAGCTGGCCGCGCTGCCCCTTGGGGGTCTCCAGGCACAGAATGGGTTCCTCTCCTTCCAGCCAGTGCTGTCTGTGTGCCCCGCGTTATAGCTTTCCTTTTTCCTTTTTTTTTGTCTTCTGGGAGAAGAGGTCACCAGTCTTCTAGTTTTACTAAACTGGAAATATTTTTGCTATATTTACTTACAGATTTCCTCTTTGTAGGGAGAACTTGAGGGAAATGTCACGTATAGTCTGGTAAAGATACTGGAAGTTGTGCTTTGAAATGGGGCCATGGCAGGCAGGGTGCTGCGCTGGACCATGAGCACTGGGCAGTGGCCATGAACCTGTTAACCCGAGCTTATTTTTGGTCGCTTTAATGGCTCCTGTAAAATCTATTGTTGGTTTTATTTATCCAAAACTGAGCCTTCTCATAGGCTTTACACCCGGATCCTTAATTAACTTTTGTTGACAAAATGTATGAGAATGTTAAATATATGTATTTATTTCTGCCATTACTGGAGAATACAGATAATTAAAAGCAAATGTAAATACCTAGTTTAAAAGGCACTAAACATTCCTGCCACCTAGGGGTAATTTCAAGTATTTTCAGTTGCCTAGAGAAATGGTATCTTTCTCATTTCTGTTAATGAGAACAATGCAGTTTTTTTCAGGTTTCAGTTTTCCCTCTGGCTGTCAGGAAGCTCAGGGGAAATTGTGATGCCCCTGTACTCCCCTTTGCCCTCTGAGCTGACCAGTGTCTTTTTGGCAGATGCAACATCCAGAGAAAGCTTCCCCCAGCGTCCCCCTTACCCACCCCTCCCTCCCATCTGATTTGGGCTACTTTAATACTTGGATTCACATACCCTTGTTATCAGCCTTGCTAAGGAAATCGTATTTTATTTGTATAAATGCTCCCACTGGGCTCTGAGCTCCTGCAGGGCCTTACCCTGTGTTATTCATCTTTGCATCCTCTGTGCCCCCAGTAAAGGTTCAGAAATATTTGCGGCTTGAATACAGGTGTCCTTGCCCGTTGCTGTTGGCCCCTCGGAGAGCAGGGGCAGTACTTCCTCCATTGCCAGCGGTGCATCGGTGGGTGGGGGGTGGTGAGGACAGACTTCTTTGTACATTAAGAATATTCCCATTTCCAGTCCAGAGAACAGATAAAAATAAGCCTGTGGAATGACCACTTTGTGGAATACGGCAGAACCGTGTGTATGTTTCGCACAGAGAAGATTCGGAAGCTCGTAGCCATGGGCATCCCTGAATCTTTGCGAGGGAGACTCTGGCTTCTCTTCTCAGGTAAGCGCTCTTGGTGTCTCGAAGCTAATTGTTCTTTTTGTCATGGACACAGGAACAGCCCGGACCCGAGCAGCGCGTGTGTTTATGTGCAGATGAAATGGTTCTGTCTTTGAGTCATTCCTGTGATTTCCCAGCTGAGGACTTCCACTCCCTGTTGTGTCAGCTGTGGGACCTGGGTCAGGCTGCCTGGGCCTCTGGGCTGTGGCGTCCAACTGGGTAAATGCGAGGTCTGGGCACAGTGACGGCCACTCTTTTAAAAATGCCTTCACGAGGCTCTACATAGTGCTGAGAATTCTATTCAGAACCCCCTGGAAGTGAAGTGTCTATAGTGTGTGAGCTCTGAAGTAGATGAAACAGAACATCCTCATCCATTGTCAACTGGCTGGGCTGCTGAAACACATCCCTCAGAGTGTGGCTGCCATGAGTCCCTCCTCCAGTGAAGACACATGGCGGGCACCAGAGGCAAAAGTGCAGATTTCTTTTCTGTTCCGTTTCCTCTTTTCTGCTGGACCCATTCAGGGATGGCCTCTTTTAGCTTCAGAGCCCCGGGGCCTCTCACTGCACCCATTGGGGAACGCCTGGGAACCCTCATCAGGACATTTAATGATGGATGGGCTGAGCCTGGGACCAAACTTCCCCAGGGACATACTGGGTAGGCATTTGTCTGTCCCTCCATATCAACTGTGAGCGACTTGCTCCTTGGAGCAAAGGAGCTTGGGCCCGAGGGTAGGAAGGGAAGGCCCTGCCATTGGAGTGTGCCTTTGCTGCTCCTCAGGGTGCTGTGGGAGGCCAGGTGAGAGGGTCCCTTCCCCAGATGACCCCATGGCGCTTTTGTCAGCAGGGAGGCGCCTGGAGGCTGGGCTGGGTACCTGTGCCCTGCTCCGTTACTCTTCCTGGGACTGGAAGCATCTCTTGTCCTACTTCACTATCAGCCTCTTTCTGGTTCCTTGTCTATCCCCCAACTTTGTCCCTCACTTTCCTCTTCCCTGTCTCCCCCCCAGCCCCCAACCTCCTGCCCGAGATGCCCAGACACAGCCTTCATGCTTCCTGGCACACTCACTGTGTTGGGTGTGGTCAGTGGTCACTGATGCTGCCTGCACCACTGCGCCCCTCATCTCCTTCCTGCCTCCTGGCTTCTGCAGCTAACTTCCAGAGGCGCAGTGTTGAAACACCTCCTTTTAAAAGTGAAAAAGTCTTCTGTATTTTTGTATATAAAAATGACAACATACATTCATAGTTGAAAAATAAAGGCATGGAGGAGTGAGCAAAGACAGTGACCTTCCTCAGAATCCCACCACCTGATTGTGAGGCGTGTCACTGCCCAAGGTCTGCATTCCTCTAGGTCTCTCTAACGCATATGCACACACACGTGCACACACACATGCCTGCACAGACACACGTGCACACACTTGCACACACTTTTCATAAGGGACGCATTCATCCCTTCATCTTGCCCGCCCGCTGAGGCCTGGGCTGTAGCTCTGGCTGTGGGTGGCTGGCACAGGAGTTTTCTGGGCTGGGCACTTCTGCTGCAGTTTGTGCATCTCAGACCTGACTTCAGAGTTGCATGTGGGCGCCGTGCTGCTGGCCCCTTCGCTTTGTCATAGCTGCGCCCCCTTGATGTGCCTCACGCATCAGTGCTTGGTGTCATTTCTTGTTGAATTAATGCATGAAATTTGCGTGTGTGTATGTGCATGCTTGCACACTGCTGCTACTAGGGAATACAGTGTGTTAAAAGCATATTAATACAGTTATTTCTATTATGAGTTTTCTCCCCTTCGCTCTATAAGGTTATTCTTAGAAAAGCCATACTATTTCTTTTATTTCTGTTTTTTTGACTAGGCTACATGGCAGAAATGAAGTCCTTACTCTGTCGCCCAGGCTGGAGTGCAGTGGTGTGATCTCAGCTCACTGCAACCTCTGCCTCCTGGGCTCAAGGGATTCTTGTGCCTCAGCCTCCTGAGTAGCTAGGTTTACAGGCACCCACCACCATGCCTGGCTAATTTTTGTATTTTTAGTAGAGACAGGGTTTCACCATTTTGGCCAGGCTGGTCTCGAACTCCTGACCTCAAGTGATCCACCCGCCTCGGCCTCCCAAAATGCTGGGATTACAGGCGTGAGCCACCGCACCCGGCCAATATTTTGTCCCTCAGTAAGTAACGAGACCCCACTGGGGTCCCCTGATGGGACCAGCATCTTCTTCATCATGACACCATCCTAGTAATCATTCCCCCTTGAAACATTGCTTTTAAAACTCAGATGCGGTGACGGATCTTGCCTCACACCCTGGTTACTACGGGAATCTGGTGGAGGAGTCCCTGGGGAAATGCTGCCTGGTAACCGAGGAGATAGAACGAGACCTGCACCGCTCCCTGCCAGAGCACCCCGCCTTCCAGAACGAAACGGGAATTGCTGCTTTGAGGAGAGTCTTGACGGCCTATGCCCACCGGAACCCCAAGATTGGATACTGCCAGGTGAAAGGGGTGTGCTCTGGGGCGCAGAGAGTCTTTAGTTGGTGTCTCATGTTGTCCTTCCCAGGGTTTCATTTGCATTCCCAGTCATCTGGTCCTGAGTGTTGTCGTGTGAAGGCGCTGTACTCGGTCCCTTTCCGGAAAGAAAGTATCAAATGAGGGCCAAAGGGACTACTCATCTTATAATCAACGGATCATGAGGTCAGGAGATCGAGACCATCCTGGCCAACATGGTGAAACCCCATCTACTAAAAATACAAAAATTAGCTGGGCATGGTGGCGCGTGCCTGTAATCCCAGCTACTCAGGAGGCTGAGGCAGGAGAATCACTTGAACCAGGGAGTCGCAGGTTGCGGTGAGCCGAGATCATGCCACTGCATTCCAGCCTGGCAACAGAGCGAGACTCTGTCTCAAAAAAAAAAAAATTTACCGAGTGCCTGAAAAGAGAAACGTGCATGTGTAGTGGTTGTTGGTGGCAGGGCAGATTCAGTCTTCAACACCCCTCTTGAGCTCAGACGTAGGAGGGCATTAATAGAATTTCTAGACCTCTACAGAAATTACAGGATTTAAAATGGCAGTGCTGTTTGGGGAGGAAGATGATGATCAGGGCCAATCCCCTTCCTTTAGGACACATGAGTGGAGGTGAGATGTCTGCTGAGCTTTCCCGAGCTGAGGGTGTGGTCAGCAGGCACAAAAGGAAAATTAGTCCATTAAAGCAGCAGCCAAACCCAGCACAAGCCGGGATTAATGAAGCTCCTGACATTTAAAAATTTAAGATTTCAAACTTTGTTTCCTGTGAATAAGCAAAGTCAGTGAGCGAATTAAGTTTGTGTGTGCACGTGTGTGCATGTGTGTGTCTGCTTGAACAAACAGCGAATAGCTGGATTTAAACCAACCTTAAGACTTGCACCACAGCTAAATTCCACATTGCTAGATGGGGACCGGAGCTGAGTGGTGGCCGATCGCTCAGCTGGGCGTGTCCTGTGAGGACTGTGTTGCTGTCACGGTCATTCCACTGTACAGTGTCAGTGTGGTTGGTGTATGCTGGATCTCTCACCTATGAAATCTTTACTTTTGTGGGTTGTTTGGGCTTGGATGCTTGTAACATCTCTGTGGCATCACATGGGCCAGTCAGTAACTGCCCTCCTTGACCCCCGAGCAGTCCATGAACATCCTGACCTCCGTGCTGCTGCTGTACACCAAGGAGGAGGAAGCCTTCTGGCTGTTGGTTGCTGTGTGTGAGCGGATGCTGCCCGATTACTTCAACCACCGAGTGATCGGTAAACAGACCCCCTTCCTCCTCCTGTGTATCTGGGGAAGAGTGACAGAGCCTGGGCAGGATGTTTCTCATCAGTCCTGTTTATAAAATCTCTCAGTGCCACTCAGCTAGTCTGTTTGCAAACACAGTTTGACTCCTGAATTTGCAAAACTAACTCGGGACATTCTCTGCACAGTTCTGACAATGTAGTGGAATAAAGAAACTCAAACACATTCCTGCTATAAAGACCTACAGAGTCGGGATTAAAACAAACACATAATTTTAGATGGATAGCTGAACTTACAAGAAGGGAAGAAAGATCCAAGGCCCAAGAAACAAGTCAGAAAGTGAAAACCAGGGTGGTTTTACATGGATGCCATGGCCTGGAAAGGGAGGGTGGGGGCCTGGGGGGATGCCTCTCGGTAGCTCAGGGAGCTTGTTCAGACAGGAGGCCCTCGGTTGCCCTAGAGAGAGGAGGTAGGTGGGATGGAATTAGAGACCCTCAAGGCCCATGTGGTCAGTTAAAGGGCAGACTTGGAAAAGTCCTCCACTTCCATAAGGACATCTTAAGAAAGCTCGTTGGCTGCTATCTGGACTCTGGGTAACTTGTGGCCTTGCAACGCTCCTGCACTGGGTACCTGACTTTCATGTGGTTGAGATTTAAATGTGTGCTGTCTCTGTAGTCCAGCAACCTCCTAGTAAACAATACAAAAATGGTTCTGGGCTGGTGATGCTCTTAAGAACTCTTCTTAGTAATTCAGATGAGAGATGGAGCTGGCCTAAAATTAAGGTGGCAGCCCTGGGAACAGAACCAACTTCAGACAGAATTTAGCAACCGAGTGGATATAGGAGCAAGGCGGGAAGAAGGCGCCCTTGAAGACTGTGTCCTAAGGACTGAAGGGTGGCCTCTAGGAATAAGGAGGGGCAGGTGGGTGGTGTGGTCAGCTGGGAAGGCAGTGATGGCTCTGTGCCTTCTGGCCCAGGTGTACCCTTTCCTGAGCCTTCAGCCGTGCACACCGGCTCCTTCGTGTGCCTGAGTGGCTAGCTGGCTTGCTTCCCTTTTTACTTTGTGTTGTGGGAAGTGGTGTAAGGAACAGAGTAGCAAGGAGTAATTAAAAGCTCGGCGTCATTGAGGGACATGCTGTCAAAGCCACTGTTGATGATTGTTGCTATGTGACAGCTCATATGCAACAGTGCCAGCTAGACCTTCTGTGAGAGTGCCCGTGCCTGTGTGGACACTGCCCCAAGACAGGAGGGGACCATTGGAACACATGCATCACCCCAGCAAGTTCTCTTCTGCCCCCTTCCTGCCATGGGCAACACCTGGTACTGAGTTCTATCACCATGGGTTAATTTGGCCTACTCTTGAACCTTGTATAAATGTAATCATGGAGGACAGGGTCTTTTGTGTCTGGCTTCCGTCACACAGCAGAGCATCTGTAAGAGGCAGCCACATTGTTGGTGCATTTGTAGAGCTTGCTCCTCTTTGTTGCTGAGTAGGATTTCACTGGTGTGCTTGTCCAGTCACCTGCTGATGCGCATTTGAGTTGTTTCCAGTCTTGGAATATGATAAAGTAGCAATGAGCAGTCATATAAGTCTTTTTATGAATATATACTGTCATTTTTCTTGGGTATTTACCTAGGAGAATTGTGGGGTCATAGGTTAGATGTATGACTTAATAAGAAACTCACAGTGTTCCAGAGTGGATGTAACATGTTCATTTGTCTCATACCAGCATTGTAGGAGAATTCAGCTTGCTCCACATCCTTGCTAAAACTTGGTAATGTTCATCTTTTTAATTTTAGGCATCTAGTGGGTAAGAAGTGGTATAATTATGGTGGTTTTAATTTGCATTTCTCTGATGATTAATGATGTCTCTTTGCTTCCTGACCATTTGTTTATTGGCTCTTCTGAGTGTTTAAATCTTTAGCCTCTTTAAAAAAGGTTGGTTGTTACCTTCTTACTAAGTTGCAAGAGTTCTTTCTTTTGAATATAAGACCTCTGTCAGGCATATGGATTGCAAATATTTTCTCCAAGTTTGAAGCTTGCATTTTCATTTTATTAATGGTGTCTTTTAGAGAACAGCAGTTTTAATTTTGATGAAGTCCAGTTTACAATTTTTTCTATGGTTAGTACTTTTTATGTCATAAGAAATGTTGTATTTTTCTTAAATCTCTTCTAAAAATTTTACAGTATTAACTTTTATATGTAGGTCTATGGTCTATTTCAGATATATTTTTTCTGTATGGTGTGAGGTAGGGGCTAGTGTTCCTTTTTTATTTCCCCCATGCCACTTTCCAGCTGATCAAGCAGTATTTTTTTTAAAAAGGCTATCTTTTACCCATTGAATTACCTTGGTCTAAAAGTCAGAATCAATGAACTAAGCATGGACGCTTTTCTGGACTCAAATTCCATCTCTTTGTTCTGGTTACCTCAGAGTGATTTTAATTTCAGACTGACCTTAGAGAGTGAGTCCTACCCCAGCCAGAGCCCTGTGCCCTTTCTTTTCCAGGGGCACAAGTTGACCAGTCTGTCTTCGAGGAGCTCATCAAGGGTCATCTCCCAGAGCTGGCAGAGCACATGAACGACCTCTCAGCCCTGGCGTCCGTCTCTCTCTCGTGGTTCCTGACCCTGTTCCTCAGCATCATGCCTCTAGAGAGTGCGGTGAATGTGGTAGACTGCTTCTTCTATGATGGCATCAAAGCCATCTTCCAGCTGGGACTGGCTGTGCTTGAGGCCAATGCTGAGGACCTGTGCAGCAGCAAGGATGATGGCCAGGCCTTGATGATCCTCAGCAGGTGGGCCCCGCTGCACCTCTGTGGCCAACCAGAGATGGAGGAGGCAGCAGCACGTGCCCAGCAGGGCTATCGGTGGGGAAGTTTTTTTTTTTTTTTATTGAGACAGAGTCTCACTCTGTTGCCCAGGCTGGAGTGCAGTGGCACCCCACAATCTGCTCACTACAACCTCCGCCTCCCAGCTTCAAATGATTCTCCTGCCTCAGTCTCCCGAGTAGCTGGGACTACAGGAACCCACCACCATGCTCGGCTAATTTTTGTATTTTTAGTAGAGACAGGGTTTCACCATGTTGGCTAGGTTGGTCTCGAACTCCTGGCCTCAAGTGATCCACCCTCCTCGGCCTCCCAGAGTGCTGGGATTACAAGTGTGAGCCACTGCCTGGCCCCTGTGGAAGTTTTCTGTTCGTCTCAGCCTCTTGACATTCTGTGGCCTCCCAAGCCAGTTTGCCATGTGGCACTGTCCCAGGCATGGGGTGAAGGGTGCCATTGTCCCTCACTCCTTTCCACAGTGAGAAACTCCAGGAAGAGCAGGGCCATAGATGCTTTTCTTTAAGAAGATTAAATGTCTTGCATTTAGATGGACTCACAGTGGCCTTGAACAGGGCTCGGGGGACACCAGGCATCATGGGCATCAGGCAGCCAGCTAGAGGTTGCAGACATTTTCTGCATAAGGCTAGTGAGCAGCAGTGAGGGAAAAGGCCCACTAGGTTGAGCGCCAGAGCTGGGCTTTCTAGGAGCTGAGGGCAAGTCAGATGACATTGAAAGAGGGGGTTCTCTTTCAGAGCATGATGGAAGCTTAACCTTGCATGTATGCGCAGAATGTTGGGCTTACTTCACTGGAGAGTTTCAGGCCTGGAAAGCCACCTGTGGAGCCCAATCCACAAGCCGGGCTTCATGACTGCCTCTCGCTTCTCTAAAATAAGCCGAGCAGCTGCAGCCTTGCCCTCCTCCCAGGTGTTGGTGTTTGGAAGTGCCCTGGCATGTCTGACACTGTGAAGGCAGCCCGTGTTGTGGTACCCGAATGAGGATGGACTTGGGCGTTGACGGGGCGGTGTGTTCAGGTTTCTAGATCACATTAAGAATGAGGACAGCCCAGGGCCCCCAGTTGGCAGCCACCATGCCTTTTTCTCCGACGACCAGGAGCCCTACCCTGTGACTGATATTTCGGACCTGATCCGGGATTCCTATGAGGTAACGGGAACCCCCGCCCCATGCCCCGTTGCAGCCCCTAACCCCCCGGGAATTGTGACTGGGGGATGGATGTGGAAGGAGGTTCCTGGGCCACTTCCTGTTTCCACACTTTGGATGAGCAGGGGACTGAGCAAGTGGTCCCTTTTTTCCCTGCAGAAATTTGGAGACCAGTCTGTGGAGCAGATCGAGCACCTACGTTACAAGCACAGGATCAGGGTCCTCCAAGGCCACGAGGACACCACAAAGCAGAACGTGGTGGGTAGCAGACGCCTCACCCCGGTGATCACGGTATTGGGGAGCCAACCTGGGAGTGCGCATCCTTTTTGGTCATAAGAATGCCAGCTTTGAAAAATGTATATATATATTTTGGATTACATTAACAACTTAAGGGTGAAGTAGTGTAGAAACAATGTGAGCTTTGGAGCCAGGTGGTGAGTGTACTCAACACTGTGAGCCTGTTTCCCCCGTGTAAAATGGGGATAACAGTGCCTGCTGCGCAGTTAAATGAGGTTGGGGTCTATAATGCCTAGCACAGGGGGCCCGCAGGGGCATTAGCTGGCGCTCAGAAGGCTCCTCCTGCTCATGCTGTTTCTCTGCTAGCTTCCTGGCTTCCATTAGAGCTCGGTAGGTTTGTCCTTAGGCACTGATGTGTGAACTGGAAAGAGGCTAAGGATGAAACACCTGGGAAAGATACCTGGAAGTGATCTTTATGTCAGAAAAGAGCCTTTGTGGGAGAGAAGCTGGTGCATGGGCTCCTTGTGTCCCCTTCAGGAGGAAGAGTCCCCTCTTGCCCTGACCCCTGGGGGTGCAGGCCTAGATTTCACGCCATTGCTGTTTATTCTTTCCTCAAGCTTCGAGTCGTTATCCCGGAAGTCTCAATTCTTCCTGAAGACCTAGAGGAGCTCTACGACTTATTCAAGGTACGCAGCTCTGGGAAGATGAGGGGTTCCAGGCCCTGAGCTGGCCTGAGCCGCGGTGCCCAGCCTGCCCAGGGGACAGCATGCAGCTGCCTGCAGGGCTCCGTGGAGCAGAGGCCGGAGCTGCCCCCCTTGAAGCTGTCTTAGCCTGCCTACCTGCTTCTACCCAGAAACCTCTCTCCCCACCCTCCACCCTAGAACATGGGAGGAGGGAGCTGGGGTGCTCTTTGGGCAGCCCAGCAGGCCTGGCCTCGCGCTGAAGCTGCTGCACTCTGCTGGGAGGGCTTCGGTGCTGTGATCTACTCTGCTCACCGCTGCTCTAGTGAGTGCGGGCTCTGGGTCCTGCGGTGACCCTTTTTGAAATCATCACCTGATAATACTTTTTAATTACTTGTGATCCCACACCACAGTACATGCATGCATATTTTCCTATTTGTGTGGCAGATATGCATTCAAGTTCATATTCTATTTTTCCTTAACATTCTTCCATGTTGCCGTATAGTCTTAATCATTTTTAATAACTCTGTGATCTGTCATATAGCTAAAACTTAATATAGTTAATGAGATTTTTAATATTTGGATATTTACCTGGAATCATCCTGCAAAGAACATCTTCAGGCACATTACTAGAGTTTTCTTGCTCAAAACAGTAAATGGAAATTAGGAACAGAGGCAGGCACGTTGTGGACTCCTGCTACCCTGGCAGAGACGGGGAGGAAGCGCAGTTGCAGAAAGCAAGCCTGGCAGGGAAGGGGGTGTGGCTGCCCCAGCTCGTCTTGGTGGGGGCTCCAAGCCCCTTTCCCTCCTGAGCCCAGGTTCCCAGCACGATTGAAGTGATAGTCAGCAGAGTCCAGGGCTTTGGAAGCCATGGAGCAGGCCTTTCCCCGCAGTCAGTGACTGCAGGGTTGTTGGGTTAGTTAGTAGGTTCCTCACTCCTCATTCCTAATGAGCAGGATGTATGGTGAGAACTAGCAGGCCGCTTTCTCCCGTACACATCATGTTTGCAAGTTTTATTGTTTCCTTTGTTGTGCGAAGGCAAACTATGAAGTCAAAGGTTACTTGGTATCCCAACCCCCGCCTCATTTTGGCTTTCAAGGAAGGAAAACAGGGAATACCAGGAACATAAAAGTAGGCAAACAAATTATGTGAGTTTTGGCTTGTGTTTTTTACCTTAAAAAGACTTTGATTTATTTAGGGCTAATTGTTCTCAGGTTGAGAGAATAGGAACTATCGCATGTCGGAATTTATGTAATTTAAAGGATGGCTTTAAATTCACAATAAAAACAAATTTTGTTAAGTACCAGCCACATCGTTCATGTTTCATAGGAAAGATTAAAAAAGGCCTTCAAAGCCAACCATGTTTGTTTCCTGTTTTTATCCTTCCTATGAAGGACCAACAGTGTTGGTTGGTACTTGAGGAAATTTATTTTTATTGTTAGTTTAAAGCCATTCTTTAAATCACATAAATTCAGGTCTGTGATATCTCCTTTTCTGTCAAATTGAGAACAGCTTCATTACTTTATCTCTGCAAGTAGGATGTGAACAGTATAAATACAGACTTGGTGCGTAAGCTACTCCTGGAGCCATTGGGGCCTGAAACGGCGCCTTGTGTATTCCACAAACGCGTTCCTACTGCTAAGCAGTGAAATTCACCCAGTGTTGGTGGGTTATTGTGCTCTAGAGAGCATTTGGTCTCTTCAGTGTTATTTTGCTTCCTTTCATGTTCTGCGTAAGACTTATTTTCAAAGTTTAATTGAAAGACACAAAGCTAAATAAAATTATACCTTACCATTAAAAAAAGAAAAAACCATTTTTTTCTCTTACCATTGAAAAAAGAAAAACAAAGCTTCTAAGCAAGAAAGGAAAGTAGCTGGGTGCAGTGGCTCACGCCTGTAATCCCAGCACTTTGGGAGGCCGAATCACTTGAGGTCAGCAGTTCAAGACCAGCTTGGCCAACATCGTGAAAACCTGTCTCTACTAAAAATACAAAAATTAGCTGGGCGTGGTGACGCACTCCTGTAATCCCAGCTACGCGGGTGGCTGAGGCGGGAGAATTGTTTGAACTTGGGAGATGGAGGTTGCAATGAGCCAAGATCATAGCCACTGCACTCCAGCCCTGGCAACACAGTGAAACTCCGTCTCAAAATAAATAAATAAAAATTAAAAAAAAAAAGGGCCTATTGTGCCCGTATTACCCTCCCTGTACAGATAATTACGGTTAACAATGTGCGTATCTTTCCAGAATTTTCCCTCTTGTATCTATCTATAAATACACACATGCCTACAATACATACACACACACTTACTTTTCTTTCCCACATAGAAGTGAGATTATGGTATATATAATACCTGCAGGTTTGTTTGTTTCAGTTGACCATGTATGATGAACTTTGTTCTAGATGAGAATCTATAGATCTTTTCTCATACTTTTTTAGTGATTGCAGTTTCCTTGTAGGGCCGAACTCTGATATATTTAATTATTCATCTCTTGAGTGACATTTGTGTTGCTTCCGGTCGTTGCTGCTTGACACTGAGCACCTGTGCATTTCCTGGACCCCAGTGCTGCTGATTCTGTAGAATGGGTTCCTTGAGGTGGAACTGTTGGGTCATGGGTGACGTATATATTCAACTTTAGTCAATACTGCTAAAGCTTTTTTAATTTTTTCAAATTACAGTTCTGGCCGGGCACGGTGGCTTATGTCTGTAATCCCAGCACTGTGGGAGGCCAGTGCGGGTGGATCACTTGAGGTCCAGAGTTTGAGACCAGCCTGACCAACATGGTGAAATCCCGTCTCTACTAAAAATACAAAAATTAGCCGAGTGTGGTGGCATGCACCTGTAATCCCAGCTACTTGGGAGGCTGAGGCAGGAGAATTGCTTGAACCTGGGAGGCAGAGGTTGCAGTGAGCCAAGATCGTGCCACTGCACTCCAGCCTGGGCAACAAGAGTGAGACTCTGTCTCAAAAAAAAAAAAAAAAAAAAATTACAGTCCCACTGATGGTGTCTAAGAGGACTCATTTCCCCACACTCCACACCCACCCAGCATTTAATATCATGGATCTTTTAAAATTTTGCTAGTCCAGTGGAAAATTGCATTTCATTTTAATTTAAACTTGTTTTCTCATTAATGAGGTTGAGTGCCAGTTCATGTTTATTGGCTAGTTCTCTACTCTTTTGAATCACCTGTTCATATCCTTTGCCTATTTTTATAGTGGTTTGTTTTCCTGTGGCATTCTATGTAAACTAATATTTGTCCTTGGCATATGCATTACAACCATTTTCTTCTGCATTTTATGGGATGTTGATGTGACAGTCTACATGAATATACATAGAAATTCATGGTGTACCTTGGGTTTTAAGGAACAGAAATTTATGAGACCTTTATTTCACACTTAAAAGTTCTTGTGGTTATTTTCATGATTCTGTAATGACTATTTAAATAACATGGCTGCAGTGAATATGACAGTAAAATTATAAATGGCATTTTGGTCTCTTTGAGGATATGAGCTTGCAGACTACAGCATCTGCCCTTGTTTTTGTCCCATCCTGTGGACAGAGGACATTGAAATGGTCAAGAACCCTGCAGTTACTGGGAACTACTTCAGACTTTTGTGAATTGGGATGTCCAAAGAGATGATGTAGTCATTTAGTATGGGTGGAAATGATGCATTCTGAAGAGGCTCACCTGGTCCTCAGCGATGGGGCCGGTTTTGTTAGTTTTCAGTCTATTCCCAAGACTTCAACTCACCTTAAAAAAAAAACTTAAAAAAAATTGTTAATGTATTCATGTGGTTCAGAATTGAGAAAGTATTAAAAATATGCAATAAAAAGTCTCACTTCCACCTCTGGGGCCCTCCCCACAGGTAGCCAGGGTTATTAGTTCCTTCTGTATCCTACAGATCTGGCTAGTCCTTTTTGATTTTTAAATAATATGATTTTGGGCCAGTCGCAGTGGCTCATGCCTATAATCCCAGCACTTTGGGAGGCCAAGGCGAGTGGATCACCCAAGGTCAAGAGTTCGAGACCAGCCTGGCTGACACGGTGAAACCCCATCTCTACTAAAAATACAAAAAGTTAGCTGGGTGTGGTGGCGGGCACCTGTAATCCCAGCTACTCGGGAGGCTGAGGCATGAGACTGGTTTGAACCTTGGAGGCGGAGGTTGCAGTGAGCTGAGATCGCGCCACTGCACTCCAGCCTGGGTGACCGAGCGAGACTCCGTCTCAAAAAAAGGAAAACAAACAAACAAAAAAAACGCTCTGTTGCCCAGGCTGGAGTGCAGTGGCGCGATCTCGGCTCACTGCAACCTCCGCCTCCGGAGTTCAAGCGATTCTCCTGTCTCAGCCTCCTGAGTAGCTGGGATCACAGGTGCACACCGCTACACCCAGCTAATGTTTTGTATTTTTTAGTAGAGACGGGGTTTCACTGTGTTGCCCAGGCTGGTCACGAAATCTTGAGCGCAGACGATCCACCCACCTCGGTCTCCCAAAGTGCTAGGATTACAGGCGTGAGCCACCACGCCTGGCCAAAAAAGTAGGATTTTAAGTGAAAATATCAGAATAAAAATTGTGTGTCTTCTATAATGAAAACTATGTTAGCTGAACTGTACATTTAAAAATAGTTACATTGGTACATTTTACGTTATGTATATTTTACCACAATGAGAAAGAAAAAAACCTTAATAAAAAAACCAACGTGAAAATTACATGTTCATGTGGGTAAGGATGTCAGGGTAACAAGGGAACACTTTTACGTATCCAGTTAGAGTGGTGAGATTGTGAGTAATTTATTATTGTATTTGTTTGTGTTAATAACGTGGCTTGTTCAATAAGTGGTAAGAACTCCCTTTCCCCCTCTTGTTTGAAGAGAGAACATATGATGAGCTGTTACTGGGAGCAGCCCAGGCCCATGGCCTCACGCCACGACCCCAGCCGGCCCTATGCTGAGCAGTACCGCATAGATGCCCGGCAGTTTGCACACCTGTTTCAGCTAGTCTCGCCCTGGACCTGCGGGGCCCACACGGAGATCCTCGCCGAAAGGACGTTCAGGCTCTTGGATGACAACATGGACCAGCTCATCGAGTTCAAAGCGTTTGTGAGCTGCCTCGGTATGCCTCTGTGGGATTTCGCAGTGATGTGCTTTGGGGTGTGGGTCTGTGAGCAGAACACAAAGTGGATCTTCGGAGCAGGCAGATGCACATGGTGTAACACTTTTGTGACTGGCCTGACATGAACTTATGATTTTGAAATATCACTCTGCAGGCCCCTCTCAGGATCTACTTTCTGAAGGGGGATGGGAGAGGGGCCCACGCTCTCAACATACGAGGCTGTTCACCTTGCTTTCCTTGGCATCCACGATGTGGTGGTGGCTTGTTGGGAGCCATGTTCCTAACTTTTGTCCATAAAATTAAAATGTTTTGGAAGGTATGAGGCCAGACAACATTCACAAAGTTCCGTGGAGCTCACATAGTCACCAGCCCAGTCTTTAACACTTTCATTGCTACCATGGTGTGTGTCTGGGGCAGGAGAGTTGGGGGTGGCAGGTATTGACCTTCCCCAGTGTTCTCTCCACAGTGAGTTTGTGTCCTGACAAATGGACTTTCAGCATTGGCATCAACTCACTCTTTTTAAACTTTTTGCAGATATTATGTATAATGGAGAAATGAATGAGAAGATTAAACTATTATACAGGCTTCATATCCCTCCAGGTAAGAAAGTCCAAGTAGCAAAATCAGACTGTGCTCTGCTTCAACACAGTATCAGCTTTGTGCATGACTCTGAAGCTCTTCTCTTTTTAAAGTTCACTTATGCTTGAGGCAACAGGTGTTTCTGGCTTGGGGTTTCAGGTCACAGGTTTGGAGTTCTGTGCTGCACAGCTCTGGCAGGACCTCCCAAACTGGAGTGTGCACCAGAGTTGCCTGGAGGGCCTGTTAAACCAAGTTCCTGGGCCCCCACCCTGGTTTCCAACACCCTGGGTCTGAGGACACCTTCACAACCTCTGGCCTGTGGAATGTGTGTGAGAGCCATATCCTCATTACCTTAATAGTTATTTTAGGCTACTGAATCTGAAGAACCATTTCATGTTTCTAGTGCATCAGACCATGTTTTCTCCAAATTTCAGCACTAGAAACCAGGAAAAGGAAGCCATTTGGGTATCTATGAGATCAGACTTGACATTGACGGGAACAAGACCAAGGAAACCTAAAAGGTGTTCCTTGGATCTTAAAAACTAATAGAGATGAATCAGAAATCCCAGAGGGCTCTGTCCCCCCAGTGCTGTGGTTGTGGTTCTGGTGTTGGATGGTGCCTGGGGAGGCTGGTAGGCACTGAGGGGGATTCTAGAGCCATGATATCCTGGTGGCTTTTACAACTATTAGTGCACTTACACATTCTCCTTTATCCACTGGGCATATGTCCCAAGAACCCCCCCAACTCCCCGTGGATGCCTGAAACTGTGGATAGTACCAAACCCTATATACACTCGATTTTTTCAATCTGATCACCAAGATGGCTAATGAGGGACTAACAGGCAGGTAGTGTAGACCTTGTGCAGATACTGGACAAAGGGAGGATTCACGTCTGGCCTGGGATGGAGTGGAACAGTGCAAGATTTCAAAATATTACTCAGAGCAGCATGCAGTTTAACACTTCGGATGAGGGGGACTACTGTACAAACATTGAAGATGCACCTGGACATTACTTGTGGGCTTTCTGGGTCTACCTCCCAGATGCAGCCATTGCTGAACTGGCATCTTATACCTTAGGCACGCTCTCCCCAGTGAGCATTCTGTGCTGGCCACGCAGTCCCTCCTTGACCTTCTCATTGACAATATGCACTATTATGACTTGAGTGCAAATTGTTTATTATTTATTTATTTTTGGTTTCCCTTTCTCTGTCAACTGATCATAAATGCAAATTGTTTAGCATCACTGAAGTTTTCTGCCCTTTATGCCAATACAAATTGAGTTTTAATTTATCCTTATTTTTCACAAATGTTTTTCTATTAACATAGAAGGCATGCATAATTGTTTATCTTCATCATATCATCATCATCATCATCATCTTTCCATAGTTGTCATTATCTATATCTGGCATTCTTAAATAGAACATGATTGTTTTTATTTTACTCTATTATTTTATCTTGGTTTTAAAACAAACATTATTTTGGAATAATTTTAGATTTATAGAAAAGTTGCATAGATTAGTACAGATGGAATTTCACCATGGTATATTTTTAAATTTATAATTGGCTTTTGAATTATCATCTAAGATTGATTTTTGATTCTTCATCTAACTGTCTTTTTTTTTTTTTTTTGAGACGGAGTTTCGCTCTGTGGCCCAGGCTGGAATGCAGTGGCGCAATCTCGGCTCACTGCAAGCTCCGCCTCCCGGGTTCCACACCATTCTCCTGCCTCAGCCTCCCGAGTAGCTGGGACTACAGGCGCCCACCACCATGCCCAGCTAATTTTTTGTATTTTTTTTTAGCAGAGATAGGGTTTCACTGTGTTAGCCAGGATGGTCTCGATCTCCTGACCTCGTGATCCACCTGCCTCAGCCCCCCAAAGTGCTGGGATTACAGGCATGAGCCACCGCGCCCAGCCTCTTCATCTAACTTTCTAATGAATTACTACTTGTTTCCAAATAAGTTTATTTCTAAAAGACATTTTAATTACATTGATTTATTAGAAGCATTTGTAGTCCTTCATGGTTTCAGAAAATCAATTGTTCAGACCTTTTTGAACATATCTGATTGTGATATTCATACTGTGTAACTCTGAATTTAAATCAAGTTCAGTGGAAATTAAGATATGATGTATTATTTTTTAGTGTATGTTTCGTATCTGAATTTTTGATGCAGTTAAAAAAGCCTTAAGAAAACGACAAAAAAGCTAGAGTGCAGACAACCTAAAATCTCTATTTTAAAACATCATTTTCCTGAGGCCATGCAGACTCATATCTAAGTTTTTTTCATTTAAATAGACTTAATTCTAACAAATACTTACTTTCATAATGAAAAACTTTTTAAAGGTGGGACAGACATACTAGTTACGAAATGAAAGTTTTCAATCACAGATCAGGAAGTATAATGAGATTACATCAAATGTGAATTTGTGTGCCTAAAGAATTCTCTTCACTTAAGTCTTATTACTTGCCTGTCGAAGAGGCAAGGGCAGAAGACATCAGTACCTTGTTGAAACCCCGGCCGTGTAGAACAGGCCTGGCCCTCTGCCAGGGTAATATGGGAGACAGACGTCCTCGGTGAGCTTGGTTGTAAAGGCATCTGCTGCAGCTCAGGAAGCAATGAAGAGCCGAGACCCAAGGCCTCATCCACTTCCAGGAGGGCTCCCTTTATGGGCTCTTGGCGACTGTAACACTGTTTAGCACAGAAACTAGCACAGAAATATTACAGATGATTTGGTACCATGTCAGGTAACACACAGACGAAGAGCATTCCAGAAGATTAGGACATCAACAGTTTTCACTGCAGATTGATAAACCTACGGATATTGGCCATTTTGCTTAGTTAATTATACTAATTGGACTTTCAGAGGAGAACTTCCTGGGAGAACTTTATTTTCCTTGGAAAGAAACATAACAAACTGCTGAGAAAGTTATATTGAAAATGGACACACACAAATGAGACAATTTGGAGGTTTTTCTGTAAGTTTGTATACTGAGCAAACCTATGAGGACCCCTCACATCATGAGTTCCTTCTGCGAACTCTGAGATTCAGGGAATATGCTATTTTATTCACAGATAGGCTCTCTGAAATGTTTGCCTGCCAGCCTGAATCCACATTAAAGGATGTCCTTAAAATGTTGATTAATAAAATTGAAGCTGCTCCAGTCTTTGTGTTCAGCTTTCTGTGAAGGAATAGAAGTTTCCTTCTGAGGTCTTATACATAACCAAGTACATCTGCTGTCTAAAGGATGAGTTCTGTCAAGAAGTTGAGTTAAAAGGAGAAACCTTTTGAATAATTCCAATTTGCAGTTGGTTAAGGGTAATTATTGGCTTTTTAAAAAAAAGCACTTAAAACGTTGAAAACCTGAATGAACTTAATTGATAACTGAAAGAGCACATGACATTATATTAACACATACTGATAAAATATGAATTCAAAGCAAAAATTAAACTTCGGAAAAAAGGAGGTCACAAATGTTTCATTAGTGATGTTTAGTCAGTGTTATAATTTGAATTCTAAAACATAATTATAGATTAGTACAGCAATATCTGTATGAATGAGGGAAAGCTTTGTTATTCTGAAAACTTTATATGAAAAAGTGTTGATTGGATTCAAAATCTAGTCCCATTAGCCTAGATTGTCAACATTACATTTGTCAGTGAAAAAGGGGTTGATATGTAGAATGAGCACATGCTTGAAGTAGAATTGCGAGCATTGGAACCGTTCGAATCCTCTATAATGACTTTTCACCAAGTAGAGAAGAAAATGCCATTTGCTTTCCTCTTCTTGTTCGGTTTCTCACTGATGGTGACAATCTGTTTTGAAGAGATCATCGTTTTGAAGACCTAATTGGGAATTGCATGTAGCTGCTTCACTGTTAGTATTAGTATGAAAACTAATATTAAAAAGTCCTGAGCTTGTCAAGATTTTGGTAACATCTTATCCTTTTTGTCACTTGACCCTATCTTGCCTGTGATAAAGTGATGTACCATGGATATCTGTTAGAATGATCTGCTTTCCAAACCTGTGTAGTACAATTGGAAATACACAAGATCTTTGCACAGCATGGTCTGCTTTGCCAAGGGTATCTGCAGATTAGATGGTAGGTACTGATAAATATATACTGTTGTGTGCCACATAGGGACGTTCTGGGCAAGGATAGACAGCATGTATGATGGTGGTCCCATAGGATTACAGCGAGACTGAAAAATTCCTATCTTAGCCATTGTAAACACCATAGCAAAACACATTACTGATGTTTTTGTGATGATGCTGGTGTAAACAACTCTATTGCCGTTGTATAAAAGTATAGCATATAAAATTACATGTAACACCTAATACTGGGTAATGATAATGAATGTTATTGGTTTATGTAATTACTATACTATTTATCATTATTTTAGCATGCATTCCTTCTACTTATTAAAAAAAATAAACTGTAAAACAGCCTCAGGCAGGTCCTTCAGGCGCTATTCCAGAAGGCACAGGAGAGGACAGCTTTGTGTGTGTTATTGCCCATGAAGACCTTCAGTTGGGACAAGATGTGGACGTGGAAGACACTGATATTGACGATCCTGACCCTGTGTAGGCCTAGGCTAATGTGCGTGTTTGTCTTTTTTTTTTTTTTTTAATACTTTTAAGTTTTAGGGTACATGTGCACAATGTGCAGGTTAGTTACATATGTATACATGTGCCATGCTGGTGTGCTGCACCCATTAACTCGTCATTTAGCATTAGGTATATCTCCTAATGCTATCCCTCCCCCATCCCCCCAACCCCACACCAGTCCCCAGAGTGTGATGTTCCCCTTCATGTGTCCATGTGGTCTCATTGTTCAATTCCCATCTATGAGTGAGAACATGTGATGTTTGGTTTTTTGTCCTTGTGATAGTTTACTGAGAATGATGATTTCCAATTTCATCCATGTCCCTACAAAGGACATGAACTCATCATTTTTTATGGCTGCATAGTATTCCATGGTGTATATGTGTCACATTTTCTTAATCCAGTCTATCCTTGTTGGACATTTGGGTTGGTTCCAAGTCTTTGCTATTGTGAATAGTGCCGCAATAAACATACGTGTGCATGTGTCTTTATAGCAGCATGATTTATAGTCCTTTGGGTGTATACCCAGTAATGGGATGGCTGGGTCAAATGGTATTTCTAGTTCTAGATCCCTGAGGAATCGCCACACTGACTTCCACAAGGGTTGAACTAGTTTACAGTCCCACCAACAGTGTAAAAGTGTTCCTTTTTCTCCACATCCTCTCCAGCACCTGTTGTTTCCTGACTTTTTAATGATTGCCATTCTAACTGGTGTGAGATGGTATCTCATTGTGGTTTTGATTTGCATTTCTCTGATGGCCAGTGATGATGAGCATTTTTTCATGTGTCTTTTGGCTGCATAAATGTCTTCTTTTGAGAAGTGTCTGTTCATATCCTTTGCCTACTTTTTGATGGCGTTGTTTGTTTTTTTCTTGTAAATTTGTTTGAGTTCACTGTAGATTCTGGATATTAGCCCTTTCTCAGATGAGTAGGTTGCGAAAATTTTCTCCCATTTTGAAGATTGCGTGTTCACTCTGATGGTAGTTTCTTTTGCTGTGCAGAAGCTCTTTAGTTTAATTAGATCCCATTTGTCAATTTTGGCTTTTGTTGCCATTGCTTTTGGTGTTTTAGACATGAAGTCCTTGCCCATGCCTATGTCCTGAATGGTAATGCCTAGGTTTTCTTCTAGGGTTTTTATGGTTTTAGGTCTAACGTTTAAGTCTTTAATCCATCTTGAATTAATTTTTGTATAAGGTGTAAGGAAGGGATCCAGTTTCAGCTTTCTACATATGGCTAGCCAGTTTTCCCAACACCATTTATTAAATAGGGAATCCTTTCCCCATTGCTTGTTTTTCTCAGGTTTGTCAAAGATCATGTAGTTGTGGATATGCGGCGTTGTTTCTGAGGGCTCTGTTCTGTTCCATTGATCTATATCTCTGTTTTGGTACCAGTACCATGCTGTTTTGGTTACTGTAGCCTTGTAGTATAGTTTGAAGTCACGTAGCGTGATGCCTCTGGCTTTGTTCTTTTGGCTTAGGTGTCTTGGTTTTTAACAGAAAAGTTAAAAAGATTTTTTTGATAGAAAAATGTTTATAGAATAAGAATATAAAGGAAATATTTTTCACAGCTGTACAATGTGTTTGTGTTTTAAGGCAAGTGTTATTACAAAAGAGTCAAAAAGTTTATAAAGTAAAAAGTTACAGTAAGCTGAGGTTAATTTATTATTGAAGATGAAGAAGAATATTTTTAAAATGAACTCAGTACAGTTAAGTGTTTATAAAGTCTATGGCAGTGTGCAGTAATGTCCTAGGCCTTCATATTCACTCGCTACTCACTGATTTGCCCAGAACAGCTTCCACAGCCCTGCAACCTCCATTCATAGTAAGTGGTCTATACAGGTATACCATTTTTTTTTCTTTTATACCATATTTTTATAGCACCTTTTCTACATTTAGATAGTTTAGATACACAGCTACCATTGTGTTCCAGCTGCCTACAGTATTCAGGACAGTAACATGCTGTACAGGTTTGTAGCCTAGGAACAACAGACTTTATAGGCGAGGTGTGTAGTAGGCTACAGCATCTAGGTTCGTGTAAGTCCACTGTATGATGTTTGCACAATGACAAAATCACCTAATGATGCATTTCTCAGAACGTATTCCTCTCATTGACACATGACTCTATAAAATAATAGATTTCACAGAATATTTGCTGTGGAGAAAAACCTTACAAGCATTATGGAATGGGAGGTGTTTAAAATTAACATCAGTAGGACCAAAGATAGAGAGCATGTGACTACTGGTTGTCTAAGAGAGAAGTTTGGCACTCAAGTTATACCCACTATCTTGATTCTTCACTTTTTGGTCAGGCTTTTCTTACGGCTATGCTAAGAAACAATACTGAAGATAACTCTGTACGCTCTTGCTTTTAAGAACGTGCCAATATGTCAAGATATCTGCTGGAACCCAAGAAACTGAGGGATGCTTACACTGCTCTAAGGACCAAACTAATAATGGGAATGGCCCAAACGGCATAGGGGAAGAAGGCTCACCAGGTGAAATGGAAGCAGATTGGCTAAATGATGAATCCAGCCAGGATTAAGAGCCTCCCTCAGGGAAAAAACAGTCATTCTAAAGATTTAGCTGGAGGAGACAATGACTTTGAAAAGGGATGATGTGTTGATGAAATTTGCAAAGGTCAGCATCTCACAGGGCACAAAAAATGGTAGTTTAGATTCCAGTTTAACACGCAGTCCTGATATCAGCTCCAGTTTAACAGTTAAGCAGTCCTGATATCAGCTACATCAGAAATGATACCAGACATGTTTGATTCGATGATGGGCAGCTTGGGCTAGATGAAAGATCTATTCTGGCCTTGGATTGGGATCCTGAGTTAAAATGCCACAGAAGATTTTGAAAAATATGGAAACATAGAATATAAACTTCCTTGAAAAAAAAAAAACTTTTGCGAAATTAAAAGACTGCCTCAGACCCTTTTCAACAAAAGAAAACTAAGTGATAAAGATTCCTGGTATCCAAATCGTCAAGAAGCCACCACTAAGAAATTGGATGTATGATCCCTGCCTCCAGTAGCTGTTGCATCTCAAGTGATTTTTCTTACAGTAGATCCTTGAGAAACAAGTTAGATAACTTAGTTGATTTTCCTATCAATGACTTGGCTGTATTGGAATTTCTGATTAATCCAAGCGCAGGGCCTCGCTGCTATAATTTGATTGCTGTTTCCAACCACTATGGAGGGATGAGAGGAAGGCCCTATACTGCTTTTGCAAAATAAGCATGGTGGAGATGGGATTATTTTGATGATTACTGTAATGTCTCAACTGCATCTGAAGGCCAGATTGTGTTCAAAGCCATATGTGAATTCTACTACAGAGAAGACACTTATGGTGGAACTGGCTTGTCGCCTCCACAGGCATCCCATTTAGAAAGTGAGGAAGATGGCAGTGGCAATGACAATGATATAGAAAATAGAAACCATGTACAGTGTGTAATGAAGGTCCCTAAGGCTATAAAGGAGAGACCTTCCTGCTGGTGGTATCTGTTGGAGCAATGAAGTTACCTACTACCTTCAAACAGAAGTCTGAGATGAGGGTTTCAGATGACCAAATGTAAATCCTTTATCTTATTTTAACTTGGGTAGTACTTGAAGTGAGACACAATGAACACTTTAATAGAAATTGTCTGTCAATCCATTTAGACGCTTGAATTACAGGCTACATATATATAGGAATGAAAAATAAGGTCATGTTTAAACAGCCCAAATATCTCATGTAAAAAGATTGAAAGGATTTTTAAAGACTGTATGCATTCTTAGTAGTTACTATTTCCCATAATGCATAATATCCTATCCTTCTGATCATCAATAGATCGTGGAATGAGTATTTTCAGTGAGTTCCATGTCCAGGTGACGTTCTCTTCATATGCTGTGACGGCAGAGGTTGGGAGGCTCTGCTCTGAGAGTTGTTTGGCCCCTCAGCTCCTTGTCACTGTTAATACTTTACCTGCCTCCTTTCTGGACACTTGCCCACCCCCTGGATTAATTGCTGCCTTTCTATGGCTCCCATCACATTTTGTTGGTGACTTGTATACACATTTCTACTTTGTGGTACGCCAAGTTCTTTGGCATCCCAGCACTATTCTGGGAAATCCATTTCCATCCTGACTGCCCCAGGTACCATTCACGGTTTGCAATTTTCCTCCTGTTCAGTTTGAGTGGATTCTTACATGTGCCACTGCACAAAATTCGTTTTGGGCAAAGTTGGAAAAAGTAAGGGTAGCTTTCCAAAGCTTTGCTGCCATCTTGTGGAAGCTTGTTGAATCACAGCTGAATTTTGCCTTTGATTTATTTTCAGTGAAATGGTTTACGAATAAGTTCCAAACTTTTTAAAATATGGGGAACCTTCCCTGTCATCCCCGATAATTGTTATTTTGTAGCAGCTTTATTGAGATATATTTCACGCACCATGCAAGTCACCCGTTTAAAGCGTACAATTCAATGGGTTTTTTTTTTTTTGTATATTCAGAGTTGTGCAGCGATCACCACAATCAATTTTAGACCATTGCATCACCCTGAAAATAAATGTCATATCTTTAGCTCTCACTACCAGTGTATCCATTTTCCCCAGCCGTAGGCAGCTTTCTGTTTCTGTAGATTTGCCTGTCCTGGACATTTGATATAAATGGAGTTGCTGTATCATGTTCGACTTCTCTCACCTAGCATGATGTTTTCAAGACACATCCATGCTGTAGCATGCGTCAGTGCTTCATTCCTTTTAATGGCCAAATATTCCATTGCATGGGTATGCCATGATTTGTTTATTCAGCAATTTATTCAACATTTGGGTGTTTTTTTGGCTACTATGAACAATACTACTGTGAACAATCTGTGTACAAGTTTGCATGTGAACACTTTCAGTTCTCTTGGGTGTATATGTAGAAGTGAGATTTCTGAGTCAAATGGTAACTTTAACTTTTTTAAAAACTGCCAGACTGTTTACTAAAGTGGCTGAGCCAGTTTATATTCCCATCGTCAATATATGAGGGTTCTGACAGTTTTATTTTTAACATCCTTAAGAACACTCCTAATACTAAGATGCTGCTTTGAATTCACTAAGGCTTTTCTTCAACTTTTAAAAGAAATCGTGTAAGTACAGCAGTATGTGCTCATTGTAGAGAAATACTATCCTGAAAAGTTTAACATCATTACCAATTACTCCACCACCCAGAGATTTAGTGTATTTATTTCTAGAGTACTTTATGTGTGCATGGATATATTTCAGTTTTACAAAATGGGATTTCACTACATACATTTTTTCCAAATCAGTATTAGCAGTGTCCTTCTATGAATGTGTATGTTGTTAATTACAACAGTCTCCACATACCTCTGGGAAAAGGCACACTTGGTGTGGGGGACATTTTATTTTCTCTGGGTATCCAGACAGTGCTTGGTGTGCATTTGGGTTCGTGGACCCTGCAAAAACTACAGTCCACAGGCTGGGAGCTGCTGGCTTAGCCTTTAGTTGCCTAGAAAGCTACATTACTGTCAGTTTTGGTAAGGCAGAAAATTTGTTTAATTTAAACCTCTCATCTTTTTTTAAGCACTCACTGAAAATGACCGAGACAGCCAGTCGCCGTTGAGGAATCCTCTGTTGTCAACATCGAGACCCCTGGTTTTCGGGAAACCCAATGGCACGTACCTCTTTTCATTGTTGCTTTCCCCTGCATACCACTGCAGTGGCGGGAGGCACCGGGGTTGCCCTCATCCCTCTTCTTGTAGCAGCCTTGTCTTTTCCCTTCGTCCAATGAATTATCCCCAAACTCACTGCCTTTAGAGGACAGAAGTGCTCCTAGTGGGGGTGTTGCTGGGTGGCTGCCCCTTGCCCCCACCACCAAGTTCCTTCCTCCTGTTTGCTGTTTCACGGGTCCTCTTAGAGCAGAAGTCCCCCAGTTACCACCCACTGGCTCTCCAGGGGAATCTCTTGCTTTCCAGTTTTGTATGGAATTTGCTTAGTGGAATTCCTCACCCCCTTGCTCCTCTCTCCTACATAGTTTCCTTTTTGCTGTCACTGAATTTATTTAAATTAAACCACATATTGTTTTCCTTTGTTTCAAGGTGATGCAGTTGATTATCAGAAACAGCTGAAGCAGATGATTAAGGATTTAGCCAAAGAAAAAGATAAAACTGAGAAAGAATTGCCCAAAATGAGCCAGGTATGGACTTTCTTCAGTGCAGAGAATTAACTTTTTTTTTTTTTTTTGAGATGGAGTCTCGCTCTGTCGCCCAGGCTGGAGTACAGTGGCGCGATCTCAGCCCACTGCAACCTCCACCTCCAGGGTTCAAGCAGTTCTCCTGCCTCAGCCTCCTGAGTAGCTGGGATTACAGGCGTGTGCAACCACGTCTGGCTATTTTTGTATTTTTAGTAGAGGTGGGGTTTCACCATGTTGGTCAGGCTGGTCTTGAACTTCTCACCTTGTGATCTGCCCACCTCAGCCTCCTAAAGTGCTGGGATTACAGGTTTGAGCCACCGCGCCCGACCGAGAATTAACTGTTTTTTCAGATGATTAATCTGAGAATCAAGCTTGGGCCCCTTTACCTGCAAAGTCCAGGTAGCGGAACATCATAGTGATTAAATTGGAAATACTAAATTGTGATCAACTGAAGATACTTCAGATATTCAAATCGCTTCAAAACAGGAGGCTGCCACACACTTCACATCTTTGAGGAGTTTTTGTATAAAATTCATTTATCCAGGTTGTGATACAGATTTATTCCTCTGGGAGGTAGAAGTATTTGGGGCCACTGTGGATACAGCATTCTTCCCTTCAAAAATACTGTGCTTGCTCCATTTCCTGGGAAATCACTGGCTGCATGATACACAGTACTGATAGAGGAGTCTCTAAAACTTCTGAGCATCTTCCAGAAAAGGGTTGTGCCATATTCAGGTTCCATATGGTTTGTTTCATTTTGAAAATGGTTCCTCCCAATGTTTAGGAAATGTAGGCTTAAAGTTAAAAATGCTCCTTTTTGGCTCACGTCTGTAATCCCAGCACTTTGGGAGGCCGAGGCGGGTGGATTACGAGGTCAGAAGATTGAGACCATCCTGGCTAACATGGTGAAACCCCGTCTCTACTAAAAATACAAAAAAAAAAATTAGCTGGACGTGGTGGCGGGCGCCTGTAGTCCCAGCTACTCGGGAGGCTGAGGCAGGAGAATGGCATGAACCCGGGAGGCGGAGCTTGCAGTGAGCCGAGATCGCACCACTGCACTCCAGCCTGGGCGACAGAGCGAGACTCCATCTCAAAAAAAAAAAAGAAAAAGCTCCTTTTTTATAGGACTTAAGTCATTTTGGTGCTGTGGACTACGACCCTTCAAGAGTAGAATTTAGCATGCAGTTTCTCAGTCTTTTTTTTCTTTTGACCACAAAACATCTTGTGGGATTAGTGTTTCGTAGCATGTTTGAGAAATGCTGCTCGTCTACTGTGCTGGGAATTGCTCTCAGATGCTCATTCTACTCTCTGGATATATGATCAAAATGAGTTAAACTTCATCACTCAGAGCTATCAGTATTAACATTCTGATACACATAACCTTTTTTTTTCTATAGATGATGTTTCAAACAAAACGGGCCATGTTCATACTCAGGTTTCCTTTCAGAATAACCATGGATCTTTTCCCCCAAATAAATATTTGTTATATTAGTACCCAAGCATTTTTCTTTTTTTTTTTTTTTTTGGAGACAGAGTCTCACTCTGTCGCCCAGGCTAGAGTGCAGTGGCACGATCTCGGCTCACTGCAAGCTCCGCCTCCCAAGTTCATGCCATTCTCCTGCCTCAGCTTCCCGAGTAGCTGGGACTACAGGCGCCCGCCACCAAGCCCGGCTAATTTTTTTTGTATTTTTAATAGAGACAGGGTTTCACCATGTTAGCCAGGTGTTAGCCAGGATGGTCTCAATCTCCTGACCTCGTGATCCGCCTGCCTTGGCCTCCCAAAGTGCTGGGATTACAGGCATGAGCCACCGCACCCGGCCATACCCAACCATTTTTCTATTCTTGGAGTAATTGTGTAGCTAGATTCCACCTGAAGCACCTGTCCTCACATTACGTATTCTCAATTTCAGCAGCAGTGTCTCAGATTACACTGAGAAAACAACAGGCATCACTCTTCCATTTCATTTTACATTTAGGTCCTGCATGGCCTTCCCACCAGAGGAACATGCCCTAACTTTATAGCGTTTCAGCTGTTTCCAGCATTTTCCTATTATAAACTCTAGCTTAAAGATCCCTACAGATAAATCTGTACGTTGCTGTGGTTTCATTTTTTTTTTTTTAAGACAAAGTTTTACTCTTGTTGCCCAGGCTGGAGTGCAATGGTGTGATCTTGACTACCACAACCTTTGCCTCCTGGGTTTAAGCGATTCTCCTGCCTCAGCCTCCCAAGTAGCTGGGATTGCAGGCATGGGTCACCATGCCTGGCTAATTTTGTATTTTTAGTAGAGATGGGGTTTCTCCATGTTGATTGGGCTGGTCTGACTCCCAACCTCAGGTGATCCGCCTGCCTCGGCCTCCCACAGTGCTGGGATTACAGGCGGGAGCCACTGTGCCCAGCCTGCTGTGGTTTCTTGAATTGCTTTGTTAAAGGGTGTGCACATCCTCTAGGAAGGTCTACCCATTTCCAAGTCTGTGCTGAAATTCCCAGGAATCACCACTGTTAATAGTTTAGAGTGGAAAGGCAGAGACTACCTTTTCTTATATTCTGTGTCTTCAAAAATACTGTGTCGTTTTCTCAAAGCTCACAGGTATGTTTAAAAAAAAAAATGACACTTCCACCCTGGTTCTGCTGCTACCTAAGACTTATTTCAATTTCAGAGAGAATTTATCCAGTTCTGTAAAACTCTGTACAGTATGTTCCATGAAGATCCAGAAGAAAATGATTTGTATCAAGCCATCGCCACAGTCACCACACTGCTGCTGCAGATCGGGGAGGTGGGGCAGCGAGGCAGCAGCTCTGGAAGCTGCTCCCAGGAGTGTGGGGAGGAGCTGCGGGCTTCAGCTCCTTCTCCTGAGGACTCGGTTTTTGCAGACACTGGGAAGACGCCCCAGGACTCCCAGGCATTTCCAGAGGCGGCAGAAAGGGACTGGACTGTCTCCCTTGAACATATTTTAGCTTCACTTCTGACTGAACAGTCATTAGTCAACTTTTTTGAAAAGCCACTGGACATGAAATCCAAACTTGAAAATGCCAAGATCAATCAGTACAATCTCAAAACTTTTGAAATGAGCCACCAATCACAATCTGAACTTAAGCTGAGTAACTTGTAGCAAGACAGCAGCTGCTATGCACACTGGAGTCCACCATACCAAAGCACGAACCAGACTGTTTCTTGGGGTCAGCCCTAAACCGAGATTTCAGTCTACCTTACCAATGGGGCATCTGGCTAAACAACCTGACAAACTGTGGCCAGGGGAACCGACACAACCCTCAAGCATTTCTATGTATTGAGAATTGTCAGTGCCCTAAGGTATCCATTGGTTCCCTTGATGCCAACTTACAATTTTTACCGGATTTGCTGAAATGGGCACTTCTGCTGTGATGCTAGTGTTGATTTTGCTCTCAGATGAACACAATGTCTCATACTAACCAAGAAGCAAGAAAAGCCCCATGCTTTCATTTTTCACTTGGAGTGACAATGGGAGAGGTCAGGAATCAAGTTCACTTTCAAGATCTAAGGGAGTCCACTATCTGTGCAATTGTATTTGGCTTTTTTTTGCACTGTTTCAATGCTGGTAATTGAAACCATTTTAATATATTTGGTTGTATTCACTTTATATGTCCTTCCAAAAATGTTGTTGTGTACAAACCATGCTTTCAATGTTGGCTTCCAAGTTTTTTAATAAGAAACTTTTTGTATTTACTTGGTCCTTTTCTTTTACCTTGTAGTTAAGTGTCTTAAGCTGTAGACTGTGGCAGTGAATGGGTAAGCTGGAGATGTTGCTGCTGCCCATCCATGGTTTTTGGGTGGTGCAACACTACTAGGTACTTCTCAGCCCTGCCTTGGGTGTGCCCTACGGCTTCAGAGACCTCTTTATGGCAGCATTTAACATACAGCTTGTAAATGCTGGTGAAACATAATCTCAGCAACACTGCTTTAGGACTGAACTATTAATACAAATTTTTGTTATTGATACCTTAAGGAACTTTTTACTTCTGAACCTTGACTCCAGGTACCACGGGGCCATTACAAAAGGCTTAAAATATGAATCTGGTTATCTCACCAAAAATCAATTAATTATTTTAGAAGACAACAACTATACTCAATATGGATGTAGGCAGAAGCTTAAAAGACCTACTGCCACATTAATTTCATTACCTTTAAGATGCTACAGATAGATAGATAGATAGTATATCATTTTAAAGTTGTTTCCTAAAATGTTAAGATGTCAATGGCAACTGGATTCTACATCCTGGTTTCTGGAAAAATGCTTATCTTAGAATTAGCAAAACATACAAGTAGAATAATTAACAATATGCCTTCAGTATCCCAACTACCCAGAACAGTGGTTCTAAAACTAGGTTGCAGTTTGAAATCACTTTAAAACCCCAGGGGATGGGGAGAAGGCAGCACAGGCCATCAATTTGGGAAAAGCTCTTCAAATGATCCCATAATTAGGATAGGGTATACAAGTACATTATGTTGCAACTAAAAAGAACAAAAACATGAAGGCAATTTTATAACTTTATTTGATCTGACGATCAGCGATTAGTTCTCATCCACATTGACTGTCTGTAGATCTGTAAAGGAAGTAACAGTCAATTTCCATACCCACATCACATTTCATATTTCAACTCTAAAAACCTTTTGTAGACGGGTCTGGGCATTCTATTTTCCACAACCTTTTTACATCCCAGATATGGATCAGTTTTGCATTCTTTAGCATCTTCCCACACCAACAATTTAAAAAGGGTACAATGACGTGTGTCACCCCTAGCTTAACAGATGAATTCACATTTTAAGAGGTAAGGACATTTTTCTAATGAATTTAAATGGCTTTATGGGATGGAGAACTTACTTTTGAAAGTGGTAACAGGTACATAGGTAACCAAAGTATATAGCTTATTTGGTGAATCTTCATCCTCATTACGTTTTCTGGACAGCCGCACACGGATTCGGTATGGCACATTCCTAATAAAAACATAATTGTGTTGCTGAAGTCAATGCCTCCTTTCAACCAAGCAGCCACTAGCTGTATTCACATATCTCATATGCCTGCTTCTAATGCTGTCCTTTGCTCTACTCTGACCAACCTAGAACTTACAGTTCCCTGGAAAATGAAACATAACCCCCAGGTGAACATTAAATGCTGTTACCACAGGAGGGATGCTTGTTTGAAGACATGTTAAGGTAGCCACCATTGATACCCAACCGGTTAATCCTAAGCAGATATCTGGGTCCAAATGGTCCAAATGTGTTAGTCTTTTGTCTATCACCAGAAACTTTGTTACGTGATTTTTCTGTTACATTAAAATATGAAGAAACGGCATGGTGGCTTGCCCCTGTAACCCCAGCACTTTGGGAGGCTGAGGTGGGTGCATCATCTGAGGTCAGGAGTTCGAGATCACCCTGGCCAACATGGTAAAACCCCTCTCTACTAAAAATGCAAAACTAAGAGCCAGGCGTGGTGGCGGCTGCCTGTAATCCCAGCTACTTGGGAGGCTGAGGCAGGAAAATAGCTGGAACCCAGGAGGTGGAGGTTGCAGTGAGCTGAGACTACGCCATTGCGCTCCAGCCTGGGCAACATTAACTCCATCTCAAAACGAACAAAAAACAGTGTTAAAAACTCTGCCACAGGCGCATACTCTATTTCTCTATCTTCCACATGCAATCCCCTTGTCCTGTCTTACCCTCTCCGTAGCATCACAGCTGATTCTCTTTCCTCTATCGATGCCGGGTATTGTTCTAGGCCCCGATTCCTATAAACTCAGGACTTCTCTTGGCTCCTGTAATCCCATTCCTCTTATCCCAAGGCAGGCATCGGAGGACACCTCTCCTGCTGCACCCTTCAATGTCCACCCACAGAAGAGCTAGGTCTCAGGTCCCTGTCTTGTTCATCTCACTTAATCCTAAGGTTTAAATACCACACAGATGCAGACAGTCCTCCCCCAACCCGTTTCCAGAATCAACTAGTCCACACTGTCATCATTCCTCTAGCTGCCCCTCACTCCACTTCTGTTCTGGCACCTCATGACGTCCTTTACAGCACAAGCCTCCCCTGCTTTCTGGTTCCACTTTAGAGCAGGGTCCCCCAACATGAGAACTAACATCTGAGCTAGGCAATTTTTTGTTGAGGGAGCAGCCCCATGAGTTGTAGGATGTTTAGTAGTCCCTGGCCCACAGTATCCCTCAGTAGTGACAAAAAACACTGCCCCCCACCCCCGCCACAACCCCGGGAAGGACAGGTAAAACTGCCGCAGGCCAAGAACCACTTCTCTCCTGGTGGACTTGCCATGATGTCTAGAGCGACCCTCACCCCTCCCTCCTCCACTGGGCTCACAGTGATTTATTCCACTTTACCTGCGTTCACCACCCCGCTCCCAGATCCTGCCAAGCTTCCTCTCTCTGCAATGCTCTTTCCCACCCTACACTGCTGGCTCCTTCCCTTGGGTCTCAGTTCATAAGCCACTAAATTAAGGGGCTTCCCTGCAGATACTACACACCCTAAGTCACGGTCACAGTATTTTTTTTTTTTATACTTCCACATGCATTAACCAAATTACTGAACTGATATGGGCTCTTGCAGGGTTAAGTGAAGCTGGTGTCATTGCAAAAGTTCACCTTCGAATACAGATAACTTTAGCACCTTATTCCTTTGGCCCAGACAGCTTTGTTGAGCCTGGTGTCAATGCGCACATCTGGAGTTCCCATCTCCTTCATGGCAAATTTCCGAATCTCTTTGAGTGCCCGAGGTGCACGCTTCTTGAAGCCCCTACGATTCAAACATAAGTGAACAAATTAAAGGAGCACAAAACTAAATTAGGTACATGTGAGAAATCCTCAATGTCGATGATAGGCTCCTGGAAACTGACTTTAAGCAATGTCTTATGTAACAAAACCAAGTTTTTACAGCATACAGTAGGCCAGTGTGCTTAAAGCTCAGTGAAGACTTACTGTAGATGGTATGTCCTCCTAAAACCAGCCTAAACCAACCCTTAAACTAGGCAGTAACAATCCTTTTTTCCCACCAGTGTGCAATGCCCAGCAATTAGCATAACACTTAGGACAAGAAGATGCATAATCCACTTTCTGAAGTCCTCAATCAAAATACTAAATTTGATTAAATGTCATGTCTTAAGACAGGACATGTTTTTGGAACAGATCATTCAATGCTATTGACTTCATCTATGCTTAAAGAGCAGGGGCCTGAAGTGTGCAGGCAGGTCGCTTCTTGAGTATGATGAATGGCAGTAGTTAGCGCTATGAACCCATCAAGCAAGCTCACTTCACTTAAATACTTAAAACATCCAGAAGTAAACGGTACTAGAAATAACAGCAGCTGGCAATCCCTTGTTCTTCACACAGCTTATGTAAGCAACCTATTGAGTACATCAGATGGTATCTAGTACTACAGAGAAAGACAAACCAGGGAAAATAAAGCATTAGGGAAGGGGACTGCAAGTTTCTATAAGACGGCCAAGGTGGGCCAGGTGTGGTGGCGGGGTCCGGTAATCCCAGCTACTCGGGAGGCGGAGGTTGCAGTGAGCCGAGAGCGCGCCACTGCATTCCAGGCTGGAGACAGAGCAAGACTCCGTCTCAAACAAAACAAAACAAAACAGATGGCCAGGGTGATATTGGACTCAAAGTCTGAAGGCAACGAAGCATTTATTTGTGGAAAAAACATTCAGGCATAGGGAAAAAAAGGGTAAAAATTCAACAAAGTAGCTACTTTGAAACAAAAGCATGCCCGGTATGATTAAGCGGGTCAGCCAATGTGGGATCATGGCAAGAACTCTTGATTTCTAACCTAAGATAGAAGGCCGATGGAGGATCTGAGAATAGACCACGCATGTTTGGGTAGGGAAGGGAACAGGAGTAGGGAGCTGCTGCTGTCCGCATTCGGCTAAGAAAGAATAATGGGGGCGGTCAGAAAGACCAATGCAGCTGGTCAGACTGTGAATGTATTCGGAGGGTAGAGCCCACAGGATTTGTTAAATTGCCAATGAATGAAACAGGGAAGGCCACAAGAGGAAAAGATTGGGGTGGAGGTGATTCGGCACATCTCTCGGTAACAACCAGACGCGTGAGTTCGAGACCCAGGGCGGCTAGAGGGATACTCACACTCCATGGATGCGCTTGTGAATGTTGATGGTGTATTCTCGGGTTACCACTTCGTTGATGGCAGAACGGCCCTTTTTCTTCTCGCCACCCTTCTTTGCGGGAGCCATCTAAATGCAGGCGACAAGGAGGCTCAGAGCAGAGTTTAACAAGCTCAAGCCAAGTCCTCCCTCCCAGCCTCACGCTGTCACTCTCGGGGCGCTTCCAGGTGCTGAGAGTCTGGCCAGGCTAAGTCGGTCACCCAGTGGCCCACGCACCCGCGCCCCTGCGCCCCTCAGATGCCTCCGACCCGGAAATCCCTGCCGCTCCGGCTCCCCTAAGCCTGGTCACTTTCTTCCTCAGGCTCTGGGAGCCTTTAAAAGCAGGGTGTATTCCCATCTCCCCACAACCGGAGCCCCGGGCTGGCTCGGGAGAGATTTTGCGGTCCCAGTTAGCACAATCCCAAAGGAGGATGGGGCTGGATTCCAGGAGCCCAGACTCCGCCACCCATACTCACTCTGCAGCGTCCAAGTTGGAAAGGAAGAGCGCGAAGGATTGTGGGAGAAGGAAAGCCGCAGTTGCAAGTACAACTTCCGGGTCGCCAGGCAAGGGGGTGTGGCTAGGGAAGGGGAGAGGCGAGCTATGATGTAAGCGGCGCGCGCCGAAGTGGGGCCAGCTAGCAGGCGTCGTGGCGGGGCCGCGCTTTTGGGCCGCGAGCTTGAGGTCCCGCTTCTCGACGGATTCCTTCTGGCTCCGCGAAGGAACTTGCGTCCCTTCTCTAAGTCTTCGGATAAAACCAAGACCTAGGCCTACAGATGTATGGGAGCAGGGCCAGGGAGAGAGAGACTTCGTTTTTCCCATTCATTCATGCATCCGACCAACACTGACTGAGCCTGCGTCGGGCGCGGTGCCTGGCTGGCGGTCCCAGGGTCACTAAGACGCAACCCGGCGCTGGAGGTGCTTGCGTCGAGCAGGGCCGGCACAGGATTGCCAGTCGTGGCTGTCCTGTGCGGTGGAGCCACAGGGCTGTCGCGTCGTCCCTGTGCGTGGGTGGCCCAGTGTGTTGGATATGACCTGAGAGATGACAGATGTGAGATGACACGACAGGGAGATCTGAGGAGGTCCCCAGAGAACTGGGAACTGCGTGTCACCAGTCTAGAGATTCGGAGACAGTTGGATCTATGGACCCATGTCTTCCTTTTTCTTGTCGAACTCCCTTCTTTCACAGGAGCACACCATTTTTAGTGGTTTCTTAAGATGAGTACACTAGCTAAAAAGTTTATGAGCCCTCAAATACCTGAGTATTTATTCAACCCTCAAATTTAAATTCTGGCTTGTATGGAATTCTAGATTGAAAAGAATTTCTCCCCAGCATTTTGAAGGCAGGCTTCATTGTCTTCAGTTTTTCAGTGTGGTGAGAAGTGATGCGTCATTTTTTTCTCTCTGAAAGATTTTAGGATCTTCTCTTTAAAGTTCAGAAATTTCATGACGATGGTACCTTGAATTTAAGGAAATTTCCCAGAACGAAGGAGCTTGATGTTCCAAGTTGAAAGGGCCCACTTAATGCCTGGCACTTTGGTGAATGGGAAAATGCCCGGACCAAGTCACCCCTAACCTACTAACAGGGTTTTCAGCAATGGACATGTTTCAAGACCTCACAGACGAGACTGGAGGCAGGCAATTTCAGGGCTGGAACAGGGACTCTGATCTCATGAGGAATCTTTGCATCCTGTATCAGGGTAGATGTTGCACTTCTAGGTATCCCAGCAGTCCTCAAAGGCAAGAGATGGTGGTGGACAAGGAAGCCTCCCCCCATGTCTCTTATCAGACTCCAAAGGCCTTTCCAGAAACCTCCAGTAGATTTCTGCCTGTCATTGGTTAGGACTAGGGACTCCATTTCAGTTAGGCTGGGAGAGCACATGCCTGCCAAAAGCAAATGGGATTGTCACGATTACCTTGGCCTAATGATGGGTTGTGTATTTTGTGGCCTGGGCTAAACACATTGCTTTTGTTGTTGTTGTTGTTTTTTGAGACGGAGTCTCGCTCTGTTGCCCAGGCTGGAGTGCAGTGGCGCGATCTCGGCTCACTGCAAGCTCCGCCTGCCGAGTTCACGCCATTCTTCTGCCTCAGCCTCCTGAGTAGCTGGGACTACAGGCGCCCGCCACTACACCCGGCTAATTTTTTGTATTTTTAGTAGAGACAGGGTTTCACCGTGTTAGCCAGGATGGTCTTGATCTCCTGACCTCGTGATCCGCCCGCCTCGGCCTCCCAAAGTGCTAGGATTACAAGATAGACACGTTGCTTTTAATGCACAGAAGTGGGGTTCTGTTAACAAAGAAGAAGAGGGGCTGGCACAATTTGTTTCAACCAAATGATGCTTGCTCTCATCTCCTTTCTGCCTCCTCTTCCTCATGCTCAGGCACCCTAAAGCCTGCCTCAGGCCTTTCATACCCCATGGCCCTTTTGGGATCATTGTTCTGATCCTGACTCCCTGCAATCACACTCTGAAGATGTGATCTTGCCCCTTCTATCTGGCTCCCAGCACCTAGAGAGGGATTAAGGGACAGCTTTCTAGGGTACCATCCATTAGAGGTAGTAAAAGTGTTACTGTAATAAATCAGAAAGAAGTCTGGTGCCAGCTGACTCAAGTTTCCGTATAACTGACGAAATGTGAGTAGATCCTACCACTTGTTGAAATAAATAGATCCTTCCAGTGGGAATCTACAAAACATCCCCCTAAGATGTCAACTCTCCTGCCTTACATAAAGGTTGAACAGACATATAATAAAGACTGTTAGGTTTGAGGACTGAAAATCATTTGCCTGCCTGGGGCTCTGCAGACTCTTCCAGCTTCTGTTTCCCTCCCACGCCCCAGGGACCAGGCCAGTGACTACTGGGCCTGGAAGAGACCAGAACCATATAATAGGAACTTTGTAACTCTCTGGTGTTTGTTAGCTGGGCTAATCACTCACGTCTTTTTACTTTTACTGATGAGCAGAGAATCCATAAAATGAAACAAGATCTGAATGTTTCCCTGTCGGGGCAGCAAGAAAGTAGACAGGTTGCATTCCTGTCCACCAGCTTTAGGGGCAACAAACCTAAGGGGCTAAAGGAGTCCTCCTTGGCAGTTTCATCCTGGACTGAGCTCCAGGAAGGTCCAATGGGACTTCCCAAGAAGCGCCACCGAAAGATTTTTACAAGGAAAGAGGCGTGGTGGTGAAGAGGTGCTAAAGAGGTAGTATGGGTAGACCAGGCCTGGGAGGTCAGTGTGGAGGCTGTTTCTGTGACCCAGCCTAAATGGGGCCCAAATGAGGCAGCAACTAATGTGACAGAAAGGAGAGGAATGGCACAAGAAGTATTTGAAATTAAAATCAACAGTTCATAACTGACTTCATATGGAATGTCAGTTTAGGAGAAAGTGCTGAACAAAATCACATTAGAAAAGTAGACTACGGTATAATATATATTACATTGCAGAAATCAATGTGATTTCATGACTGAAAATGTTTTCAGCTCCATCACAACAGGATGACCCAATAACAGCAACAGAGGCAGCGCTTGACCCAATACCAGCTCTTAGTCTTACTCTAGGTGTCCAGATTTTAATCTCTTTTTTTTAATTAAAAGGAATCAGGACTCCTTGGAGGGTAGTCGCCTGCATGCTTTGAGAGAGGAAAAATAAAATAAATAAATAAATCAGTATGGGCCTTGATTGTGTTGTTCCCAGAAGGAAATCTGGAATCTGATTTCTGATGGGCAATGCTAAAAAGAGAAAAGAGCCAAACACAGGAGCTGGCTCTCACTGGCCGGGTTGTACCAATTTGAGCATGAAATAAATAACAATGGTCAATTAGAAAAGTTGAGTCCATAAAAGGCCATGAGTTCCTAACTTCATGCTTAAAATAAAACACGAAATATAAAAAAGATAATTGTAATTTTAAAAAGGAATCAATATCATAGATGTGCCTAAGTGTGGTTAGGGAAAAATCCTACGAGAGTTGTTTTGTGTTTCCAGTGAGCTTTTTTTGCCAGAAAAATAAAGCTGTTTGTATGCATAGTGTGAAATTAATGCATGTCTGCCCAAAAAGCTGCTAACAGGTATCTCTAGAGGATCCAAATTAGTTATTTATCTGGGACATTAATGGCAGACTTGGAGACCTTCAGGCTGTACCTACACTAAGTAAAGAGAGAAACCAAAGCAGTCTTGTACCAAAACAAATTTTACCAGATAATTTAGACAAGAGTGTAAAATGTCATGGCTTAGAACAGTTGGCTAGTTCCCCATGTCGCATGCACAAACAACATTTTAAAATTAATGTAATGAATTTTAGTTGAATTAGAGACAGTAAACTGAGTTAGTTGAAAAGATCATAAACTTAGTGTACTTGGGTTCGCGTTTCAGTCATTTCACATGAGCCAAGACTTTATAGTTTTACAAACAGAAAGGTCATGGTTTTTCTGGAAATAGGACAGGGTTGCAAAATAGCCTTTTAATGAGCAAACTTTAATGAATCAAAAGTTTAGGGATTAAACTTCCCATGACGCATGTGGGTTTAAAGAAATATTACACGCGTTTTCTGAGTTTATCCAAATTCTGAACAAGTGTAAGATTTAAGCAAAGCTAAATCAAATTAGTAGCAAGGCACACTCTGCCCTTTTTTAATGACTTCCAGCTAGAAAATCCTAGGACAATAAATATGCTGTCCATTAAAAATCTTGTTCTGCTTAAAAAAATGCTGACAGCAAATTAAATTACAAATTCTATTACAGGCAAATCAGATCTAGAAACCTTTGAATTTATAAAACATTTAAAAATAGTTAATCCAGTTTCACAAAGCATTTTTAAGAAGGGGGTTCATTTCTGGTTCCTTTAAAGAGTTAGTGTTTTAGTACGTGCAAAATATTTTCACTTACCTTTTTCTCAGGAATAGAACAATTGTGTGAGTAATAAAACTTTTTGGATGTATTTATATGGCACCCTCTCATGCCATCCAAAACTGATCCTAGTCATAGAACTGGGAAGAGCCATCCCCATTCTACATGGGAGGAGTAGGAGCAGAGAGCCATAGCAATGCAGCAGGGAAAGGAACTTTGCTCTCTTGGGCCAATGCTTTTGGAAGGGGCATTGCCGTTGCAGTGGTTCTCAACCACAGTACTCCAGGGTACCCTCCTTCAGCCCATGAAGCCTCATGATGGGGTGGCTGTCTGTAGTTGGCAGAAATCTTCTAGATGCTGCGGCTATGCCCCCACCCTCAACGTGGCATATGTGCACACATCTTATATGGAGACACACATACGCTGCCCACATCACTGATATCTAAGTGTTGGTGGCGAAACCCCATGTAATTCCAGGCTGAGTTTAATGATGGGCTATAAATGAATGCTTTGGTGGAGAATGTCTTGGTCACCTCCATGGATTTTACCTGTGTCAAGACTGAGATGTTGGCTGGGTGTGGTGGCTCACACCTGTAATCCTAGCACTTTGGCAGGCCGAGGTGGGCTGATCACTTGAGGTCAGGAGTTCGAGACCAGCCTGGCCAATATGGCGAAACCCCGTCTCTACTAAAAACACAAAAATTAGTGGGGTATGGTGGTGGGTGCCTGTAATCCCAGTTACTCGGGAGGCTGAGGCAGGAGAATCACTTGAACCAGGAGGCACAGTTTACATTGAGCCGAGATTGTGCCACTGCACTCCAGGCTGGGCAAGAGAGAGAGAGACGCTGTCTCAAAACAAACAAACAAAAAAAAGATTGAGATGTTTCCAGAAACTTTTTCTGTTTTGTTTTGCTGTCACTTCTACAGTAAACCATTTGTTTTTCGGGCACAAACTTTAACACAAAGATCAGAACCTGATAGGCCGATGCACATATTGCAGCTCAAAAAGCTGATGGCTTGCTTTCATCTTTTCCGTATCTTTGATTATCCTTCAAACATCTTGAAATTAGAAAAAAAGAATTACTGGTGAAAAGATGTATGCAGGGATGTATAACAAGGGACAGAGGAAATTGTACAAATTTGTTAATTTATTACAAAATTTTCACTCACAGAAAAACACAAGAAAACTTTTATACTTTTATATTTGGGAAAAGGAACTGGTATCTCAGATACAAAATAATTTACACATAAGCCATACAATTTTATTTTATATAGAAATAGGTCATTATTACAACAGCTGTACAATTCACTACGCTTCATCTTATAATTACATAAAATCTTTTCTTTAGAAACATCTCAACATAACAAAACATACAAAAAAAGCAAAGTGCATTTTGAAAAGGAAAATCCAATTCTCAGTATTCTCATGAAGATATGTAGAAAGATGCAGCATTCTCACTCAAAGGGCCAGCATGTGGCAGGGTCTCCTTGGGGACTGCAGTCCCCCAGGCCTGTCTGGCTTGTAAAACCTCTCCCCTCACAGACTTGGAGTTCTCAGCAGAATTCTGGAATGTTGGCTGGCATGATTGTGCTTTGCTTTGAGTCCACCTTTGTAGTTGCAATCAATGAAGTAAACAGGAAATAGTCCAGTGTTTTATTTAGGGGCTAAAAAATCACCACCAGCATGGCCTGGGGTGAAAAGCCTCATCCCATTAGGGTTTAGGCCAGAAAGTGTGAATCTGTAGCTTGGTTAATAACAACCAGCTTCTCTGATTGGTGGGCTGCTGTTGTTACTGTGGTCTCTAAATGAAGCCATGAGACCTTATTATTTTTTTAAAAAAAACAGAAAGTGCCTAAGTTATTTCCTCTGTGTAGCTGTGCAAATTAAAACAAAAACAACCATTTAAAAATAATGAAAAATAATCTCTTTATTCTCTCTCTCCAACAGATCTCTGACCCAGTCCTTCTCCAATACAAAGGAAAGACGATCAAGAGCGTGAAGGCCAGCTAGCGCAGATGGGCGGGCCGCAGGTGGCTAGAGCAACCGGTGTACTCTCGGGGGATGCAGCGAGATGCGCCATCTCTGACGGCAAACCGACCGACGATGCCTACACGGGGCACCTGGTTCCTGTCCAGTATGGCTATAGAGTGTGCCCAAGAACCTCGGAGGCAAGAGAAACACGGTCAGTATTCCTGATCATTTCCACTGCAGCAAGCGCTGCACTCCAGAGATGGTTACCATCCAGGAGTTCTGAAACGTATGCAGTGTGCACAAAAGCCAGGGGTTTAGTTCAGACTCCTCTCCCCATCTCCTGTGGCCACCCCCCTCATCCATTGGTTAAAGCTGATTGTGTCCCGACTTCAGTGCCGGGGCATTATCGGGGCGGCTGCTGGAGGCCTGACGACTCAGACAGACTGCTGACCCTTCGGGGAGGACGTAGGGGCTGGGGCTGTGCTGGGGGTGGTTGGGGGTAGCCCAGGGTCCCTGGCTGTTGTGAGTAGGTGGAGAGAAGTAGCGAGTCCTGCTGCTCACTGTGCAAAGAGGTTGGTGCCTGTACCTAGAAAAAAAAGAACAAAGGGCTTCAGAGGTGGTTCTGATGTCCGCTCCTCAACTGTCTTACAAGGCAGTGCGGGGCATGCTGCAGGTTGAGTTAGACTACAGGGCTGTCTTTCTTGGGGGGTCATGTGGGGAGAGGTGGCTCTGGCAAGACCTGGGGGTGTGGTGGGGATGGGGACTAAGGGAACCTTAGGGTGAATTCTGAAGCTAAGTTCTCCGCCAATAGTGGGGGCACCTTCTGGCCCAATCGACTGAGGCCTGTGGCTATGGCTATGGGGAATGGTTTCGTAAACACGTGCACATGATCTACATGTAGCCACAATGTTTTTGGATGATGGAACCTGAGGCCACATGCAGGTAGTTGACAGGGCAGAATCCAAACACACATACAGTTTGTACACTTTTCACTGCTGGTCCCTGATCCCGTAGCTACCTCCAGATTCACCAGCACCTACTAGGAGCATCTTGATTGGAAGTTTAGAAGCTTTGACTGACCAAAGCCTGACTTTGGAAACTTCAGTCTTATCACCCACTATTCCCTTCCATGAAATCTCCTCCTGCAAGTAACCCAGCACCCCCCTGCTCTCAAAGCTGCCCAGGCACAGCTGCCCTGAACTTTTGCTCAGGCTGTCTGGCTGGAACACTGTCCCTTTATCTTCACCCTCACCCACATTTCGGGCATTTCCTGGACATCAGACTCTGCAGTGGGTGCCTTCTGAGCCCTCCCTCTCCTCAAGTCCCTTCCTCCACAAAGGCTTCCCCACCACAGCACTCCCACTGTTCCCAAATCCGAGCCTGACTGCATTCTGTGCTAACCCACCTCTCTGCACCCCACCCCAAGCCCCTAAGGGCAGTGAGTGGGCCGAAGCGCTCTCTGTATTCATAGCCTGCATCTTGTCTGCAACAGGTGCATGCAAACTTGTCTGTTGCTCATTTCCCATCCAAAATCACTTCTGGGTCTCGAGAACTGACAAGATCTGCAAAGCCAAAGTCTGAGTTGACTCCCACTATGTGTGGGGTCAGGGAGATCTGAAAATTATAGCACAGATGGCTTAGCGGCACTGGAATTAAATTACGTTCTAGAACTTCAAGGACAGCTATCTTCATCACTATCTACAGTACTCAAGAGGTCTCAGCTACTGCTCATTCTCCATGGCTTTGCAGGTGCAGGTGGGGCTGCAGGCCAGGGAGGAAGCCCCCCCAGGACAGGGAAGGGCTGGGGTGAAGAGGGGCACCCTGCACATGGGTGAGGGAAGGCCAGGCCCTTCTGCAGCTTGGCAGACGCAGACGTGTGGCTCCCACGTGAACCTGCGGACCAGTGGCTCTCACCCTCCCTGCTTTTGACATACTTGGCACTTGCTTGAAGTAATTTTTGCCTTCGAAGTAGTGACCACATGTAAATGAGCTCCAAATTTTCCTGGCAAGCCCAATTTCACACATCACTGTATTTATGAAGGCAGGTTAATGGATCTTTAACTAAATGTGATTTAACTTTATGTTTATATAGGACTTTATAAACACACTGAAAAGTCCAACATAGTCATCAATGTTTTTCGACTTTTGCTCTAAAAACTGTGAACATATCAAGATGCAAATCCTTGAGTAGAAACTACTTTTTTAAAAAAGAACCTTTTTAGCACATAACCACATAAGGCATAATAGCCGACTCGTAATTTCATGTACTCTGTAGACATAGACTTCATAAACTTTAAGCATGAAAAACAATCAAATAACAATCTTTCTGGGGCTTACTTCTATACTAGGGATAGAACAACCTTGAAAGCAAGGGAATAAAATATCTCTGAGACTTCGGGTGTGGAGCGTGGCCCGGCTCCCAGGCCTGCACGGGGGCCCCCTGGGCCGTGGCACCCACCTGCAGGTAGTGCTGCGGTGGCTGCTGCCGGGCCTGTGCAGGCTGCAGGGGCGATGGTTGGGAGGCAGGGAAGCTGGGGTGGAGCACCGCCTGCCCCATCAGCAGGACGGGCATCGGGGCGCTGCTGCTGTTGGCGGGGTGTGCGTCTGGATTTTGAAACACGGTCTGGCTCTGGGCGTACCTGTTTCACGTGGGAAGGAGAAAACAGGTCCTTTAAGAAAGCAGTATTGATACGACACCAAAAGCACGAGCAACAAAGAAAAAACAAATAAGTTGGACTTCATAAGAAACTTTTGGCCAGGCGCGGTGGCTCATGCCTGTAATCCCAGCACTTTGGGAGGCCGAGGCAGGCGGATCACAAGGTCAGGAGATCGAGATCAGCCTGGCCAATATGGTGAAACCCCCGTCTCTACTAAAAATATAAATAAAAATTAGCCAGGTGTCATGTTGGGCACCTGTAGTCCCAGCTACTTGGGAGGCTGAGGCAGGAGAATAGCTTGAACCCGGGAGGTGGAGACTGTAGTGAGCCGAGATCACACCACTGCACTCCAGCCTGGGCGACAGAGTGAGACTCCGTCTCAAAGCAAAAAAAAAAAAGAAACTTTTGTCCATCAAAAGACACTATCAACACTATCAACAGAGGGAAAAGGCAGCCCACAGAGTAGGGGAAGATATTTGCACATCACATATCTAATAAGAGACCGATAACAGAATATATAAAGAATGCCTACAACTCCACAACAAGACACCCACACAACCCAATCAAAAAATGGGCATTGGGGCTGACATTTCTCCAAAGAGAACCTGGAAATGGCCAACACACACATGAAAACATACTCAGCATCAGTAGCCATTCCATTAGGGCAAAGCAGATCAAAACCAAAATGAGATGTCCCTTCACACTCATTACAATGGTGATTATCAAAAAACCAGGAAGTAACTTCACATGGCCGGGAGGAGATCGAGAACGAGGGGGAGGGGCTACACACTTTTAAACAAACAGATCTAGGGAGAACTCTATCACAAGAATAGCAAGGGGGAAGTCCCCACCCATGATCAATCACCTCCCACCAGGCCACACCTCCAACACTAGGGATTACAATTCAACAAGAGATTTTGGTGGGGACACAGAGCCGACATTTAACACAGTGGCTGCAGCACTGGACAGTTCCCACCAACAGAGCACTGAAGTTCAAGTGATTCTCCTGCCTCAGCCTCCTGAGTAGCTGGGATTACAGGCACGTGCCACCACACCCGGCTAATTTTTGTATTTTTAGTAGAGATGGGGGTTTCACCATGTTGGCCAGACTGGTCTTGAACTTCTGACCTCAGGTGATCCGCCCGCCTTGGCCTCCCAAAGTGTTGGGATTACAGGCATGAGCCACTGCGCCCAGCCTATTTCCACTTATTTGGATCATTTAGGAAGAACAGGTAAAATCCAGAAGCAAAACCAGCCCACTTCCTCCCACCTAATGATAGACATGAACGGAACTTTACAGATGGCTCCCCACAACCTGCAGGTCCCTCCTTACCCTCCTGTGACCAAAGGGAGGGCCAGAAAGTCTCAGGGGCAGAGGCTGCCTAGAAAGTTATCCTGAGGCATAGGGAGACCCCAGACAGGGCCAACAAGGTGGACTTTGAAGATTCAGGGAGCCCAAGGGGCCCGTGGCCTGGAGTTAGCTGGCCTCCAGCCCCACCATCTGCACTGTGTGGCCTTCGAGAATGTAATCTAACCCCTTTAAAGCCCAGCCTCTTCACTGGTTTAAAAAACAAACAAACAAACAAAAAAAGACCGAGCATGTGCCTACACCCTAGGGTTTTTATCGGGATAAAATTAAATAATGAACATACAGACCCTGACCCTCAGAAAGGCAGTAACCATCTGCCGTTACTCTCTGTCCTGGCTGAAGGAGGGCACAGAAGAAGGACTTCTAGGGAGAGGGGCCTGGGGGTGCCTGCGAGGCTTCTACATGAGGGCATCCCAGGCCTGATCGGCTAGCACTGTCCTGGTTAGTTCTGGACACAAAGTCAACCAGTGTTAACATGAAGGAGATGTCTGTGTGATAGCTCTATTTCTGCCTCATTCCCAAGGGCTAGAAACTGTTTTCCAGCAGCTTTTAAACTATTCCCCGTGTCTCCAGTAACCGTTGTCCCTAGTAATTAAGTAGCTGAGTAAAGCTGCTTCTGGTCCTACCGGTGCTAGTGGAGAGGAGGCTGGGGAAGGCAGAGAGGGGGCTGCTTGTCTGGGAGAGACGGGCCCGAGCACGGTGCCAGAAGCACGGAGCACCAAGTGTGCCTGCGGCATGTCAGCTGGAGCCTGGGGGAGGGTCCTTGGGAAGGGGGATGTCTCCAGGGGTGAGGGCTTTAGAGGGCTTTACAGGTGTAAGGAAGTCGGAAGATGATGGCAAACGGTGGGGTGTGAATTGTTTCATTCAGTGCTGCTGTAAGCATGGAGCGCTGAGTTTTTTCTGCTTAATTGGGACACGGTAGAAGAAAAGCTGAGGGGCAGCGTCCCCTTCACAGCTGTGGGCACACTCAGACCTTGCCTTTAGCGCAAGGCTCATGTGAGTGCTGCTGGCCCAGGCGGGTGAGTCTGGCCAGCCTGGAACCATTCCACCAGCGCTTGCCTCCTGCCTCCCGCCAGGGTCCACGTACTTGACTTGCCGTCCCGTCCTGCTGACTTCCGAGGGCTGCCTTGCGTCACAGGACCCGGGCATCATGGGCTGGATGGGCTGGCTCAGCAACAGCCTTTAAGCAGAGGTGGGGAAATAGGAAACTGATCAGCACCTGAACCACAGACCCACTGGTCGTGGCAGCACTTGCTCAGCCTGGCTGGACCCTTTATGGTTGACTCTAATCCCCACTCTCCTGGCTTCATTCTCTGAGGATGATGGACGCAGCGGGTAACCTCCCCTGGACCTCAGGATCCCAAGCCCTGTCCTCTGCTTCCTTAGCTGAGATCAACTGTGGACACTTTAGAATCTGTCTGAACTCTGCCTCCGTCTAAAGCAGAAAGTAGAGCTGAAATGAATGGGGTAAAATGATGCCTGGGTTATCCTTTAAACAAGGGCAGTCTCGTACCTGAGCTGCCGATCATGGCTGAAGTCTGGGCTGGGCTGGCACTGGCTGGCATCCTGGGAGGTGGAAGCAGGTGTGGTCAGATTCAGACTTGGCGGGAGCGCAGCTGTGGCGCTGCTGAACGGGGACACTAGGCTGCTTCCAGAGCGGCCGCTGCTCTGCATTAGCTGTGAGCTTCTCATTGGCTTTGGACCCTGGAGCATCATTTCAATGAGAAAGGTAAGACTTGGACTCAACCCTGGGCCATCTCTCCAGGAAACCTCCCAGTGTCTCCTCCTTCTACCTACCCTTGCCTTTCCTCTAAATCAGAACCTCCCAACTACTGAATTACTTTGATCTGTGACTGTCTTCCCCATTGGATTGTATTTGAATCCCTTGGGCCTAGGACAGTGCCGGACTCTAGGCAGGCAAGTAGCAAATGTGCCTTGAACTGAACTACTTTCTGCTTCAAATTCTACTGCAGACACATGGCCCTCCTGGCTGTTTCTCCAACTCACCAGGCCTACTCCTGCCCTAGGGCCTTTGCACGAGCTGACTGCTCTGTAGAATGCTCTTCCCCTGACATTGACATGGCTCATTCTTTCACCCCCTCAGGTCTTGACTCAAATATTATCTTCTTCAAAAGGCCTTACCTGGCTACCTCTTTACACCTCCAGCCATTCCTGGCCCTCACCAGCATTCCTGTACCATTGCACATACTATAATTTTCACATGTTCGTCTCTCTCCTCACTTGGAACAGAAATTCTTTTTTCTTTTTTGTTCACTGCTTTCCCTCAGTGCTCAGAATTTAGTGCCTGGCACGCAGGGAGCTGAGTGAAATAATAAATGAGTGAGGAAGTGGGCTTGCACCTGCTTTGGGTTTTCTGTCTATTTCACTGATTGTCCATTCATCCGATAACACAGTGCTCTCATTCTTAGTTTTTACAAAATTTTCCAATATCAGATAGTATAAATCCTTCCTCAGTTTTCTCTTTTCCAAAATTTTCTTAGCTCTTCTCACCTATTTTTCTGATGACCTTTTAAATCAAAAGGCTGTATTTTCAAGCAAAACCCTTACATTTGAAGAAAGATGGCCTAAACACTTCCATATGTGTGTTTATCTGTATTGTACTGCAGGTTATCTAAGTTCCCAGATTCTCTACTGGACTACAGGCTCCTCGAGGCCCAGGACAACTCTTGCTCATCATTGTTCCCCTGGGTCTTGGTGAATTCCAGGAGCTCAGCTGACTTTACCAAAGCCACGAGGGCATGGGAATGTGAGGCTGGAGGAAAGGCTGCCTTCCCATCTGTTATCCTCCAGAAGCCCTGCTCCAGACTTCTGAATTCCATTCCATTTGAGTGCCATTTATCTGCTGGCGATTTTGTCCAATTGCAAGGTCACTGGTGGCTTGGAATAGGTGGAAATGGCTACAAGGGTTTGGCAAAGAGTCTGGGGGGCCTGGAGGAGCAGTGGGGGCCTGGAGGAGCAGGGGGGCCTGGAGGAGCAGGGGGCGCCTGGAGGAACAGGGAGGCCTGGAGGAGCAGGGGGACCTGGAGGAACAGTGGGGGCCTGGAGGGGCAGGGGGCGCCTGGAGGAGCAGAGAGGCCTGGAGGAGCAGTGGGGGCCTGGAGGAGCAGGGGGACCTGGAGGAGCAGGGAGACCTGGAGGAGCAATGGGGGCCTGGAGGAGCAGGGAGACCTGGAGGAGCAGTGGGGGCCTGGAGGAGCAGGGGGCGCCTGGAGGAGCAGGGGGCACCTGGGGCAAGGGACAGTGAACAGCAGTGGCTGCTCATGTGGGTAATGGTTAAAACCAGAGTAGATGGCGGGGACCATGGACGTTGAGTGTTGGGACATTCAGCTGCCAGTGGGTCTCTGGGATGGCCATATCTGCCTCCAACCCTAAGTCAGCATCAAAGGTGAACATTTCAGCCGAGTGATATCTTTAAGCACGAGAGCAAGGGACTGAGGTGGACATTTATAAAACACAGAAGGAAGCCAATACAACTTGGGGTTTCAAAGTGACTTTAACAGAAGAAGGAAAAGAAGGCTCACTCCCAAATCTACCCTCAGTCCATAACGGAACAGGGCAGTAGGCCTCAGTTCACGTAGGCTGCAGGAATCAAGTATGTCCCAAACTGCAAGAGGGTGTCTGCTCTAGAGGCAAGGAGTGAAGCTGGCAAGGAGCACATTTACCTGGGTTGATATCACACTTGATTCTCTGAGCAGGTGCTGGCTTGTGACCTGGGCAGAGGAGATCTGCCCTGGAAGTTGGGGGCCCGCCCCGAGCTGGGGCTGAGTCACTGCAGCTGACCTTTGCTGTAGCTGCTGCTGAGCCTCAGGTCGCTGGGTGCTGCTGAAGCTCAGGGATACAGCTGGCTGCTGCAGGAACATCTGGGAGCAGAATAGAAATGCCTGTGAAGTTGGGGTCATGGGTACCTCACCAGTGTGCACCTCCTTTGCATTCCCTGTGCCAGTAAGAACTTTCTTGCTCTGAGCTGCCTAGAAATAGTTCATTTACTCCACTGGTGGACATGGAGCACCTGTGATGCCCCAAGCTCAGTGTCAGGCACTGGCCACAGAGCCATGGGCTGGAGAGACACTCTCTCTGCCTTCATGAAGGTTACAGGCAAGTGACTGAGGCCTAACAATGTGAAAGCTGTTTAGACCCAGATGTTCTCTAAATAATGTGATGTACTTGTTTAGAGTCGAGGTTGGCTTACCAGCTTCTTCCTAGAAGGGAGAAATACCTGGTGAGTGGAATGCATGATGCAGTCATGATAATATTGCCTCATGATATAGGGGCAGAGGGATGGCTCACCTGTGGCATGGGCCACATTGCCCTCGCAGTAGGACCAGGCTCTGTGTTTGCCCTTGAATCTCTGACCAGTGACTCGTGTCTGTACCCACATTACTGTTGAGAATTTTCAATCCAGTGCTCTCAGCTGAGATGGCAGATCTGTCATTAATTAAGGAACCACATACCCAGGCAGGCCAATAACATGGATATGATCACATAACATTAAGTCCATGCACTTTAAAATTATGTTCAAGTTTTGTAATCATCATGATCATCTCTGTGTTTTGTTACCTAAGGTGTCTCAGAGACATTTAAAAGGCCATGGGATATTAGCTTGGTGGTTTTAATTTGAAAGATTTAAGAGAATTTGAGGTGTTCTTGAGAATCCTGATTTAGTTCAAATAAGTTTGGTGTATTTGATTTAAAACAGTTGTTTACGCTGGGCGCTGTGTCTAACGCCTGTATTACAGCACTTTGGGAGGCCAAGGCGGGCAGATCGCTTGAGGCCAGGAGCTTGAGACCAGCCTAACCAATATGGTGAAACCCTGTCTCTACTAAAAATATAAAAATTAGCTGGGCATGGTGGCGCACGCCTGTAATCCCAGTTATTTGGGAGGCTGAGGCAGGGGAATTGCTTGAACCTGGGAGGCGGAGGTTGCAGTGAGCCAAGATCGTGCCACTGCGCTCCAGCCTGGGCAACAGGGTGAGACTCTGTCTTAAAAATGAATAAATAAATAAAACAGTTGTTTAGGTGCTTAGAAAGATTTTACTTCTTAGCTTTATAAGTCTGCCTTGTTAGGTACATAAAATGCTTGAAAGATTCAGATAAATTAAATGTGTAAATGAATAGTTTTGGTAGATAATGTTGATTATTCACAATCAACCTATCAACTAATTGAACATAAATAAAAATCTAGTTAGAGCATTGCTCTTTTTAGACCAAATTAGTAGATTCATAAATAAAACGGAATCTGTCAGTTGACTCTAAAGTTTTAAGAAAGACAACTTTTGTAATTTTAATAATAATTTAATGACAGACCTGAAACTGGCTTTTTAAACAAAAGTACCTCTTGGGTATTAAAAACATCAGATGGCACTGTGTCTATCATGATTCTCAACATACACTGTTCCAGTCCATCAGGCCCTTAGCCTGGAGTTCTTTAGGGGGAAGGCTCTCTGGCTCCCAGCATCTGACGTTTTTCACCCCATTCCTGTACTCAGTGCAGTCCCACCTCATATGCAGTACAGGACCGACAGGCTGACATCTGCTGAGTGTCAGCGCAGGTTTGGAGAGGCAGGCGAGGATCCCACCATGCAGGCGCGCTGGGGAGACTTACGGATCAGTTCGCTCAAGCATCTGTTTCATGGGTGGGGTCGAGCCACTTACCAGAGGCCCGAGATGGGCAGGTGGCTGAGCTGGGGCTGGGTTCTGATCTTTCTACCATCCCACGGGACCTCCCCAAACTCCTCTCATGCCCCACCCACCACAGAGAAGCCTGCAGTTTTGAAATGAGGACTCCTTGTCACTTTAGAAATTAAGAAGAATTTTCTGGGTATCCATCATTTTACACATTTTGAGGATTCATGTTTCATGCAATCCCAGCTCCCTATTAAAATAAGACTCATTTATAGCACATAGGGCAACCTATACTTCATCACTTCAGCAAAAACCTAGTAGTCAAACCCAATTACCATGCGTTTTTCTGGTAGGACACAATTTACCTTTTGATTAGAGTTTGAATAAATCCAACCTTTATTGATGAGAGGCAGTATAATTTACCTTAAAGCAGACCTATCTTAGCTCAAATTCCCACCCTACCATTTACTAGCAGTATGGCCTTCGGCAATTTTAATAACTTTTCAAAGCCTTAGTTTCCTCATTAGTAAAAAATAGTGACATTAAAAAAAAATAGTGACATTAAGAGCATATATCTTATTAAGGACTAAATGAAGTTAATGCATATAAATGACCTGAGACATAGTAAGTACTGAATGAATGTCAGATAATAACATTCAAAATGAAAAAAGGAGCTTTTTCCTCCTTCGCCTCTTTGGGCATATAAAAACTGTTTGATAAATGAATGAATGGAATAAATGCATGTATGAATGAATAAACATATGAATGGTGCTTTCACTCAGAGAAGGGCAAACTATGTCTGCTGGTGTTATTTATGTAACAGACTGTAACAGCAAGGTGTGCTACTCTGTCCCATCGATGTATATCCTCTGACAGTAGAAACCCTGCCCTGTTTATCTTTCTGTATCCTCACAGTGCTTAACCACGTGCCTGGTAAATAAAGGGTGTCTGTCAGATGGATGGATGGACTAAAGGATGGATGGAAGGAAGAAAGGACGGGCAGAAGGATGTATAGAAGGGAGGGTGGCCAGAAGAAAGGATGGACAGATGGCGGCTGGATGGAAGGACGGATGGAAGGATGGACAGATGATGGCTGGATGGAAGGATGGATAGATGATGGCTGGATGGAAGGAAGGAAGGACGGATGGAAGGATGGATAGATGATGGCTGGATGGAAGGAAGGATGGATAGATGGATGGATGAACCAGTTGAGGAACACGTCATTTGCCATTGCTACAGGTGTCCTTCTAGGCATTCCTTTGAGCAGCCAGCAGAGGGCGCGCATGCTCTCAAAAAGAGCAAGAGGCAGCCTTGGAGGGGGCGATGGGCCTTTCAGCACAACAGCTCTTGTCCAGGTAGCCCCATTTTCATGACCCCATCCAGGTGCAAACACCAACAGCCCTTCAGGACTTCTTCCTCATAACCCAAGGTTTTTTTGAAAAAAAAAAATAGTAAGCATCACAGGCACATATAGCCTCGACGAAAGTTTTGAAGCAATGAAGTAAAGCATCACAAGTCCACTGAGGTTGGGATAAAGGCCACTGGGTGGGGGACTGGTTCCTGGTTTGCTGCTGGGCACAGCCGTACTTCTGTTTATCAACAATAAAGTAGAATTTTGTGGCTTAAGGAGATGGTGACTTAAAAGGGCTCTGAGGTCAACTTTATAGAAAACATAAAAAAAAAAAAAAGTTCTCCAAGTGGGAAAAGTTATCAGAGAAAACAAACCAACAACTTCTAATTTTCAAGAACAAACCAATCCTACACTCACAGATGATTTTTCATTAGTGTTATCTGCTTATTTCTACAAATACTTGTCATTACAGGACATTTTAGAAGTATACAAAATAGACAAGTAATATAATGAAACCTTGGCATCACCATTAGGCTTCAACAATCATCAGTGTTTTGTCATTCTTATTTTATCTATCCCTCTACTTTTGGGGGTGGGCTGGAGTCATTTCTACTTGCTTATTCTTCACACTTGAATCACACAGTTTAGTTTAAAAAAAACAAATATCACATTTTGGAACATATTTCTTTAAGTCTTACAAAAAAACAAGGCAGGCTCCTTGAGGAAATATCCTCTGTCTCGACTATCTGTGGATTTCCATGATCTCTGGAAAATTCCACTGCAAAGATAAGGCCTCAGGAATGAACACAGGGCAGGAAGGCACCGGAGGGTGCAATTCCCATGCCGGCCGGCTCAGAACATCCCTCAGTGCACTGTGGCATAGGTACTTTGGGGTTAACCAAAGGCATAGGTCACAAGGAGGAAAAATACTTTGTTATAACAGGAGTGAAAGCGATAACCTTGCTGCCTGTTATTTTAAAATTCAGAAAAGGCAGGAAGTAGAAAAACTCCAGGCACTGAGGGGGATGTTCATACGCCTACCTCAATTTTAGCAGTTTCTGGCTCGATTTCCCCCTTCCTGTTAGTGTAAAAATTCCATTAAAGTAATTGGAGTCAGGCAAGCATTGGGCTCCCAGTCAGGCCCTGGATCAGTGAGAAAAATATTCCAGCTGGGAAGGCGTAAGTCAAAAGCCACTTTTTACCTATTCTGGTAAAAGGTGGAATGGCAGCTCGGTGACTCCATTTCTTTTCACGAGAAGGCCGAGCCTTTTTCTGGTCAATTTAAGGGTGCACTGAGGAGGTGGGGAGAGCAGCAGGGCTCTGGCATGGCCCAGGCTGTCTGAGTGAAGCCTGCTCAAGGCGCACACGCCGTGTCTTGAGGGGAGCAGGTGGGGAGGTGGCCTGTCCAGGGCGGGGCTCTTCTCTTTAAGGTGAGCAGCCACCTCTGAGAGGCCTGTGCAGGGGCAGGAAGGGGAGGGACAGTGAGCATCTAGAAAGCCACCAGGAGTGCCCCTGAGGGCCAGGCGGAGCTGCTGGGACCTCAGCGAGGCAGGATGGCCAAATGAGCATCTCCCTAAGCCCCCAGACACCTGCACCACTGTGTATTAATCTCAGCGTGCACCGGCTCACGGCGCTGTGCCCCGACAGAACCCGCCTGTCACCTATGGTAGGTGTGGCTGCACTTCAGAAGCTGTGTGGCCAGGGGAGGGTCTGCGTAGATGGTGATGGGGGAAGCAACAGGGACAGTGCTCCAGCAGAGATGTTATTTCTGCTTCTTTCTGTCCCTTCTAAGGGTCTCCAAATGCTTAGTGCTCCCAGGGCAGACGCCAAGGTTAGCTAGAGTTACATTTACAATCAAAGGCTGGGTCAGAATCAGGCACTTCTGAAGATACACAGTCCTGGACTAATGTAAGTAAAACATTATATATTATTAAAAGAGATCCAATATGTAAAGGTTTTCCTCCAAAACAAAACAAAAAACAAAACAAAACAACACCTCTCCAAACAATTCTAATATCTGGGGGTCACAGTGAGAGCTGCTGCTGCTAGGCTTTGCAGAGCTTCCCTGCTGGCACACCACAAATGGGGAGCCACCCAGCTCCCTCTGCAGTCTCCAGTAGGCTGTGATATGGATATCATCATTTCCCACATCTCCCTGGATGCCTGCGTTGGATGAGAAACAACAGAGCTGCTTCCATCTCCTCCTGATGGCAGCCTGGGCTGGGAGCTAGGAAAGCAAAGTTATAGAGGTGCAGGGAGGTACTACCCAGGACCGAGGCAGGCATCCATGCAGGGCAATCCAACGCCAAGTGCACAAGTGCAAACGTAGGTGGAGGCAGTGAGCAGATGTGCCTGTCAGAGTGAGGGGCGAGGGAAGAGGACATCAGGGGTGTGGCCTGGAGGCAGGGATGGGGACCGGGATTTGTTCCTTGTCCTTTGCAGAGACTGCAATATGCTTTCATAAGCAAATGGGGCTTGGCAGGGCAGTTCACAGGGCTTGGGAGGAAGTCCTGGCTGCCCGGAAATGGCGGCAGGACCCCTTCCCACACAGCAGCAGGGACAGAGGCCAGCCCGGGAAGGGGATCACCTGGACGTTGGAGTCCTGGACCAGGCAGAGCTGCTCCTGGATCTTGTGGAGCTCTTCCTGTTGCCACCGGATATTGGCCTGCAGGATCCGCGTCCGCTGCTCTAGCTGGTCTTTGATGGTCTGGAACATGCTGAACTGTGCCGAAAACTTCAAGGTGGAGCCGAAAAACATAATCAGATGAAAGAGTTATTTCAGCCTTGCAGGCAGATCTTGCTGCTGCTCGGTCTGTACACTTCATTTCCGTCCCTTAGCCGTCTTTCCCAGCATCCCTAAGGAGCCCACGGCTGGGTCCTGGGCAGTGAACAGGGGCTGCAGATGAGGTCTGGGCATCCTGGGGGCCCCTGCACCAGTCTTTCTCAGGCTGGCTATGACAGCAGGCCCACCTGAATCTGCAGACCTGACTTACTGCCCTGCAGTCCGGGAGGGCCACAGAATTGGGACAGGATTTTGTAAGCAATGTTCACAAACTGATATTCCAAATTTAGAGAGATGAACAAATGGTTCTGGAGATGAATGTCAAAAGCAGGACATCAGAGAGTCCCTTTTCCCCCTCATTTAGGGCATAGCAGTTTGTACGTGACAGCTTCACAGGCATTTTTGGGTCCGGTCGTTATCCTAAATCTGATCCTGGCTCTCTCCAAAACAGCCTGGGATCATCAAGAACTTTTCATTCCCCCTCACCCTCCCCTCTCCAGCCTTACTTGCTACTATGCACGTCTCGGAAATCTGTGCAAAAAACGAACAAAACAATCACCCAGTCTTTGCCCCGAGGGCCCCCTCTCCAGTGTGACTGACCTCGGGGTAAAGACACGGTGATTGTTTTGGGTCTCCCCTTCCTTTGGACCCTTAATCCTTTCTGGGGAAGGAGGCTGGCCTTAGGAAACTTGCAGGTAGTCTCTGCCTCCTGTCCCGTCTCCCTCAACACAGGCTCCTCCGCTTCCAGGAAACACTGTTTGGGAGGGATGGCAGGAGGGGCCTGCAGCCCCTGCTCTGGGCTCTTCGGGGCTATGACTCCCATATCTTGAGGCAAATGAGTTTGCTAGATTCATTCTGTTTTTCTCTTTCTCCCTTTTTACCATGATTTAACCTCCACTCCCTCAATCTCTAGCCCAACAATCTCCCTAGTCTGTTTCCTGCCCGCTGTCTTTTGCAAATGCCCCCAGGGCCTCTCTCTTTTCCTCTGCCCTTTGACCTCCCAGACACAGGGAGGCAAGGAGAGCAGGAGAGTTGAGAAACAGGATGAAATAACTGAAAGCATAGCTTTTGAAGCAGCAAAATAATAATAAAAAGAACCAGTAAGAGTAAGAATAGCAGGTGCTGACATGTGCAGAGACCCTCAGGTGCCAGCTGCTGCCCCAGGCAAGTAGAGGTACGTGTGTTGTGCTTCACGACGAGCCCATGCCACCCCAAGAGGCTGCACCCTGCTGGAAATCACACAGCGAGATGGTGGCAGCACCAACATGTAAATCCCAAGTCTTAGGAGCTGAGCAAGGCCAAGAAGTTTTGCCCACAAGACACTCCCATCTTGACCAGAGTGGCTTTGACCTCAGACTTCCTTTAAAAGGAAGGTTCTGTTGCTACCCATGCATTTAAAAATACCTGTGCTGGGCCTGGGGCGGTGACTCATGCCTGTAATCCCAGCACTTTGAGAGGCCGAGGTGGGCGGATCACCTGAGATCAAGAGTTTGAGACCAGCCTGGCCAACATGGCAAAACCCCATCTCCACTAAAAAATACAAAAATTAGCCAGGCGTGGTGGTGGGCACCCGTAATCTCAGCTACTCGGGAGGCTGAGGCAGGAGAATTGCTTGAATCCGGGAGGCAGAGGTTGCAGTGAGCCGAGATTGCACAACTGCACTCCAGCCTGGGCAACAGAGTGAGACCCCGTCTCAAAAAATATATATATAAACAAAAATAACAAAAATTAAAAAAAACCCTGCGCTATCCCAGACTCACAAAAATCCCAGTCAGATTGTGACTAATCAGACCACTCTGTGAGGATTTTGAAAGGGAATTCAACGGAGAAAGCAAACGAGCTATTCCAAGTATTTAACGAAACACAAAAGCTTCTCTGGCAGGTTCTACGAAGTCGGGAAACTCAGCGTTGCCCCTTCCACCTGCAGTGGAGGCGGCTCATCGGTGCCCAGTTGGCTTGGAAAGGGAGTGGCGATGGGCTGGGTTAGGAGGTGGTGGCTGCCTCTCACGTTATTCGGATTTTTTCAAGGCCTCCCAGACACCCCATCATTAGGCCCTCCTTACCTTCTTGATGGTGATGTTTTTGATAAAGAGAGCTACTCTAATTTAAAGACATTTTAGAACCATAGTATGAAGAAAGAGGCTTTTTTGGAAAACCACCAGTTACCCAGATAACCGCTCCTCAGATTTTGGATTTCATTTTTCCCTTCTTTCCCTGAAGGGTGAGGGGAGTGAGAGAAAAATCCCAGAATCTCGTTGTTTCACATGAAGTGGGTATTTCACATGAAGTGGGAAGAACTGTGTGACTTGGAAAGTCAGTATTATGCAGGGATGTCTTAAAGAATATAGTTATTGGCTGGGCGTGGTGGCTCACGCCTGTAATCCCAGCACTTTGGGAGGTTGAGGTGGGCGGATCACCTGAGGTCAGGAATTCAAGACCAGCCTGGCCAACACAGCGAAACCCCGTCTCCACAAAAAATACAAAATTAGCTGGGTGTAGTGGTGCATTCCTGGTAGTGGTGCATTCCTGTAATCCCAGCTACTTGGGAGGCTGAGGCAGAAGAATCGCTGGAACCCAGGAGGTGGAGGTTGCAGTGAGCCAAGATGGTGCCATTGCACTCCAGCCTGGGCAAAAAGAGTGAAACTCCGTCTCAGAAAAAAAAAAAAAAAAAAAAAAAAAATATATATATATATATATATATAGTTATTATTAAATATAGTACACATGACAGACTAAGAAGTTCAATAAATGAAAAATCAGAATTCCAAAAGAGACTGCATCACACCATCGTGTCTTGTAAACACAGACATTCTTCATAATGCAAGACCCAGAAGTTAAAGACATTTTCATTTTATGCCCCTTTGGATTAAAAGGTTACTAATTTCTTACCAAATAGGCCTTGGAAATTTAAAGAGAAAAACAGTATTCAGGTTTTTTTTTCTTTTGGCCTAATGAGGGTGAATATAGGCAGTTTTAATGAGTAGATTCCAGAAGGGTAGCTTTTTTACACCAATCTTCAAGCCTGACTCTGGCAAGCAGCACGCGTTAGCATGTGTCTTACTCCAGGAATGCATGAGAGACCCCCACTAAGAGGGCATATGTTCCGAAATAGTTTTCATCAGTGGTGACAGATGTGTGCCAAGACAGAGAGGGGCACCTGCTGCTGAACTGCCGTCTGGGACGCAGCTCTAGCCTGTGGCCATGGTCTGGGCAGAGCTAAGTCTCCTATGAGGGAACTGAAGTCAGAGCTCAGGCCTGGGCAGGGTTTGTCACTCCCCGTGTTCAGAACTCCCTGCTGAAGCACATCCCTGCTGTCCCCCTGCCAAACCATCTGGCAACCTCCTACCCACCTTTCCGGGGCCAACTCAAGCGTCACCTCCTCCAGGAAGCCACGTCAGACTTCCCTGGGTAGAATATTTCCTTCACGGTTCTATAAAAACGCATGCCCTGCCACGGCGGCGTCTCTGTTTACATGCCTGTCTCTCCCTTTAGTTCTGAGAACTAAAAGCAAGGGCTGACTTACATCTTTACATCCCTAACACCTCGCTCACTGACTGACCCAAATAGTAACTCACCGAATGTTGTTGAAACAAGGATGGAATTACTCAGCAAAGCCGTAATCCTTTTCTTTTCTTTCTTTCTTTCTTTCTTTCTTTTTTTTTAAACAAATGTGATATTTATAGTGCTGGACTCACGGCTTTTAGATCCTTTCAGTCTTTCTATGACATGCAGCCCAATTCAGACCTTTTCTAAAATACCATGGCCAATTTGGAGTCGTAAAGAACAAGAGGAATGTGGAAAAGTGGCAAAGAGGTGAACAGAGACTGTTAAAAGAATTAAAAAAACAGACTCTGGACTTCTGCAGCAACTTGGATGGAGCTGGAGGTCATTATTCTAAATGAAGCAACTCAGAAATGGAAAACCAAATATCGTATGTTTTCACTTCTAAGTGGGAGCTAAACTATGAGGTCACAAAGGCATAAGAATGAAATGATGGACTTTGGGACTGGTGGGGCAAGGGTGGGGGGATGTGAGGCATAAAGGACTACATATTGGGTACAGTGTACACTGCTCGGGTGACAGGTACACAAATCTCAGAAATCACCCCTAAAGAACTTATCCATACAATCAAACACCACCTGTTCCCTCAAAACTACTGAAATTTAAAAAAAGAAAACCCCAGACACTGGAAAAAAGAACTTGGAGACGAGAGGGTGGGTGTGGGGGGAACCTCATGGCTCGACACAGGCCACACACACATTGGGAGGGACATTCCCCCACGTCAGGGCCTTGGTTGGGACCTAAGTGTACAAGACCATCAGCGCAGCACACTGCGGACTTCTGGCTTGAGAGGGGCTGCCCTTTCCTGGGTCCCAGACTCACCTGTGCCATGGGAGCGGGCGTGCTCTGCAGAACGGTCTGAGGCAGGAGCTGCTGTGTGAGGTCGCAGGACGATGGGGAAGGCAGAGGGGCCTGTGGGAGAGAAAGGGGCTTTGTTACCACTGCTTCTGCCATTCCAGGGGACAGGGATGTGGTCTCTTGGTCCGGTGGGTTCTCTGCGTTCCGCACTGGGGTGAACAGCTCCAAGTCAAGAGTTCTAGAAAGTATAGGTGTCTGTTCCCTGGCTGCACTGCTTCCTACGCAGGGCACAAGGGCAGAGCCCCTGCACAACTGGTGCAGGCTTCCACCCCACCACAGTGTGCTCTGCCAGGCTGCTGCTACCTGCCCAAGCCTGGTAGCTCAGCTCTACTTCCCTTCCCTTGCCTGCTGTCCTGGACTCCGCCCTGGGTGGATTTGGTTGCTCTCCTCCCAAATGGATTAATTCTTAGCGGTGTCATCAAGCAGGACGACGTGCGTGGACTGCTACCATGAGCTGCTGTGCGTCCGTATCTTTTCTGCTCAGCGCTAATGCAGATGGACAGACACGCCATGCATGTTTGTCCATGAACTCATCCAGGCAGTGAGGACTGGGGCAGTTTCACCAGCCTCTGCCCAGAACCTTTTAAGAGACTCCTGGGAAGTGAGCTGAGTCACATCTGCGCTCCCTGATCACTCGGGTGGGTGGGGGAGACAATGTATAGTAACAAGAAATGAAACACTCTGCTTCACGGGCTAGTGGTTTTCTAGTGGTTTTTTTTTTTTTTAAAGAACAGTGAAAGGACTCGTCTGAAGTTATTCCGACACGGCCCCTAGTTGCTAGGGCCTATATAAAAAAGCAGCTCAAATGGAAAGTGTCACCCAGGACAGCATTGGGAGGAAATGACACCAGGAGACCTTGTTTCAGTGAGAAATCCCAGGCACAGGGCTGATCCAGAAGCTGGTCTGGGTTCTGTTTCCCTGCGCAGCTGGGAGGAGACAGAAGCACTCTGGGCCTCCGTTGTTGGCAAAGTGAGTCACACTGGACAGGAGAGTCTGGAAGAATGGCAGGCACAGCTTGCAAGCGCATCTGGAGGTGGCTGGAGAGAAAGTAAGTGGTCTTTGCCACATTCTACTTGAAAATAAAACGCATCGCCCAAGCTTCTCAAGCAGGGTGTGCACAGCCTTTATGGAGACAGCAAGCAGGAAGGTGGCACGTTCACTCCATCTCCAAAGTGACAGTGAAGTGTGGGTGGGAGGGGTTTGGCAACTATCTGGAGGTGGCCCCTAAAATTCCTGGGTACTTCTCCCGTCTAGAAGTGGAGGTCTATATCCCTCTTCATGGGTGAGCTCAGGGCTGCTTTGACCAAGAGGTATGGCAGTGGTGATACTATATGACTTCCGTGGCTAGGTCACAGAGGTCTGCATGGTTCCTGCCTGCGTCTCCAGGTGTCTCCTCTTGGAACCTGGAGTCCACCACCATGCCAGGAGAAGCCTAAGGCTTGAGAGGCCCATGCAAGTCAATGACGGATGGCCTCAGCTGAGCCCAGCCCTCAGCCACCCAGCCCGGCTGCTGGACATTCATGTGCAGACACCATCTGGTGGGTGCATTCCATAGCCTAGGCCCACGAGATCCCCGACACCAAGGAGCAGAGAAGTGCCATCCCCATGATGCCCTTTCTGAATTCCTGACCCAGACTCCATGAACTTCATACATGTGGTTGCTTTAGGCCACTAAGTTAGGTGTAGTTTGCTACCTGGCAATAGATGACCAGAGTGGTGCATGCCAGTGACTTTACATATAGCCAGGGCCATACATCCCGATGTTCTGGAAGGATCTGGCACATGTTGGGGACGCTACCTGATATGTGCAGAGGTACATTTTTGTTGACACTGAGCTGCTCAAATATTTTCACCAGCATGAAAGGGGATTCAAAACAGAAGAATCCTAATTGTGTAGCCCCAGGGGCTCTGGGGGTATGAGGGTATGACCCCGGGTTTGCAGTTTTGCCTTTAATCCTTAAAATTCACTTGGATTTTGTATTCTAATGGATATGCATCCATGTTAATTTTGTCATGCAAATGTTTAAAATTAGTTGCCAATTAAATTACTTAACTTCCCACCCCCATCTGCCACCCTACACTCTCAATCCCTAAGTAAAACGGATTCTCTGGGGAGACGCAGCACATCGCCTGGCTCTGCAGCCCCCACCACATTGTAGCGTACACCCGTGGAGGAGTTTGGGGTCACACACTTACCGGCATGGTGGCTGCCTGGCTGAGCCCGGGGACAGGTAACTCTTGGGGCAGGGTGGCTGATCTTGGCAAAGCCGGGGTGCTGGCCTCTGCCATCAGCTTGGTGGGAGTGGCTGTAAGAAAGCAACGAATGACCTTCTAACTTCCATGTACTTAGCATGTACTCATCCGAAGAGGGGACCCATGACCGTGGTGTGCACAGTACAAGAGCTCGCTTGGGATCTCTGATAAAGGAAGTCCACCATGCAGGGTTGAGCTGAACCACAGAAGCCCAGCCTGGGAGCAGGTAGGAGACACCACAAACACTCCCTAAACTTCATTTCGGCTGCTTGGTCCAATGAGCTGCCTGATCAGACGCCTCCCCAGAATTACTAAAAGCAGTCAAGGGATCAGATCTGTGCACAACCCACTCAATGTCTTTGCTTGGCAATGAATGGATACCAGAGTGTGGAGAGGTGATCAGGAGGCGGGAAGTCTGGGAAAGGAAAGGAGGAGTATAAACTGCACGGCAACCTCTGTCGGAGGCACAGACTGCCCTGATTCCACTTGGGCCCGGGACCCTCTGTGGGGCTGTCCCTCTGGTCTGATGTGGACATCCCACTCCCCATCCATGGACTCGCACTCACAGGTGGGTTCTGACATGGCTGTGTGCGAGGATTTGTGGGAACTTCTTGAGGACGCCGATGGCGAATGACTGGTATTAAGGCCCGAGGCACCCACGTCGAGTGTGTTAAAGTGCTGCCGAGGTTCCAGGCTTGAGCCCTTGTCCTGAAACACACACATCAAACAGTCCTCATGTCAGCATCAAGAGGAAAGAATCAGTGGGCGTGACTTTAGTTCTAAATATGTCGACAACCTCAGAAGCTGCTGAGACAAATACCATAGTTGTTTGGGGACGATTCCAAAGATGCTTGGGTAGAGTATATACATATACGTAACCTAAAGCCTCAGAGAGGCTTGCAGCCGAAAAGCAGCGTTTATTACCCTTTCTCGCCTTTTGTTTTTATTATTTACATTTTCGTAACTGACTTTCCATTTTATTATTTCCTCAACATTGTCACCTCACCACCCAGCATCTTGACTTTCCAAGAAGGGGGAAGGAGGTTCTAGAAATAAGGTTGCTGCTGGCAGTGGACTGTAAACTCATCCACTGGGACAGGTGCCTTTGGACCTTCCTGGGTCCTTCCCAGGCTTTCTCCTGTTACTCATTCTCTGCAGCCTCAGTGTCCCCTGGAGTGGAGAACCGGGGAGGGCAAGGGGTCTCCTGTCTTTCGACCTCTCGCTCCTGACTGACCCTGGCTCCCAGGATGTCTCTGCTTCAAATACAGTGTGACGAGAAAGCAGCTGTGACAGTCTGACTCCGAAGGACCGTTTTTCCATCCTCTGTGGCTTAGCTGTTATAGGCACATGAAAACAGGGGCTGGGTTGGGGCTGGGTGCGGTGGCTCACGCCTGTAATCCCAGCTCTTTGGGAGGCTGAGGCAGGCGGATCATTTGAGGTCAGGAGTTCGAGACCAGCCTGGCCAACATGGTGAAACATCGTCTTTACTAAAAATACAAAAATTAGCTGGACGTGGTGGCAGGCGCCTGTAATCCCAGCTACTTGGGAGGCTGAGGCAGGAGAATGGTTTGAACTTCGGAGGCAGAGGTTGCAGTGAGCTGAGATCATGCCATTGCACTCCAGCCTGGGCAACATAGTGAGACTCTGTCTAAAAAAATAATAATAAACCAAACAAAGGTTGGGATAATTTTTAAGCTAAAGAAGAAAACAAAACAGTGATTACCCTCCTGAGCCGCATTCCTAGCTAGTGTTAGAAGAATGGAAACTGCCAGCATCTCTGGGCTATGTCAATGGGCTGGTCTGTGTCCCATGGCCTTGGGTATGAAATCCCATGCGTGCGTCTGCGTGGCCGTTTTGTCTTTTGTGTCACGGCTGCAGTGGGGGTGGATATTGTACACCTACAGTAGGAATGAAGTGACTGACATGTGACCTACAGGCCTTTGTGCAAAACAGAAATACCAGATGTGGCTGGATGTGCTGAGGTAAATGGCAATTTGGGGACCTTGCTGCTTGGTTACAGTTTGCCTTTGACCAGGCTCCTTAGAGCGGGGTCCCTGGACCACGGCTGTTTGTGAATTATGTGTTCCTAGTCAGCAGAGAAGTCGGTCCAGGAAGCGAGAATAAGCCCGGAGGAACCTTGATGCCCATTTGACATCTCTGCACATCACGTCCACACACGGGAATCTGCATTTTACAAATGCACTGCACAGTGACAGACAGCGAAGCTATAAAAACCAAACTGGTTCAATACCACGGATAGTTTGGGAGCTTTTACTTTAAAGGGATTTCTTAACCCAGTGCCCAAGATTGTGTTTGTATTTTTTTTTTTTTTGAGACGGAGTCTCGCTCTGTTGCCCAGGCTGGAGTGCAATGGCGCAATCTCGGCTCACTGCAACCTCTGCCTCCTGGGTTGAAGCGATTCTCCTGCCTCAGCCTCCTGAGTAGCTGGGATTACAGGTGCACGCCACCATGCCCGGCTAATTTTTGTATTTTTAGTGGAGACGGGGTTTCTCCATGTTGGTCAGGCTGGGCTGGAACTCCTGACCTTGTGATCTGCCCGCCTCAGCCTCCCAAAGTGCTGGGATTATAGGCGTGAGCCACCGTGCCCGGCGATTGCGTTTGTATTTATACATATATGCATTTTGATGAGAAGACATTCTTTCGCAGGGCTCCAGGACTCCCCAAGGATCAGAAACCTCAATGATAAATTTCCGACTGGATGATACACACTACACCTGTTCTTCAGCGATGATGTATGGTGTGTCTAACATCTGCCTATTAGCAGCTGAATTCCCTTCTATGACGTGATACATAATGTATGGTGTGACACAGCTGGGTAATAAACAATGTCAGCTGCGTCCTATCAGCGTGCTGGTGATGAATTGCCATGGAACACACCACCACATGGCACAGCAGCCGGGGAGGCTCTGCCAAGGCACCCACTGCTCTCTGATCTTGAAAGGTGATTTCTCCTTCCTCCCAACTTGGCCCTTCAGGGGTGAGAGATGCTTCTGTTGGACCACAGACAGCCTGAAAGACTGGACCATTGCTGTGGCACCAGCCTCTGGCCCAAGGCTCTGGATTCGCAGTCACTGGGCACCCTGGAAGTTGAGCTTCACCAGTTCTAAGAGGTACTCCCCTCTCCAGCACTCACATTTGAACACTTCTGAAATTAAGACGTGTCCTTCCGTTGATGAAAAGAAACACTTGTTTCAGAGATTGGTTGGCAGCAATTTTTCTCTCAGTGGGAGAAATCAGGTGGAGGCCAGGCACAGTGGCTCACGCCTGTAATCCCAGCACTTTGAGAAGCTGAGGTGGGAGGATCACTTGAGGTCAGGAGTTCGAGACCAGCCTGGCCAACATGGTGAAACCCTGTCTCTATGAAAGACACAAAAATTAGCCAGGTGTGGTGGTGGGCGCCTATAATCCCAGCTACTTGGGAGACTAAGGCAGGAAAATTGCTTGATCCTGGGAGGTGGAGTTTGCAGTGAGCCGAGATCGAGATTGCACCACTGCACTCCAGCTGGGGCAACAAAGTGAGACTTTGTCTCAAAAAAAAAAAAAAAAGAAAAATTCATATGGATCTTCCAGTTGACACCTTCCTTAACTTTGATGAAATACAACACTCCCTCCCTTTCTTGCTTTTTTTTTTCTCCCAACATTTGTGTCTGCTTTAAGAATGGACTCCGAGGAACAGGGCTCTGGTCTACTTGCAGATGATCCCCAAGGTTCCCTGAAGCTGTGTGATGGACCAGGACCAGGGACAAAGAGACGTCTGGCTAGGCAGAGGCGAGTAGAGGGCTCAGTGTGTGGAAGGAAGGATGGAAGAGACTCTGTGGAGGGAAGGCCTTTCTACAGCAGGGCTCGCTGACCCAGAGCTGGCTCCAGCATGATGTTCACTAACACCCCTGGACACAGAAATAGAAAGCACAGGTGACAGGGAGAGTGGCGTGAGGGCAGTCTCCCCATAGGGTGCCTGGGTCCTGGAGGCAGTGCCACGGCCCTCAAGCAAAGGAAGACCAGGGACTCTGGAATTCCTCCACAACCCAGCCGGGGAGGGAGGAACTCCCCCAGTGTCTTATCTGTGGAGGAGATGCCGAGTGGACTCACTGGAGACATGCTTGTAAGGCTGGAAAGTCGCCGAGCCGTGCTTTGAGTCCAGGGGCTGTGTCTAGCCCAGCTCTGCAGGCTCTTTTTTTTTTTTTTTTTTTTGAGATAGAGTCTTACTCTGTCATCCGGGCTGGAGTATGGTGGCACAATCATAGCTCACCACAGCCTCAATGTGACGGCCTCAAGGGATCCTCCCACCTCAGCCTCCTGAATAGCTTGGTTGTACCCTTCCATTGATGAAAAGAAACCCTTGTTTCAGAGACTGGTTGGCTGCATTTTCTTCCTAGCCAACCTTTGCCGTATCCATCTGGCAGGGATGGGCGTACCTTTAGTGCTGAGGAGTGGAGGGCCTCGGATGGCGGGTCTTCCAGAGCCAGCTCCTGCCTCCTTTCCACCCGGACATCTGCGTAACTGTACAGGAAATTAAGAGACCACAGTGGAGATGGGGCATTCCAGGAAGGGATGACACCACCTGAACAGACAGCAAGGTACATCGAGGTTCTCTACGTAACCCCTGCCCCCCACAACAGTCAACACAGAGGAGCCTAGCCTGTGACTTGTTGGAAGGAATGAGCGTCGTTCTCTGCCTTAAATTCGACCTGAGTGACTTATAATATTACATTCAAAATCTTTTTATTTCCAGGATGTCTTTATTCCCCTCTCATTTACTATTCTTTTTACTTCCCTGAAATCTCCAATTGTAATTGTCTTTAAAAAACACATTTTCGTCTATGGGATAAGCTTCTGCCTTTAAATAATTAGAAGGCTTTCTTAAAACCTGCTCAGTCTGGACCGTGCATATGGAAGAGTGACACAAAACTTTTTTAGTAGTTACATTTCTCAGAAAGTTTCCTCTCAAACCAACCCGGACTAGCCAAATCCAGACTGTAGATGAGCCCACAGGCCCACTTTTCAGCAGTGTGGGTAAATCAACTCAACACAGGGACGCCCAGCTGACCCTACAGTGCCTCTGCCCCGAGTGTGGAGACCCTGGGGCAAGAGGCCTTGGAAAGCAACGTGGCTCCTGGGCCTCCGGAACGCCTGCCACCTGATTCATTCACTCTGTTCTCTTCCTCCTTTCTCTGAGAGTTTCTTCCAAGGATTTGAGAGGTGGAGGATGGAGAAGAAGAGCTGGTAGAGGGCACAGCCTGAAGGGTGAGGGGTGAGTGCTGCCCAGCCTTCCCTGGGGGTAGGGGGCCCTTGGGCAGAGGACCAGGCTGGGTGGCAACAGGCGGCTGCCATGGAGTCAGAGACCACTGCTGCTGCACGCCCAGTGGCAGGCTGGGAATCCAAGATCAAGTCCCTGAGCGAAGGCATGAAGTGTGGTCAAGTAGAATCAGGGTCATTTGCTGCTGAAAACTAGTGTTTCTCCCCTCTTCTGCGTGTTAAGGAAGAATGGCTGATTTGGTGACCTGATACATGTATGGTGTGAGTGTGTGTAGTGTCTGTCTGTCTACATCTGTCTGTTACATATATATAGTCATGTGCTTATGGGACATATTGGTGGTTCCCTAAGATTGGAACACTGTATTTTTACCGTACCTTTTCTGTGTTCAGATACGTTTAGGTGCACACTTACACCTGTGCTATGGCTACCTGTAGTGTTCAGTGCAATAGCATGCTGTACAGGTGTGTAGCCTAGGAACAATACACTATACGGTATAGCCAAGGTGTATGGTAGGCCACACCATCTAGGTGTGTCCAGTACACTCTATGGTGTTTGCATGATGACAACATCACCTAATGACACATTTCTCAAAACATATCCATCATCAAGCAGCAAGTGGCTGTATATAAGAAATGCATATGAAATTTCAAGTAGGTTTTTCTAATTTTATGGAATACTATGCAGCCATAAAACAGAATAAGTTCATGTCCTTTGCGGGAACATAGATGAAGCTGGAAGCCATCATCCTCAGCAAACTAACACAGGAACAGAAAACCAAACACCGCATGTTCTCACTCATAAATGGGAGTTGAACAATGAGAACACATGGACACAGGGAGGGGAACATCACACACCGGGGCCTGACAGGGGTGGTGGTAGGGGACAAGTGGAGGGAGAGCATTAGGACAAATACCTAATGCATGTAGGGCTTAAAGCCTAAATGATGGGTTGATAGGTGCATGGCACCATGCACCATGGCACATATATACCTATGTAACAAACCTGCACATTCTGTACACGAATCCCAGAACTTAAAGTTTAAAAAAAAAAAAAAAGAAAGGCATGCTGTCCTTCCAACTTTTCTTTCTTTGCCCTTCTCCAAGGCTCCTCTGTAGGCCAGCTTAAAACTAATTTACGTTCTTAAAATTTCCGTAGTCGGGGAGAAGACCATTTTCCCCTTCATCCTTGGGAACAGTGACCCCACAAAGGCAGCATCTATGAAACCCTGGGCATGCCGCGTCTCTTTAAAGTCCTGCTCACCCGCCCTGGGTGGAGGGCTCCCTGAGGCCAGCAGGGACCTCCCAGGAACCCGCGCCCACTGGCAGCCAGGCTGTTTTCCCAACACTGCCTCAGTTGCCAGCAGGGGTTTTTAAAGCATTAAAAATAAAGGGGAATATGTGTTTGAGTTATTTAGAGGTAAAATTTAAATTTTCTACTCAAAGCAGGAACAAGGGAAGGCTGTGGGCTGGATAGAGATGGGAAAATATGTAAGTAGGTCAGTGAAGCAGTCACTTACTAAGTAATATCCTGGCAGCCTGCGAGAGTCCATGAGGCGTTCAAAGGGGCCTGACTGAGAGCTTGAAAGGAGTCTCAGCCCTGGGAGGGCAGAGCCAGTGGTGCCTGGAAGCGAGCTGAGCTCTGGGAATTGTGCTGTTAACGGCAGGGGATGGCCTGGGCTTCATCTTCGAAATGGGGAACACCTGAGTGACTGCTGATCTGACTTGGCCATCAGGGGCCACGCCATCCTGCACCCCTCCCCCAGGTGCGACAAGGACGCAGCCGCACCCCTGCCCGTGCGCGGTACCTGACCACCGAGTGTGTGCACACGATGAACTCGGGCTTGGAGTTCCACTGATGGTAGGTGATGTAGTAGTGAGTCTGCAGCCAGATCCACTGCTGACCTTTGGTCAGAAACCGGTAGCAACACGACTTCCCTTTGCCAAACTGCATCACTGTCGGTAGAAAATGGATTCCGCATATAACCAATGTTAATATGAAAATGATCTTTTCCCCAAGAGTTATTGTAAAGATAAGCTTTCAAAAAAAAAGACAATACCAAACATGGCTTGTTTCCCCGGTTGCCCTGTATTTTAAGTGACTGTCAGGATCACGGTACACTGTCGTGAATTCTTAAACAGTGGAAGAGTGATCCATATACTTTCCCAAATGCTCAGACGCTTAAAGAGATCCTCAGATAAGGGCAGATGCAGACAGATTTTCAAACTGCAGGTTTAATGAAACAGAGGCTCAGGTTTGCCTGGTGCTCATCCTCCCGCCGCAGGCAGAGCTGTCTTTGGAGCTGCAGGAGCCCAGGAGAGAGCATCCAGAATTGGCCCGAAAACAGACCTGCCAGCCAGCAACCTCTGGACGGATTCTGTGGCTGCCAGTCAGCAGTTCATGCCCAGTCGACACAGTTCTCAAATAAAGAGTCGGGGACAGATGCCTCCACCCCAGGCTTCCCCCTTCCCCAGAGCTGCTTGCAGCCCCCCCATAGTGATGTCTGCTGGTGGCTTTTCTAGGGGTGTCCAGAGCAGAATGGATGCTGATGGTGTATCAAGCCTGGGCAGGGCAGAAAGATGGACTACGGATCCAAGGAAGAAGAATGATTTGGGTTTTATTGCCATAGTGCCTGGAACTTAGCACCTCTTTAGGTAAATGGTTAAGAGAAATCTCAACTAGGAAACTAACGCTACAAAAGGACACTGATGGCTGGGCACAGGGGCTCATGCCTGTAATCCCAGCACTTTGGGAGGCTGAGGCAGGCGGATCATGAGGTCAGGAGATCGAGACCATCCTGGCGAATACGGTGAGACCCCATCTCTACTAAAAATACAAAAAATTAGCCGGGTGTGGTGGCGGGCGTCTGTTGTCCCAGCTACTCACGAGGCTGAGGCAGGAGAATGGCGTGAACCCGGGAGGCGGAGCTTGCAGCGAGCCGAGACTGGGTGACAGAGTGAGACTCTGTCTCAAAAAAAAAAAAAAAAAAAAAAAAAAAGGACACTGACTTGGAGAATGTGATTATCTGAAGAGGAGATAAGCCCAGCAGATTGAGGGTGTGGGCTCCACAGGGCAAGGAGGTCTTGCCCAAGCCATGGAGAAGCCTTTCAATTGCTGAATGTAATTCTTCACTTCGGGATCTTGTTAAAATAGACACTCTGAGTAGGCCTGATTCTACAAGTGTAGCAAACTTCCCGTGATGCCTATGCAGTGTGGTCCTAGACCACGCTTTGAGGAGCAAGGAGTTACAGTTTTAATGATTAGCTTTAAATTCTAACAGCCGATCCAGATGGAACTCAAGCCTATTCTTCCTTCCCTCTCCACAGAAGAGAAAGTTCTAGCCAGGCACAGTGGCTTATGCCTGTAATCCAAGCATTTTGGGAGGCCGAGGTGAGCAGATCATTTGAAGTCAGGAGTTTGAGACCATCCTGACCAACATGGTGAAACCCTGTCTGTACTAAAAATACAAAAAATTAGCTGGGCGTGGTGGCACACACGCCTGTAATCCCAACTACTCTAGAGGCTGAGGTGGGAGAATTGCTTGAACCCAGAAGGTGAAGCTTGCAGTGAGCCGAGATTGCGCCACTGCACTCCAGCCTGGGTGACAGAGCGAGAATCTGTCTGTCTCAAAAAAAAAAAAAAAAAAAAAAGTTCTAATGGGTACTACAGGTGAGGCATCTTTTAAAGCACAATGTTAGTGGTCGATTCATGCATTAGGATCAATAGGTCAGTGTTCCTATTTCAAGTTAAGAGTTGGCACTGAAAATACAGCTGTAAGTGGTTAATTCTTGAAACCACTTGCTAAGTGAGAACTCGGACAAGCTTGTAATTCTCACTCCCCCACATCGTAAGTCCCATCCCCCATACATTTGCTAATGTGTTCGCCTCGTATGTGGCAAAGAGCCTTCCCTGAACCCCAGCTGTGAGGGTCCTCTTGAGTCCCCCAGTATGCTGTGTACATCCCCTTCAATGCACCGACCACATCCCACAAAGTCACCCATTTCTGGCTTTCCCAGAAGACCTGCCCTGCGGGACAGCAAGTAGGTACTGATCATCCCCATATGCCAGCCTACTCAGTATCTGGCCTATGGTTAGTGACCAATACTTATCTGCTGATGAAAGAACAGTTATGAGAATTCGGTATTTTATCTCTGAAATGTATTGCATAACTTAAAAAAAAAAATCCCTGCATCACCTTAATTTCTTAATTAGGTTTAAACAGGGCGCCTATCTGGATGACAGTGGGAAGGTGCTAGGGTTTGGGGCCAAGTGAATTCCAGTGACATGGGGGTAGACGCGGATAAGGGGCCTCCACCATGCCCCCAGATCATCTCAGAGAAAACCAAGTTCCTCACCTTAAAAAGAAACCAGGTAACGAGCAGAGGCTTCTGGAGTCCCAGAGCCCTGCTGCTGGGCCCCAGTGGAGTGAACGCAAGGCCCCCATGCCTGGGCTGGGCAGTGGTACTCACGGTGCTGGTGACACCTGGCCAGGAGCTCCAGGTCATCAATGTGGTAGTAGTCATAGCCTGAGGTTCCCAGCACTTCAAAAGGCAGGTATCCTATGATTGGAGGTGCTCTGCACAAGGACAAGGAGGACTTGTCATCAGGGAGGAGACACCCTGCAGGGCTCACCCTGGTGGCCATGCCTTTCCATAATGATCAACATGGAGGCCTCATTTCTCAAGAACAAGGGGAGAAAAATAACTTTGTAATGGTCAAAATCAGAGAGGCTGTGTTTTCCAAAGGGCTCAGCTTTTTTTTTTGGCATATAGATACTCCTTTCCCTTGGCATAACTTGGCCCAAATAACAATAAGCTTTATCACTACTGGGTAATTAAAAACAGCTACAAATTGGATCAGCCCAACACCAAAGTGTAATATAAATTAAAGGGTGGGGAGGGGAGATTTGGAGTTCTTCAACTGCAAATAATGTTACAAAAGAAACAGTAAAGATTGGGCTAAAAGATCAAAGGATGTTGAAAAAAATGAGATGAGAGATTTCTCTCACACTTGCTGCTGCCTTACTGGGAGCCGGGAAGGGCCTCAAGTGAGGATCATCCCAAAGATGGCCCGGGGCTGAGCCATCAGACCCAAACACAGAACATATTCACGATGGGGCAGATGAAGTTGGAGGGAAACCACCCACCCTTGGCAGGGACGACTTTTCCTAGTGCCAGAGAGTCCTCCTCTTTCAATGGACCAGGGCCGACTCTTCTCTCCCAAGGAGAGCCTGGCTCACGCAAACAAGACTTGAGAAGGGCCCAACCCAAATATGTTTTTCTTTTCTCAAACCTGTGATCCAGAAATAAAAATTTCCATTCCAAGCTATGCCTTGAAGTGAATTCCTCTAAAGGTTCGTCAACTATGCACATTTCCTGTATTGGAAGCAGAAAAAAAAAAAAAGTTGCTTGGGTGCCAGATGCTCACCCTAGGTTTGTTCAAGAGGAACGCGTGGTGGGTAACAGAAGTTAAAATCATTTCGAGCAAGTCTCCAAGTCGTGTTGGACTGAAACTCATCATCTGTAGCTAATTTCGGTATTAGCTGATACTAAATTTATTTCACAAGCTAGGGAAAAATACCTAGGAGCCAGAATGTCACACCATCCCTTCCCATTATCGAGAAGTGGCAAACATGTGGAAAATGGCTTTTCATCGGAATCTGAATTACTCATTTAACTCAACATTCATGCCATCGATGTTGAAGCAATCACAGATGAGAGAAGGCAGACAAACCCCCAGCGCTCCAACACTCGGTTCTCACCCAGGCCTGGCCTGCATGGTATTAACGCCGGTGTGAAAGGTGGGAAGATTTACAGTTATCAGACAGCACTTCTGCGGGCTGAACAGCAAGCGATGCTGCCTTCAAAGAGAACCACTTGCAGGAAACGGGGCAGGGGAAAGGGCGTGTGTGCAGGCACAGAAGCCAGACACTTCGATTTTCAAAGCCAGTGACAACTTCACTGCAATTTATTCCCTCCCAAAAGACCATTAATTACATATAACAAAATGTGAGTCAATCATAACAGCTCCGCACAATGAACTGCCTCTCAGGTACTTGCCTTTAAGAATTGTGGTGTTGCCAGACGAACGGTGGCAATGAAGCAAACCTCCTTTCCTAGTGGCACCCGGCAAGGTCTTGAAAGGGTGTTGTCAAAACCATTACAGGAGGGGCTAGGCACTGGGGGGTTGGGAAGAAGAGGACACATAGGTTAGCCCTGTCTGGTGACAGCAGCCAATCCCTAGTTGGCACTTAACTGTAAGCCAAGCGCTGCCCCCAGGGTTTATGTAGAGTATATTAACTCATTTCATTTTCACAACTGGATGAGGTAGGTCAACTATTATTCCCATTGCAAAAAGAGGAAACCGAGGAACAGAGGGAAGTAACTTGTGCAAGACCAAAAAGCTTGCTAGAGCTGGGATTTGAGCCCATGCTGGTCACCAGCATTCAGCACTGCCTCTCACTTCCACTAGCCCTATGGCTTATAATGCTGGGAAAAATAGTCTACAAAATGAGAACACAGGCCAGGCACAGTGGCTCACGCCTGTAATCCCAGCACTTTGGGAGGCTGAGGCGGGAAGATCACTTGAGGCCAGAAGTTCGAGACCACCATGGCCAACACTGTGAAACCCCATCTCTACTAAAAAACAAACAAACAAACAAAAACAAAAATTAGCTGGGCATGGTGGTGTGTGCCTGTAATCCCAACTGCTTGGGAGGCTGAGAATCACTTGAACCTGGGAGGCGGAGGTTGCAATGAGCCAAGTTAGCACCACTGCACTCCAGCCTGGGTGACACAGTAAGACTCTGTCTCCAAACAAAACAAAACAAAACAAAACAAAACAAACAAAAAAAAGAGAAGACAGCCTCATTCTGCAGTAACGGTTTGAATACTCCAGCCAGTGTTTTAAGGTGAATTCTATAATCAGTGTTCCTGATACTGATGGTCCCAGGGAAAGTAGGGGTGTCTCGGCATCATTGACACCCCCTTCCCTGCCCCTGTCTTGGCTGGCATACCTGGGGTTCAAGGGCCTCTGTCCTGAAACTCCCCCTTGGGAGCCCAGGCTGATACAGGGGTTGGGTCTGGGCCACTGAGGAGACAGGGCTCAGGATTTAGGGGTCACCCCCAGAGGAACACAACGCCTACAACAAAACTTGCTAGTTCCCTAGTGTGGCCCAGGTGACAAAATCTGCTCTCACGCATCTTCTTACATCTTCTCAAACATCTAGGAGGGCATTACTGTCCTAGGCCCGGAATGGTTCTATAATTAACCACGGTCACTCAGAAATAACAGCAGGGATGCCATCAAGTTTTTGGGCTCTAGGCCCAGGGTTCTAACAGGGCAGAGGGGGGACTGTCCTAGGCCCACAGCCATGGGCCCACATCATGATGCCGTCTCACACCTGCAGTAGCCTCGGCAGAGTCTTCTCTGTGGGACTTGGTCCCTGCCTCCAGGGCAACTGTGGAGAACGGACTGACCTTCTGGGCCAGAGAAAAAGTTAGTTACTTTTAGATGGAGTTTTTTAGGTGGGATAAAGAACCCTGTTAAATAGGAGAAAAGCCAATTTACTACGTACGTGGAACTCTCAAAGTCGTCCACGGGTGGGGTTCCCTTGGGACCCTGGGCACCGCTGCCTGGGCCCTAAACAGATCAGCTAATTCACAAACTCTGGGGTGAAGCCCAGGCACTGGCCTTCTCAAAGGCTCTGCAGGTTCACCAGTGTGCAGCCAGGCTGAGGATCCCAGGGCTGATAATCTGTGCTGCGTTTTTCACAATTATATCCTGCACATTCTGAACTGGAATATCATGATGTTCTCCAAGTTAATGAGGAACATATCGAGCATCAGAAAGCTAAATCATTATAAAATGAAATCTGCAAGATTTTCTTTGGATTTTAGCTTTCCAATCATTTTTTTAAATATATATATTTATAGGTTTCTAAAAGATTCTATAATGTGGTCTTCTCTCCACTAACATGAATAAATTCATTTTACCAAACATATTCTCTGAATTCATTCACATAAATACTAATGTTTCCAAACATGAATATAAAGTGGGCAAAATAAAAAACAGTGGTCTCTGGAGAGCTTACATCTGTCACAAGTTGGCTTAGGCTATTGCAAATGAATTTGTAAGATGAGCCAAGAAACTTATCAAAGGGAAGGAAAACAATTCCACATAAGGGACGGTTCTACAGATGTGAACATCCGCATAATTAAAAAAAAGAGACATTTGAAAACTTCCCAGATGTGAAATACTCTCTCTGCTAGAATCTAAGACATATTACCCAGCCAGATAATGACTAATAAAATTCTGACTCTTTCAGAATACCAAGACCTTCCAAACAAACTTCTGAGGGCCTCCCAGGAATTTAAGAGAAGGCCTCCCCCTTAATCTATCTCTAAACGATGCAACATCTTTGAACGATCTTTCAGCTGTTACATTCCTGTGCTCTGTCAGAAATGCCTTCCCCTGATTCACTGTGATGAGGAGAAGGGGACAGAAAAAGATTGTGAAGTGGGAGGCCCTGGTTGCTTCTTCGAGGGCAGCAGCGACCTGGACCATGGACATTAGGTGGATGTTTTGCAGAGCTTACTGTTGGCCTGGCTGCCCCCATAATGCAGTTTTATCTGCCCTTTTATAGCATCTAAGTCTTTAAAGATAAAAATGCACCCCCCAAAAGGAAGTTTCATTATTGTTTGTAGCCTGCATTTGATGAGCTAGATATTTTACAGATGTCCAGAACGGGGCAACTTCTCTCTTCAATATGCCTTTCCCACCAAAAAACTTAAAAAAACTGAGGGCATGATCAAGGGTGATAATAAATCAAGGATGAATGCTTTAATAGAGGCCAAGGAGAAAACCTTGGGGAAAACTAAGGCAAAGAAGATACTTTGAACATTTTGCCAGTTGCATTTGAAATAACTTTTTCCTGCAGCACGAGTCTTCTTGCATATTCTAGAGGCAACACAGGTGCAAACTGCTCCCTGGGACTTCCTAGTCATATTTAGCACTTAGAATAACTTCTCTGGCACTTTGTATCCCAAGGTAGTTTAAAGACATTAATTAAGGATTCAATTAGTTGTTTCAATTTAAGTAATAGAAAGAATATATCTAATTACAACTGGCTTCCTGAGACTCTCAGGATTACCCACTAACTGCAGGAGCAGCCCTGTTTGCTCAGATCTCTGACCACTCACAATATAGAGAAAAGCAACTCATTCTTGCTACATTTTCCCTCCTAGGGTCATCTTACTCAAAATTGACCTTACTCTTGCCGAAAGCTAAATATATAGCCTTCCCCATGGCAGGAACTGGGGCTCATTCTCTGTCTCCACCTCTGAGCACACAACAAGTGCTCAACATGTGTTTATCAGATGACTCTCCCATGAGATGGCCCGGCTCATCTCCAAATCCTAGCTTAAGGTCCAGTTCGGGAAGACACCATCTCATCCTTGCCAGCAACTAGCACACAGACCTTGGGACCCCAAGGTGGCTTCCCCTCTGCAGTGTGACCCACCTTGGTGCTGCTGGTGGCCCGTTCACTCTGCCAGCTGTGGGAGGTGCCCATAGCACATGGCCTGGGTTCCACTGGCAGGCAGGTGAGCTCACTGCCCGACTGATACATTAACACTAGTCAGCAGGAGGCCTGCTGCAGTCAGGGAAACTGCTGCAAATCAGCATACGGCAATCACCACTCTGTGATGGAAAACAGAGCAGGTGCGTGGCGTGGTCTTCTGCTTGCGGAGATGCAGGGCTAGCTTGCTTTTTGAGACAGAGTCTTGCTCTGTGCCCCAGGCATGTGCCACAATGCCAGGCTAATTTTTGTACTTTTAGTAGAGACGGGGTTTCACCATGTTGGCAAGGCTGGTCTCGAACTCCTGACCTCAGGTGATCCACCTGCCTCAGCCTCCCAAAGTGCTGGGATTACAGGCGTGAGCCACCGTGCCCGGCCTCGTGCTATCATGATGGTCTTTCTATTAAAACAGTCCACAGGTTATCACGTCCTGAAACTTTCATTACACTGTAACTTCAAAGACCCTGAGAAAGTTTTGTCTTGGGCTGGTATTCTTGGGATTCCAAAACCAGGAGAGTCCCTGGGACTCAGAATGAATCATGTCTGCCTCATTTGGAAGCACCCAAGGTTGGCTTCCAAGTCTGTCTGATGACAAAGGTGAGCTCCCAAATCAGCCATGATGAGGAGAAAAAGATGACTATGAGGGCAGGAAGATCTCAGGTGGTAGAGAACTTTTTTCAAAGGGCTCAGGAAGGAGCAAGGAAGATGCAGAAATGGTAATAGCATTAGTTAACAGCAAAAGAATACAAAGAGCTGGAGAAAGATGTCTGGCTCTGTTCCACTGAATTACCAGCTCAGTCATCAGAACAATTAAGTATTCTCATCAGAGACGACCTGCTTATGATAAATTAGTTGCAATGGCTGGAGGAAAACATACTAATAGTCCACAAGGAAGTGACAAATAGCTTTCTCGGCACTTCTCGAAACAAATGAAAAACAAGTCTGACAGGTGTCTGAGAAGATATGAAACTATCAGTGATGAGGTTTCGCTCCAGGAAGAATAAAGTTGTTAAGTCCCAATCGTGATAAACATCCAAAACATTCAGGCTATGGCTTTGGAATGTTGAGGGGAAAATAACTTTCTGCACATTCATGAGGAATCATCTCCCACTAATTAAGCACTATTTTCAGACTCTTATTTTTCTCTCTTCACAATGTGCTTGACCCAATGTGTTCTGAATAGCCAGGTGGCTGGGTTCCTAGGAGAGCACCGTGATAATCCTGCCCACTTCTTGGCAGGGGCACTGCCTACCTTACCCAGGGCATATTTGATCCTTTCCTTTCTGTTTCCTTTGTTTCAGCTGTGTTTTGCATAGAGAAGAGCAATGTTGGAGAAAAGGCAGGAGCCACAAGAGAGAGCTGGGGCTTTGCAAAAAAATTTTTTTTTTTTGAGACAGGGTCTCCTTCTTTGCCCAGGCTGGAACACAGTGGTGCGATCTTGGCTCACTGCAGCCTGGACCTCCTGGGCTCAACTGATCCTCCCACCTCAGCCTCCTAAGCAGCTGGGATCACAGGAGTAAGCCACCATGCCTGGCTAATTTTAGTTTTGTTTTTTTTTTTTTTTTTTTTGAAGAGATGGGGTTTCACCATGTTGCCCAGGCTGGTCTCAAACTCCTGAGCTCAAATTATCTAACTTCTCAAAGTGCGGGGATTACAGGTGTCAGCCACCGTGCCTGGCCTGGCTTTGCAATTTGCTGGATTAAAAAATGACTCTAAAGGGAAACTACATGTCTTACTCAAATATTTCTTCTTTCCTCTGGCAATTATTAATTAAAATGAGTATTTTTAGGGGCCAGAAGAGTGTAATGGCGTTGAGAAGATATCCACTAGACGGTTGGTGTGGATGGGCCAAATTATTTGTATGTTCAGGAAAGTGAACTTCCCTCGCCCCTGTCTTCAAAGTGGATATCTCACACACATTTTTATCACGATTATGGGACAACTTGTATGAAAGGTCCCCCCACTCCCAGACTGAAACGAGCAGAAAGATGAGGTTGCTTAAAAGCCTGACCATTCCTCATTGTTCCATTTTAATATGAACCCCAGGTGTCTGTGCAGGATGACGCTCCTGGGGCACAATTTTTTTACAGTGATTTTAACTCCCCTGCGATCTCTCTGGCAGCACTGACCCCTGCAGGGGAAGGACGGCCTGATTCTTTGCTGGGTGGAGGGGACACTCTGCTTCCCACTCTTAGAGTCCGGAGTAGATGAGACACTCCTTCCACGAAGCCGTCCACACTCGCGTCTCCATTCCCAGTGAGGTCTGGCGTGCATGCGCTTTGTTCCCTTTTACTGAGGCATCTCAATTAAGCTCAGCAAGGAAAAAATTCAAACCACCCCAAAGCCATAAAATGAGGCAACCTCCAGAAATCCCACGGAACATACAAAATCGAGTGTTGTAAGCTGAAAAGCCTCCACTTCTGCCAGTATTTCAAATCTGGTTGTGCGGTTAGAGGCGAGTAGGTAAAACGAGGGCAGGGAAACTTTTATACTCTGGTGTGTGGTTTCTGGAAAGCCCAGAGTGGAATGTTTGCCGAGGGTGACCTATTTGGAACCACACCAGCAACTTTTGAAATACTGCTTTCTGGATTTGTCAGACACACATCTACATCCAAGTCTGGAGGAGGAGCAAAAAGGCTCAGAGAAAGGATTGCCTTCTTGCATGAAGTTATCTTTCAGGATCTGGAAGCCTGCATATTAGGACCCCGTAAAGCAAAGACCTTTTTTTTTTGAGACTGAGTTTCGCTCTGTCGCCCAGGCTGGAGTGCAGTGGCGCGATCTCAGCTCACGGCAAGCTCCGCCTCCCGGGTTCACGCCATTCTCCTGCCTCAGTCTCCCGAGTAGCTGGGACTACAGGCACCTGCCATCGCGCCCGGCTAATTTTTTCTGTATTTTTAGCAGAGACGGGGTTTCACTGTGTTAGCCAGGATGGTCTCGATCTCCTGACATCGTGATCCGCCCGCCTCGGCCTCCCAAAGTGCTGGGATTACAGGCGCGAGCCACCGCGCCCGGCAGGACCTTTCCCCATGCCTTTGAAAATCACCCGGCCAGTTTCTTTCCACTAAGAGTGGTCAGGTGGGGCTACAGGACTTGGGCACCTGGGGTTTGAGAAAGGAGGCACTATTTCGCTGGAGAAGCAAGAGATGGAATTGTGTATTTGTCTGAAAGCATCTCTCTTTTGTTGTTGTTGTTTAAAGTATCTGTTACAAGCAAACATAGCCCTAAATAAAATCATCTTGTTAAGCTCTATTCTGGAAACAGTTGATTAGAGGAAGAAAAGGGCTGCTCCTACCAGTGGTCCATGCCAGTGCTGCTGGCTGGCCAGGTCCAGCGTGGGCTTTTCAGGGGAAGAGAATAGGACACGGGGTTACATATCCCAGCTCAGAGCCCTCCAAGAGGCTTTGCACAGACTGGGTTAGAAACTGTCCTCAAGTGAAACTCTTCTAAAAAAGACTACTTTCTTGTCCCATTTCCTGACACATATTTCTTCACATTTATTAAAAATCTAGGTTAAAGATGTGAAGTCCTGTCTTCCCTCCCCTGCCCCCAGAACATCTGTGGCAAATGATGAAGCCCTAAGGAGTGACCAAAATGTGCAAACATTGAAGTAGGGGAAAATTCCACTTGGCTGAAGGACCTGAGCAATGGCTGGTGTGTTCACACTGCCAAAGTGAATGGGGGCAGAGGAGAGGGGGGCATCCTCCACTGGGGAACCTGGACATGTCCAGTTGGAGAGTGTAACGTCACCTAGTTCACCAGAGCAAAGGGGCTTTGTTCCTCCCTTCCCCTCAAATTCCTACGAACTCAGCCCCATCACATTGTGTACAGAGCCTGACAAATCCCGGGTAGCCATGTGGGCGAGCAGACAACAAGATGGGATCCTCGTCTGTGTGCTTCAAGGCTCACACAGAGCCCTCTCCAGCTCAGCCTCACCCTTTCTCCTCTGCCCTGGAACCTACACATCTCTCTTTGGTTTGGGGCCTGAGGCTTCCTGTTGATGTGATTTTTGAGTGGTGGCCCAGGGACTCTCTCAGTCTTGGACCAACTCAGTTGATCAGAGGAGCAAGAAGAGAGCGCGTTAGCCGTGGAATACTATACAGCTATGAAAAGAATGAAAACATGTCCTTTGCGGCAACATGGATACAGCTAGAGGCCATTATCCTAAGTGAATTAACACAGCAACAGAAAACAAAATACCACATGCACTCACTGGTAAGTGGGAGCTAAATATTGAGTACACATGGACATAAAGATGGGAGCAGTGGACACCGGGGGCTGCTGGAGGCTGGAGGGAGGAAGGAAGGAGGGGGTGAAGGCTGAGGGGCTGGCTGCCTGTCAGGTGCTGTGCTCACTGCTTGGGTGACAGGATTATTGGTACTGCAAACCTCAGCGTCAGGCAGGGTTCCCATGTGACAGACCTGCACATGTACCCCCTGAATCTGAAATAAAAGTTAAGCCGGGTGCGTGGCTTGTGCCTGTAATCCCAGCACTTTGGGAGGCCAAGGCGGGAGGATTGCTTAGGCTCAGAAGTTTCAGACCAGCCTGAAAAACACAGTGAGACCTCATCTCTACAAAACATAAAAGAATTAGCCAGGTTGTTATAGCATGCGCCTGTAGTCCCAGCTACCCGGGAGGCTGAGGTGGGAGGATCTCTTGAGCCCAGGAGGTGGTGGCTACAGCGAACCATGATGGTGCTACTGCACTCCAGTCTGTGTGACAGAGTGAGATCCTGTCTCAAAAAAACAAACAAACAAACAAAAAACTGAAAATATTTTCAAAAGAGAGAGAGGGTGTCAGGAGCATGGGGCGGGGAGTCCTGAGTAGGGACATCAGGTAAGGGGGCTACTGGCCTCCAAACACCCAAGCAGCTGAAGTGAGGAGGCGGCTTGATGTGGTGGGAGGCACAGAGTGGGTGGGGAGTGCACAGAGCCCACAGACGAACTTCCCCAGCCACTCACTGCTGCTTCAGAGGCCCTCAGTGTGGACAAATCACAAGGCACCAGGAGTGACACAATCCAGTTTACCCAGTGCGTACCCACCTGTGTTCAATCTCCACTTTGGATTTAAGGCCAAAGAAGTGACTGCAGCTCTTCTGCATATAAGTGCACTCTATCCCCAGAGTGTATTGTGGAGCTGGTCTAGGAGAGAGCTCTGTTAGCTCCTAGGGAAGCTCTCTAAGCCTCAAGTCTGGTCTGAACCCTGCTCTGCCCTCCACCAGCTGTGTCCCGGGGCCAAGATCAAGCCTCACTTTAGGTCAACCTATTTTTATCCGCTGCTTATTTATGTGCTGGGTAAGGACCATGCTAGGCCCAGGAAGCGGGTACAGTAAGGGTCGCTGTCCTTCCCATTCCATTATTTATACATATATATAAAAAGGACAGGCATCAAATAAGAATGTACCATGTAACACTCCACTAACTAAACTGCCCAGCAGAAACACTAAGACTTTTCACAGTAATGGACCAAGGTGGGTTTCCTAAATAGTTCATCAAGGTATGAGCAAGTGTCCTATAAAAATACAGCAGATAGGCCAAGGTGGGGTCACCTGAGGTCAGGAGTTTGAGACCACCCTGGCAAACATGACGAAACCCCATCTCTACTAAAAATACAAAAATTAGCCAGGCATCGCGGCACATGCCTGTGATACCAGCTACTTGGGATGCCGAGGCAGGAGAATCGCTTGAACCCTGGAGGCAGAGGTTCCAGTGAGCCGAGATCACGCCACTACACTCCAACCTGGGTGACAGAGCGAGACTCCGTCTCAAAAAAACCAAAAAAAAACAAAAAAAACAAAAAAAACAAAAAAATGATGTTAGTGGTCATTTTTCTTCTACACATATTACCTATTATTATTATTAATATTACATCTTATTTTTTCAACTGTCACCACACCTGGGAACTTGGAGTTGGAGAAGTTGTATGGGGAGGCTTGTGTAATAGCTATGTTTTCTAGTTTCTTTTTTCTTTTCTTTTTTTTCTTTTTTTTTTTTTTTTGAGACACAGTTTTACTATGTCACCCAGGTTGGAGTGCAGTGGCACAATCTCCACTCACTGCAACCTCCGCCTCCCAGACTCAAGCAATTCATATGCCTCAGCCTCCCAAGTAGCTGGGATTACAGGCATGTGCCAACACACCCAGCTAATTTTTGTATTATTAGTAGAGACACAGTTTTGCCATGTTGGCCAGGCTGGTCTCAAACTCCTGACCTCAGGCAATCTGCCCGCCTCTGCCTCCCAAATTGCTGAGATTACAGGTGTGAGCCACCGTGCCTGGCCCACATTTTCTGGTTTCTGTTTTTGATGCTTTGACATCTGGGGCCTTGCTGGTGCTGGAGGGACTGCCTCTCCCAGGGTTAGCCAATTCCTAGAGAGGACAAACAACTCACCTTCCAGGTACCTTTCGTATGCAAAGCAACGCACCTAAAGCTCACACCCCAACCAGGTCCTTCAGGCTCTCATGTCCTGGTCCCTGTCCCCTGACTTAACCAATCCCCGGGCAGACACCAGATAATTAGGGACAGCTCCTCCCTCCCAGATCCCACTACACTTATTCATACTACTCTCTCTCACCCATTCTTTCTCTTGGAATCGACAATAAAGGTTCCCTCGGCCTCCTGACCAACCCCGGTGCTTCTCTGTGTGGCCCTGCATGGTGGGCCATGTGTGCCTCCTGTTCCCAGGGACCCGAGAGCATGAACCTTTCCCTTCATGACAGTCATTTCCATGACTGTGTGTCTTTGTGTTTGATTAAAACACATCTTGGGTGCCCTTCACACAGCCTGGCATGTGGGTGCAGGGCATCTGACATGCACAGGCATTGTAGGCATCATGGATCAGCAGAATGCCAGGAGGCCGGAGCGGGCCTGTGTCTGTTTCATTCCGACACAGATGTGTGAAAGGCAGCAGGCACTGGGGTGAAGAGTGTGGGCTCCGGGTTAGAGGGTCTGGCTGTGAATGTGGGCCCCTGACTTCCCACTCACACATCATAGATGCAACCCTTCTACGTGTCCATTTCCTCCTCTGTGAAGATGGGATGATGCCATAAACCACCTCAAAAGGCTGTGGCGAGGATTACACGATCAATGCAAAGCCTGAACTCTGGGCCGGGTGCTTAGAAAGCACTCCTAGGGTGAGCTTTTTTTGTTACCTCATTGTTCAATGTTTATTCAGAAGTAAACCTATGAAGTCAAATTTGAGTTCTTATATTAAAGCATATCTCATAGGTCACGGTGGTTAAATGTTGGCAATTTTATAGGGTGTTTTTTTTGTTTTTTTTTTTTTTTATGAGATGGAGTTTCACTCTGTCACCCAGGCTGGAGTACTGTGGCGTGATCTCGACTCACTGTAACCTCCGCCTCCCGGGTTCAAGCCATTCTCCTGCCTCACCCTCCTGATAGCTGGGATTACAGGCTAATGCCACCACACTCGGCTAATTCTTGTATTTTTAGTAGAGATGGGGTTTCGCCATGTTGGCCAGGCTGGTTTCAAACTCCTGACCTCAGGTGATCTCCTGCCTTGGCCTCCCAAAGGGCTGGGATTACAGGTGTGAGCCACTGCATCTGGCCTTTATAGGGTTTAACCTGAGAAATTCATTTGTCTCTGACAATTTTTGCTATTTTAATCCCAGTTAGAATGATATTTCACGTACTCCACAGTTACATGGGGAACTCTTGTCTCAAGAAAGCCTCTTCAATGCTGGTTTGTAGAACAGACTCTGAAAAGACACTCCGCACTCTTTCTTTTAAATTTGCCACATTCAGTGCTGCGTGTTTACAGCAGTAATAGTTTCCAAAAAAAAAAAAAAAACCTCACACATAATTTCCACACATTCTTTCAGGCAAACAAACACTATCTCAACCCATAGTGAAAGTAGAGCCCTGCTAGTTAAAAAAAAAAAAAGTCCCAGGTATTCAGAATGAAGCCTGCCTATTTCCTTGAAATCCTCCAAGATGTGGTAAATGACAGGATGCTTCAAAGGGATATTCAGCAGCATCTTAATGAGATCATGGAAATGTAAATTCACAAAGGATACAACTGCTGTTCGCCAGCCAATCACAGGCTAGTTTTTTGTTGTTGTTTTTTTGTTTTTTTTTTGAGACAGAGTTTTGCTCTTGTTGCCCAGGCAGAGTGCAAATGGTGCAATCTTGGCTTACTGCAACTTCCGCCTCCCAGGTTCAAGTAATTCTCCTGCCTCAGCCTCCCGAGTAGCTGGGATTACAGGCACCCGCCATCATGCCCGGCTAATTTTGTATTTTTAGTAGAGACGGGGTTTCTCCATGTTGGTCAGGCTGGTCTCAAATTCCCGACCTCAGGTGATCTGCCCGAAGTGTGTGCACTGTTGTCATGGGGCAAGAGGGAGCAGCATCCTATGATTCCCACAGTCTTGGTGCCCTGAGGGCCAGGGTGCCTTTGCCCTTTGCCCTCTGTGCACGAGGCCACTGGGGTATGTTGCTATCACAGTAGCTGCCATTATGGCCAAAGCACATCTTTTTTTTTTTTTTTTTTTTGAGACAGAGTCTTGCTCTGTCGCCCAGGCTGGAGTGCAGTGGCACGATCTCGGCTCACTGCAAGCTCAGCCTCCCGGGTTCACGCCATTCTTCTGCCTCAGCCTCCCTAGTAGCTGGGACTACAGGCGCCCGCCACCACCACGCCCAGCTAATTTTTTGTATTTTTAGTAGAGATGGGGTTTCACCATGTTAGCCAGGATGGTCTCGATCTCCTGACCTCGTGATCCGCCCGCCTCGGCCTCCCAAAGTGCTGGGATTACAGGTGTGAGCCACCGCGCCTGGCCATCATTTTTTAAAAATTGTGGTAAAACACATATAACAAAGTTTGCCATCGTAACCGTTTTGAAGTGCACAGTTCAGTAGGGCTGAGTATATTCACACTGCTGTGCAACCATCCCACCATCCACCTCAAGGACTCCTTTCATCCTGCAAAACTGAAACTCTGTCCCCATTTAGCAACTCCCATTTCCCCCTCCCTCCAGCCCCTGGCACTCACCATTCTACTTTCTGTTTCTATGAATTTGGCTATGGTACCTCATGTAAGTAAAATCATACAATATTTGTCCTTTGCTGTTGGCTTATTTCACTCAGCATAATGTCATCAAAGTTCTTCCATGTTGTAGAATGTCAGAATTTCCTTTCTTTTTAAGGCCGAATAATATTCCAGTGCATGTATATATCACACTTTCTTTATCCATTCATCCACTGATGGACACGTGGGTTGCTTCCACCTTTTGGCTATTGTGAATAATGCTGCTATGAACACAGGTGTGCAAATATCTCTCAAGTTCCTGTCTTCCCTTCTTTTGCGTGCATACCCATAAGTAGAATTGCTGGATCATATGCTAGTTCTATGTTTAATCTTTTGAGGAACCAGTGCACACGTAAAGCAAATTCCAAATCACTGTTTACATTAACTCAATGATAAAGTTGTCTGGGAGGAAGGCCATTGCATTCTCCACAGAATGGCACTGGTATCACACTAGGACAGTGCTTTTCAAAGTCCACAGCCCCTGGAACCAGAACCCCACAGTACTCCCCAACGGCACATTCCTGGGTCCTACCCTCCCATCTCCTGAGCTAGACTCTTTAGGGCAAAGGCTGAGAGTCTGCATTTTAATAAGTTGCCTCACCCAAAGAACCACTGCGCTAGGGTTAGTACGATGCTGGGTTCTCTACAAGGTGCCTCTTAGGTCAGTTTCTTTAACTGAGTAGCCCAACGAGAGCTTCCATTTACTTCTTTGTGTGGTTCATTAAACATTCATTTCATGAAGTTTAGACAAGCCTTTCAGATGAGTAGGATGAGGCATGGTTAGGCCTTGGCCTCATCTGACTTTGCCCAGATGTAGGGGCCCACCTGGGACGATGGACTTCCCACCACTTCCGACCATCTTAAGCCCTGGATGGGTCTGTTCCCAGAAAGGCCTCCCAGTCAGCCAAGGAGCCCACCATCCAGGCATAAGCCCTGCACCCTGGACCTGAAAATCATGCTGGCAGGATCACACTAAAGGTTTAGCATCTAGTTGGAGCCTTTTAAACAAAGCATGTATATTTATGCAAATAACATACAACAAAGGACCATCTGAGGTAGAAGGAAAAATCCTGGTTAGATGTGAGGACTTGGTGCCATTACTTTGGCTGTTTCTAATAGAAACCCTGGGACAAATTTGACTGAAGGAATAGACCCACCACGTCCAGAGTGAAACAGTGGTCAAGAACGCAGCAGAAGTTAATGCTGTCATCATCTGCTCTCTGCATCTCCCCCTCATTTCTGCAGCTCATCTTTCTGTTTTTGTTTCCTTTGGTATTTTTCTCATTTCCTCTTTTTTCCCCCATTCCCTGTCAATGCTTTATTTTATTTTTTTTCCATCTTTGCTGCTTTATGAAATGTTAGCTGTTTCAAAGTTATTTGTTTTGTGTTGAGTTTGGAGGAGCCCAGAAAACAAAATGCAGGCCATGCTGAGCTCAGCCCATAACCAAGTTGGCTTAGGACTTGGTTTCTGAATTCCTGGCCTCAGGCCTGCATTTCCATTTTGCATGGTTCAAAAGTAAAAATAAGTGTTTTAGTCTCGTTCAGAGTTGTTGTCTCTGTAGCCAGAGTTTGGTTAATCAGGTAACCGGGTACTTTCAGAAAATAAGACTTTGCTACTTGGCTTATCCTGCTTGATAATTCATCCAATGCAGATTCCTGGCTCATTGTAAAATGACCCCTTTGCTGTGCATGAGGGCCACAGTGAGCAGAAGACCTACGGACCAGGTCTACTAAAATACGCTCATGACAGTACTGCAGCGGGAGGGAAACAGTGTGGAAGGCAAGGTTATGGATCATCAAGTCACCACGAAGGCCTGTTTGGCAGAGCCTGTTCTTTATTCCCTGTATGTTGTTTCTCACAGTACAGAATTATTTCATCAGCCCGAAGATAAATAAATGAATAATGTGTGTTTCAGTGGGACTGTGTGCACTGGCACAAACAGGTGTGGGAGTGTGTTCCTCTTGAATGGGAGAGAACATCGATGAGCACAAAAACACATCCTGGGAACTCGAAAATTCAAATGCAAATGTGAAAAGCACGCGTTCTCCCTCCTCCTCCCTGGGCGATTCTTAATGCCCCCATGTGCACGTTTGCATGAGAAAAGACACTGTCACAATTATATGACAATTAAAGCTTACCATTGTTGTAAGAGCGAAAATTTCCTACAAATTTTATGTATTCATAAGTTGGAAATTCCTTTGGGTTCAAGCTGCCTCTGAGAAGATGGCAATAAAACTCTAAATCGCTGTCAGCTGGGCCGTTAAAGGAAGAAGAGGAGAGAAAGGGGTCGTGAGCATTGCACAGACTCTAAACAAGTAGCGTCTCTGTGAAAACTCTTATGGGATTTAGTCTACACATGGCCAGGCTAGTTCTCTCACTACGACTGACTTTTGGGCCTGGTTTGTAACCTTGCTGCACAGGGGTTTCCTTCCATAGTTCATAGATATTTTGCATTCCATACATGGACCCAATTAGTCTTAATTTGCTCCCAGATGTCTGTGGTTGGTAATGTTGGCATTGATTAGTTCCGGCTGTTTTCATATGGTATGTTAAAATAAAGCGGCTCATATAGAGCTGCTCCCTTTAATTTAATCTTTTTGCTTTGCTTTGAAGTAAAATCAGATGTACGACAGGACAGATTATTCATGGAAAATGGACACAGGCTTGCACTGATGCAAGCAGCTTTGCTACCTCATGCAATTGTGTATGCTTCATTAAGTGACCCGTGGTTCACGAGGCATCAAGGTTAGCCTTCTACCTAGGTTGCCAAATATTTTGATAAAAACGTCTGAATTCCACAGAACACAAAAATGTATATAAATAACCAGGTGAGAGCCTCAGGAGGACAGAATTTGGATTTTTGACCTAATTATTCCGTTTTCAGTTGGTTTCTTGATATTATATGAATTTAGTATCTTAGTATCCTCCATGATGAGCTGATTGTTCACTGATGTTTGCACTGTTTCTTACTAAAAGACTCTCATGCAAAAAAAAAGAGAAATCTTATCATATACACAAAATAAATTATTATTCTTGAGTTCTCTGCTTTCAAATTTTCCACATAAAAGCCAAATGTCTTACATATTCCAAATTCCAGTTTTAGCTTTAAACCTAAAATATACCTCTAAGGATCTTGGAAATGTTCTGAGTCATGAGGAAAATTATTCTTAAAATTAGTTCTCCCTTCTTAATTCATTCTAACCTCCTTTCAAAAGCAAAATTCTTATCTTTCTAGCTTGTAAAACCAGAAAAATTAAACTTACATTTTAAGTATTCTGGGGAGGGGGAATCCGTCACAAGCATATGGGAAGAAAGGATTTTATAAACTTCTGAATGTTCTTGTTCTGGGAGGAAATTTAACAAATTCTGATCCATGACATCCGACTGAAAAAGAAAATAAAGGACAAAGGTACACCCTCAACGAAGATGAAAAACAGAAGCAAAAACAAAAATTGAACATTCACAACAACGCAGAACTGGTTTCTGAAATGGAAAGTTCAATATCTGATTTTCTGTGGACACTCTCAGTTTATCACTCCATTGTTTTAAATAGTAACCTAAAGGGCTGTATTTGTTCAAATGCATATGTGCTGTTGTCTGTGGGCCAAGGAGGGAACTAAGAGTGAAGTCAGACAAATGTAGGAAGGACTGAGTCCTCCTGTTGCTTGAGAAGTGCTGTTTGCTGACACTCCTGCGTTTTGGCTGGGGTAGCATGGCCCCTGTGCACGCCCAGTGCGAGGCCAATCATTGATTTAAATGGCTCCAAAGAGCCCACAGGGTTCCTTTCCTGACCCTTAGGGCAGCAAAGGGCTGCCAGTCTACTTCGTAAAGGTCTTTAAGTTATGGAACTGCACGTTTTCTTCTGAGTGCCTTGGCACTGTGGTTACAAAATAAATACAAGGTAGAGTTCAGATTGAGTGCTGTCCAATAGAACTGTCTGTGATGATGGAAATGGTCTGTAATCTGTGCTGCCCGTAACAGGAGCCACTAGCCACATGGTTACTGAGCACTTGAAACGTGGCTAGTGTGAACAAGGAACTGAATTTTAATTTGTTTTTTTTTTTTTGAGACAGAGTGTTGCTCTTGTTGCCCAGGCTGGAGTGCAATGGTGTGATCTCGGCTCACTGCCAGCCTCCACCTTCCAGGTTCAAGCGATTCTCCTGCCTCAGCCTCCCAAGTAGCTGAAACTACAGGTGTTTGCCACCATGGCCGGCTAATTTTTTGTATTTTTAGTAGAGACGGGTTTCACCGTGTTGGCCAGGCTGGTCTTGAACTCCTGACCTCAGGTGATCCGCCCACCCCGGCCTCCCAAAGTGCTGGGATTACAGGCATGAGCCATCAAGCCTGGCCCATTTAATTTGAATTGAAATTTAAACAGCCACATGTAGCTAGTGGCTACCATATTGGATATGCAGGTAGGAGCTCACAGTGGACCGAGGAGACAGGCACCTCTCTCTTCCTCAGTTTCCCTCAATAAACCCATCCACTCTCACAGCTTCAAACACAATCTGTATACACTTTCAGGTTTGAATATCCAGCCAACTCTCTCATGTTCCAGCCTCAGCCTTCCAACTGCCACTCAGATGCTCCCTGGGGACCACAGATGAATACATGTCCTGAACATCGGCATTCTTTCCCACCCATATCATCTCCAACCCTTGTGTTTGCATCTCCATCAACAGTATCATCAGTTGGTCATCTGCCTGTCCCAGACCCTCTGGTGGCGCCTTTGTCTTCTCTCCTTCTCGTCCTTACCCTCAAACCAAACAGTGTCCATAGTACTGCCCATTTTTCTCCCTCAAATTCTCTGCTCCATTCACTTCTATTTCTCCAGCTTCCACCCTAGTCCAGACCCCCATCCTCTCTTGCCTGGGAATGATTTGGCCAAACTGGTCTTCCCACATCCACTTTAGTGCCTGTGCAATTTGTTCTCCATCAGCAGTCAGAGGAGCCTCATAACAGATCAAGTCACAACTGTCCCTTGGCTTCCGACTGCTCCAGGAACAAAGCCTCAACTGCTCAACACAATTTCACAGCTCTTCACAGCTCAGCCTCTGCCTCTCCCAGCTCCCAGCACTTCTCTAATCCTTCCGAGCCTTTTTTCCTCCAGTTTGCCTTCTGTTCTCCCCGAGCCTCACCTGGGCTGTTCCCTCAGGCAGGAACATGCTGCACCCTCCCCTTGTGTTTAACGAAGCCCTGTGCAACCTTCAGGTCCCTGCTTTGAAGTCACTTCCTCTGAGAAAGCCCCAGGTGACACCCTCCACCCCCACTGATGATTTAAGGGGCTCTGAGGGGACAATGACCCCCTTGATGGGACATCAGGTGACATGGCAAGGCGTGAGAGCTCAGAGCCCAGGCTTGAAAGCAGGTTCTACCCCTCCATGCTGCATTTTCCTCAGCTGCAAGGTGAGGAAACCATGAAGGTTCCATGAGCTCACCTGCCTCCACTGCTGATAAAACAGCACGTGGCAGACATTCAATAAATGCCAAGTGCGATTAGGCACTGAATGACCAGTTACAGAATGACTACAAGGGCACCTGCACCACAGTAACGTTTTCCTGTACAGCTATGTGCTGAGTTGAGCATTCCGCCTCCCTCTCTCCAACAGGAGCTTCAGGAGAGCAGGGCCCAGTGCCTTGTTCACCACCACATCCCTGATGTCCAGGATGGTGACTGAACTGACCAGCTGAAAGAATGGCGTGGCCAGCACTATGACAGGCATTAAAACAAGGTGCCCGGAGAACACTGTGGATGGTGTGCTGCCTCCACAATGAAAGGGTAGAGGAGACTCCTGGGGAACAATTTCCAGAGGGAGGAATCCTTGAGTGGGAGCCAGGGGACAAGACAGTGTCTGCCAGACAGGGTGGGAAGGTGCTCCAGCCAGGGGGCTCAGCATGCACAGAGGCATAAGGTGGGTACCCTGACAGCACTGCAGGAAGGTGGGAACAACAGGGAGGGCGAGAAGCCATGACAGAGGAGGTTGCACAGGGAAGCAGGGCCCAGATGAGAGAGGCCTCGGAGGAGTCAGGGCTCGACCCTGTGCCAGGAGGAGCCACGAAGAACCTGAAGGAAGGGGGTGGCAGAACTGCTCGTGCATTTTAAAGAGATCCTGCTTGTAGTCTGGAAGGAGAGAGCACTGGAAGTCAGGCTGGCAATGGCCAGGGTCCCAAGAGAGACAGGGGAAGGAGTGGAGAGGAGCAGACAGAGTCCCAGGCAACTCATCAATATCGTAGTCCAAACAATACTTGCTGAGGGCCGCCATGTGCCAGCCGCTGTTGGGCATGGGGAAGACACGTTGGGAAGCAGGCAGAGCCCCTCCCTGCCTGCAGTCAGTGTTCCGGTGGGTGTGAGGACAGTGGACACAGCTTGGTGGCTGATCGGAGGACAGGAGGAGGGAAAGGAAGGACTCAGCATGGCTTCCAGGCTCTGGCTCGGACGCACCGGTCTTTATCTTTATGGACGAAACTCTACCAGGATCCTCTCTCGTCTATGCTACCATTTCTCATTCTGGCTTTCTCCAAGTTTCTTCGGATGTTCCTGGTTTTATTTTAAGCCCATTCTCTCTAGTTTTTTTAGAAGATGACTCATGTTCACAGATGACAGTAGTCTTTCTTCATAAAGATATTTCAAATACTTGAAAATGAAAACTAAGTGACTCCATGGCCTCTTCTTGGAGGGCTCCATCTGAAGCCACTTCCCCTGACGGTGGGTGTGGCAGAGAGCAAGGCTGAGTGGCTGCCTGGCCGGGTCACCTGTGTGAGAGAACTTTACTGATACAGGTCCGAGGGCCAATATCAGGACACGGGTTCTGCACAGAATAAAGACGAACGCTGGATGCAAGTAGGGGCAGGTATGATATGTGGGAGGTTGCGAGGATGGTGAATTAACACACAGAAAGGGCCCCAGACTGTGCTTGGCTCTTGCATGTATTTGCTAGTACATTGCTATTATGCTACTTCCACATGCTGAAAACCAACACAAACAATGATAACTTGAAATTTTTAACCCTAGTGCTTACAGGTGAGAAAATTACATCGGCAGTTGAACGGTCCCTTGAATGAGCTGAGTTCTGTTTATTAAAATAATAGCAATTATGGAGACAAGGGAGGGAATGTGCCATCCACAGCCGTCTTTACAGCCGAGTCCCACGATCGGGAAGGTCACCTGCCTGTGGAGGTGGGCAGTCCTCTCTCCTAATTGCCTGACGGGCCTTGAACCAGCAGCACCAGTGCAGGGACACCCAGCTATGTTAAATGAGCCTGTACTAAAAGCACACTGAGGCTGAGCTGGAAGTAGGCTGGATGGACACTTCCTCCCAGAGTGTCCCTGAGGCGCTCTGGCAGTTTTGGCTTGAGATCTGTGCTGGCTGCAGTGAGAAGAGGCAATGGTGAGCAGCCCTGGAGAAACTTCACCTTGAGAAAAGAACGGCTTAAGAGAAGTCACTGGGGCCTTGGTCTCCCTAAAGGTCCAGGAAGTTGGAGGCATATTTGATCCACTTAGATTCAGTTTAGATTCAAAGTCAAACTAACGGCCATATGGTTAAGCTTTCAGAAGGTAGTGTAGAGAATGGCTTTGACTTTGTAATAGTAAGAATTAATTGAGATATAAAAGGTACCAATTATACAGAAAGAATCTCTGTTCATCAAAATGCCCTAAAAAAGGGGGAAAGGTAAGCCACAAAGTGAGAGAGGGTATTTGCAACACATACGTCTGTGGTATGGCCCAAAATTAAGGTTCTAAATTATATGCTGCCTTGGCATCTGGTAAAATTGGAAGGGCCTCAAATGGCCTAACTGCAGGTTCCCTCCCCACACAGACCCATGGATGAGGTCCCCCAGCCAAGCCCCCATCTCTTATCATGGGGACAGGTACAGTTTCTGCTCATCCCTGAGTAGCAGGTTGTGGAATTATTCAAACATGTCAATCATGTCCTCCTGTGGGGACCAGGGGTCACCTCACCCTCTTCTTACTGCACAGCCTGCTTCCCATAGCCCCTGCTGGTTCACTCTTTTCCCACGTGCAGCCCCCTGTGGCCCTGTGTGGTCCTCATCTGGGCTGTGAGTATCTGTGACTAATTAACTGCTGTTGGCCTCATCCAGTGTCAGCTGTGGAGTCTTCAGACATCCGCATTACCCTAGGGTGGGATGAATGAGAGGTAATTAAAACAATACCTGCCCACAACTTGTGTCCAGATCGCGGAAAGAAAGCCTACTCATAATTGCAAGAAAAAACCCAATCAAAGAGGATGTCCAAATACCTGAGCAAGTAATTCGGAAAAGATGAAATCTAAATGGTTGACAAACATATAAAGAGACACTCAATCTCATTGGTAATCGAGAGAAAAGCAAAGTACAACTCCATGAGACACCTTCATGTACCAGACTGACAAAAACAAGAAGTCTGACAATGCCAAGTTCTGATGCCACAGCACTGCGACGTCTCCACCTTGCTGGTGCAGGGCAGACTGGTGCCACCACTATGGCATCATTCTGGTGTTACTTAGTAAAGGTGGAGGCAGAACTTCCCTCAACCCAGCCATTCTACATCTAGTCAGTCCTCCAGGGATGCTTGCAAACGTTCATCAGGAAACACTACAGGATGTTCATGGAAGCACCTTCCAAGAATCCCTAACTGGGATGAATGCAGGAATTGCAGCACATTCCTACGATGGAACACACCCAGCAATAAGAAGAGCCCACAGCAGCTACATCTGCCAGTGTGAGGCAGATGCGAAGCACAAACGATGTTGAGCAAAAGGAGAAGTCACAAGAGTCCATTTTCAATGATTCCATTTATACACGGTGAAACAAAAGGCGATACTAAAGAGTTTAGCAGTGAAGTCAAAGTTGGTGAAACTACAAAGGAAAACAAGCAAACAATGACCTTAAAAGTCAGGAAAATGGTTGCCTCCAAGTGGAAGGTGGACGTGTGACGAAAAAGGGGCAGACAGGAGCTTCTGTGGTCCCAGCCATGTTCTATTTGCTCACCTCAGTGACAGCTGCATGTATGTTCACTTGGTCAATTTAATACTGAACATATGTTTTATACACACATCTGTATTTATGGTATATAAAAATCAAAAGGCATAAAAAAAATCTAACTAGAGGCCTGGAATCTTTTAATCCATGATCAACTCTAAGCTGCAGCTGCACCTGTCAGGGCTCTGCTCCGACCCAGGGACACCTCTGACAAAATGATGTGGATCAATCAGATGGGAGCTTCCAGCAGGTGAGGGCAGGGTGGGGTGGGAAGGGCAGAGGGATGCTTCCTGAAAAGGTGTCTCATGGCTTTGGCCTTGCTGCTGTGTTTTGTGTTAACACAGGCCAGGGGCTTTGGCTTTCCTTTCCTGGGATCTCCTCCTGCTGTGCCCCTGCCACAGGAACTTGGCTCCATATCCCATTCTGGTCTTGTATTTTCTTCTCGCTGGGGCTTGTACCTGGCGAGCCAGCATGATACAGAAGTATTTTCTGGCCTGCAGATTTCTCCAGTTTTATGAACACTTGTGCCTTGTTTTCTTTGGGGAAGGTAGGGTTATCCATGCACATAGTTCTCACATCCAAGGCACTCCCCACCCGTGCCAAGCTGCTTGCAGTTGCTCATAACCCCAGTTATGAATTCAGTCCCTCGTTCAATGAACACTTAGGCACATGGCAAATGTTCAGGGCTGGGGATATGATGTCTGCCTTAAGAGCTTAGCACGATCCAGCTCATTAGGCAACACTGCATCTAGGAACAAATCAGAAAGTAACCCAGGAAGCTAACTTTCAAAACATCAAATAAAAGCCCAAACAGGAAACACAGATTATGCCTACTTTTGGTCTCTCATTTGGTTCTGCCTCAGCCGTACTCTTTCCCCATTCTGTCCAAGGCACGTGACTCATGCCCCTTGGATCTCTCCCGCAAGGTTTTCATTCCAGAGGCTCCCGTGAGCCCTTGGCCTCCATTGTATGCACGTCTGTCTTGCTCATGTTCCTTGCCTGTGTCAATTCTAGACACCAAAATGTGCTGGTGCTGCCACTGCTGAACAATTCTCATTATTATTGTTATTTTTTTTTTGAGCCAGGTCTCACTCTGTCACCCTGGCTGAGGTGCAGTGGCGTGATCTTGGCTCACTGCAACCTCCTCCTCCCAGGCTCAAGCGATTCTCCCACCTCAGCCTCTCAAGTAGCTAAGACTACAGGCATGCGCCACCACACCTGACCAATTTTTGGATTTTTTGTAGAGACGGGTGTTGCTGAGTTACCTAGGCTAGTCTTGGACTCCTGACCTCAAGTGATCCACCCAGCTCAGTCTCCCAAAGTGCAGAGATTACAGGCGTGAGCCACCGCGCCTGCCAGTTCTCATCTTAAAATCACTTTCACTTTCAGCTATTTTATTCTCTTTTTTCTCTGCCAATTTGGTAAAGAAAGTTCTAGGCTATTTCATCAGAAATTGCTGTACGAAAATCTATCACATGAGCTTCTGTTACATCTGAGATGTTGGCAGTGTGAAGGAAACAGAGAGAGACTTGAAGCCCCACAGCCTGAGAAGTGGGAAGGAATTCTGGCTGCTCTCATCCCCCTTACAATGGCTCTCCAATCCCCAGTCACACAAGGGGCATGGGAGGGGACCCCAGCAGGCCAGCCTGTGCTTGGCCTGACACCAAGAGGGGCGTTGCTGCTGGGGCCCACAGCCTCCTGCCCCCTGACTACCCTGTGTCCCGACCTCCACCTCAAGAGCCGCCTCTTCCTCGAGGAGCGACCACCACCTCTCAGCTCCTCATTCTCCCTTTCTGAGCCCCACACTCTGAGAACATTCAGCTTTACTGTGTCCCGTATAGGATTCTGAGGAGTGGTTAAGCACCAAGCTCTGGAGCCAAAGTGCCTGAGTTCAAATCCCAGCTCTTCACTGTCTGGCTGTGGAACCTTGGGTAAATTATTCAATCTCTCTGTGCCTCAGTTTCATCATCTGTGAACTGGGTAACTATGTACTTCATAGGATCCATAAGGATAAGGAGAGCAAATATAAAACAGCCTCGCTCTGGGCCAGGCACGGTTCTATGCGCCTACACATATTAACGCATGTGAGTGACTCTTAATGGTGCCTGCTACATTGTAAGTGCTCAGTGTTAGTCACCCAAGGTTTAATGGGTAAAATCTCTCAACAAAATTGCAAAAGGAAAGACAACCTCACAAGTTTTGAAATGTTGCATCATCTGTGGAAAGGACCTGGGCTCACAAGGAGTGATATTTAATAGTTAAGTATGCATCTAAGTAAACCAAACCAAAATCAGAATTCCTAAATTATGACCCAAATCCTGGGCACCAGAAAGACACCAGAGCAGACTGGTGACCAGCCTGGGTTCTGCAGTCAGCTACCCCTGGGGTAAGCCCCACTGTGCCTCTCACTGCCTGGGCCATTGGGGCTTCCTCCCCATAGTGGAAGTCATAGAGGTCTGACTCCCAGATCCGCTCCTCTGCCCAACCAGCTGTATGCTGATTGCACCAGGGAAGTTTCCATCCTCAGCAGCCTTTGCCTACCCACTTGCAAAGGAAGATCCTGGTGAAAACTGGATAATGAAAGCTGAAAGTAAATTGCAGTTAAATTTGGGGACTGCCTGGCCCAGGCTCACCTGCACCAGGGAGTTGAGGGCTGACTCACTGTATGTGTCTGGGCATGGGTATATATATACAGAGTCTTAGTTTGCATTCAAGTGGGTCCAGCATTGATAAATTAGAGTCGGGTCATTTCTGGCCCTTGTAGAGTTAGAAAATAATTTATGAAAGTGGTCCTAAATTGCTCCATAATTTCAAGTCAGAAGAATTTCCCTCTTACTTTCTAAGTCCCGTCTGCCACGTACAGCAACTGGGTCATCAGATAATTACAAGAGCATAAAGCAGAACAGTGCAAATCCTGTTTACCCAAACAGTTCTGGCTCCTGTCTCTCATTCCCAGGTCAATAAGCAGGCCACGTGTGGTTGCTTTCGGTCAGTGCCTACCACTGCCGAGCCCTTGCCATTCAATACAAAACACAAGCGCCCTCCAAAGAATACCCCAGCTCCTCTTCTGTCCTCAGACACCCTCAGATCAGCCCAGCTTCTCTGGGGTGATGATGGGGATCACTTCTGTATTCATGGTGTCAGCCCCATCACTAGCTTCCTGGCCAGAGATGAAAATCAAGGTGCAGCTGCACCCTCAGCTTCCTCCTTCAGGCCGAGTGAGGATGAGCCACTTCTGATGGCTATCAAGAGGAGAGAGCCCCCCAGCTCCCCACCACCAGCCTGATGCACCCTCGTTTTAGGAAATGGGCTGGAACACAAAGGGGAGACAGATTAGGTTAGATTAGGGCCTACTGGGAAGGCATCTGCTTAGCAACATAAAAAATGCTTTTGTGGGCCACCGCTCAGCGAATGCAAAGAAAAATGTAGGCAGCGGCTTCGATCTGCACACAGCATCATTTGCACTAATGGTGGGATAAGGGAGTGGCTTCCAGGGAAAGGTATGACCCAGGATGATGTGGAGCCCTGGGCCATCAGCAGAGCTGGGCTCATCACCCCAAGGCAGATGGAAGCTGCCCATGGAACAAGGCCACGCTGTTCCCTGGGCAGGGGCAGCTAAGGAGAGGGAACCGCGGTCCTCCAGCATCATCCTGGCCCAAGCTTTCCTATGTGTGAATCCAGGGCAAGCCTTCCTCTTTTCATCACATAAACTGGCCACCTATCCATGGATGAGCAGGGGTCGGGGGTGGTGGGGAAGGTTTTGGCTGGGCTCACTGGGAGGAGAGCGGAGAGAGGACGTTTTTTTCTTGTCCATCACACGTGCTGCTCCTGGTACAGCTGTCATTCACAATGATGCTGTGTGCAGATCGAAGCTGCCGCCTAGGAACAGGAACAGGCAATGGTGTGGCAGGAGATGGAAGCCTGGCCAGATGCCCATGAGGGAGCCTCAACGGTGGGTCCTCCACCAGCCAGGTGCAGACCCATGAGTCACTTCATCCTGTGTTGGGGGTTACCAGAGAGCCAGCAAGGCTTATGCAGAGAGGAGGGAGGGAGGGAGGGAGGAAAGGGGGGAGGGAGGGAAGGAGGGAGGGAGGGAGGAGGGAATAAGAAGGGAAGGAACGGAGGGAAAGAGTGGGGAGGGACATCTGTCAGGGCCTGTGACCATACCACAGCCCCTTCTGCCACCTTGGAGCTTCCATCGTGCACTTCTGGAATGCAAAGCCGACCCTCTCCTGGTCCACCCAGACACTCCTCACTCCCCAAGGTCTTCCAAGACATCAGTCTTCCCAGAGCAGTTCAACCCCCAGGAACCGGCCCTGCTGCCAAACCCTTACCACCACTAAGTGTTGCTACCCACTTGCAACCTCAGACATGTCCCAAGTAAGCCCCAAACCGTGTTTCAACCCAAGCCATCTGTTGTCCTCTCCCTTGATCAGCTGTCAGGTGACCCTGGATGTCTGTCAGCCTCCATGATGGCTCTGAGCTCCACTAACAGTGCTGTGACTCTCTCATCAGTCCCCATTTCTGACCCAGAAAAAGAATCTGTAGCCACAGCTCCCACTCCAGGCCTTGCCTGTTCCAGGATGGCACACGCCTGCATCTGCCCTTTTCCTGGAAGGCTCCTGGGACCTTGACCTCGGCCTGGTCCTGTCCCCAAAACTCAGCAGTCCTTTACTCTCCGCCCTCTTCTCACCTGCAGCCCCCTGACACCTGCACCACCTTCCATCTGAGATCTAATGATTCTCAACAGAAACATGGTAACGTGAACCGGTAAAGGCCATTGGAGTGGAAACTCACCGGTAAATGCCCAAGGAGAGGCGTGATACTGTCAGAGACATAGATGATGCTGCCGTCTGTTGTCACTGCGATAATGAAGCCATCTAATGCCTGTGGAAAATGCAACATTTGAAAGCTCCTTAGCAATGCGTTTATGGAGGAGCATGTCACTGATGCAGAGGACACTATTTTAGGACACTGGCTTTGTTTTATAATCCTCAGAATATTTCCATGAATAACCTCACGGCACTTCTTGGCCTTCCACGGAGGACAGCTTCTTACAGAAAATGTGTCTGGCCCAGGAAAAGTGTTTGCAAAAGCACTACAGGATCAGTGAAAAATGTGACCTAGTGGCATAATCAAATAACATTTAGCCATGGAAATTCCCTAAGTAGGTTTAATGATAAGCATATTATTAGCCTGATTCAGAAATACCACCCTTGCCATTAGAAAACATCAGCCATAGTTTATGGTTCCCATCTCCCTACCCCTGCCATCACTTTGAGTTCAATGGTAAACATTTGCCCTGATAAAGGTATCAGACCTAACAGATGCATTAAAAACAGAAAGTGTGCCTGTTGGCCAAGGCAGGCCTCTGCTCACATTCATTGCCACAAGAGAAATGCCCACTGAAGGAACTGTTTGTAAAGAACATTCACATTACTCTACAGGGCTGGGTGGGTGTGGGGGTTGCGTAACTCAACTGGATCCGTAAGCATTTCAGAATGTCTGAAAAATCCATGCATTTGAAAGTCTCTACTGAGTGCCTACTCTATGCTGGGCACACTGTCCTGGGTGCTTGTGATATAATAGGTTGAAGGTGGGCAATGCTTTCTCATAAAGCAGACACTTTTGCTCATGGTTTTTTTTTTTTTTTTTTTTTTGAGATGGAGTCTCACTGTCACCCAGGCTGGAGTGCAGTGGCATGATCTCGGCTCACTGCCACCTCTGCTTCCCAGGTTCAAGCGATTCTCCTGCTTCAGTGTCCCGAGTAGCTGGGATTACAGGCACATGCCACCAGGCCCAGCTAATTTTTGTATTTTTAGTAGAGACAGGGTTTCACCATTATTGGCCAGGCTGGTCTTGAACTCCTGTCCTCAAGTGATCCATCTGCCTCAGCCTCCCAAAGTGCTGGGATTACAGGTGTGAGCCACTGCACCCAGCCACTTTTGCTGGTTTTAGATTGTTTATTGGGATTTATTTTTGTGTGGATGCTTGCAGTGCTTTCACAATATGTATCTGATAGTTGATTTCTAAAATAAAGACGACATAATTCAGCAGAGAATAGGATCACAGTGGCAACTGGCTGTCTAGGGTGTGCCAGTGAGGGGGAGGAGACTAGAAATGAAGCCTACCTCTCCAGAAAGCAAGTCTTTAAGGGAATAATAGCTCAGGGAGACTTTTACTGGAAACCTGTCACTGTCGGTTCACTGACTTTTTCTTTGACTATCTTCCCCGAATCTGGACATTTTTCTGCTTAGGAAAAAAAGTGAAATATGTGCTTAGAAAGCTCTGGAAACATGTTGCATGCACTCAACTAGATGGTCACGTGATGTCTGAGAATCTGTGTGGACAATTCATTCTTTCACATTAGGAGGGTGTGGCTGAAGTGCATGGCAGCGGGAACCCGGAAGAGGCCACGAGCAGTGCATGAAGGGCACCTTTATACCATGCCGAAAGGGGAAAGAGTTCTTTTCACCAGGAAAATTAACACTAGACTCATTTATTATTTTACACCGACAGCTGGTAGGATTTAGACTGAAAAACAGATTCAAGTACGTTTCTTAAATGGACCTCGTCCTCTTGGATGACATCAGTGGTTCTCAACTGGGGGCAATTTTGGTAATGTCTGGAGGCATTTTTGATTGTCACCACTGGAGTGGGTGACTTTGGCATCTAGTGCTGCCAAACATCCTGTAATATGCAGGAGAGTCCCCACAACGAAGAACTACCAGGTCCAAAATGACCATAGTGCAAGATTGAGAAATGCTGGGTTAGATTTGAGTTACAGTAAACGAAGAAGTACATCCCAGTAACTTTTCCTTCCCAGGTATTTTTCTAAAAATGTTTTAAAGTCATCTATGAAGCCCTCTAGGAGGTGAATTTTTTTAAGGGGTAAGGGCACTGTTGATGACATCAGTGAGACTTTTCTGGAAAAAGCAGATTGGAAAGCTGGGAAAAGCAAGGGCAGTGCAAATCGTCTTGCACAGTGAGCCCATGTCCCTCCTGAATGTCTAAAGCAAGCGGGTGTTAAAAAGCTGAAGGTATTTATAGACGGGAGATAACTTTCATCAGCTCATTGGCATTTCCATCAACTCTATGAGAACTGCACTGAGTCATTGCTTTAAGAAAGCTGGCTGTGGTTCTGGAAGTCCCATCAGTAGCATCTGAAAGGGATTCAACAGCAAGTGATTGCAAAGTGCTGTGCCCCTATCCATGGAATGGTGATTTTGACTGGGGTGTTTCCAAAGGTGCCATAATGGCCCAGAATTTTCTAACCGCCACACATTAGAGGGAAACGAAACCTTCCCTTTCTGCAAATTCCTGAATCAGATGGAACATTTCTTGTGTTCCTTGGGACAACCTCTGGGCTAAGAGAAGAGATTGCTTTTCTGATTAAAATTCAGAAATTCCACAAGCTCCCTATTCCGCAGGCCACAGGCACTTTGGCTCCTTTTGAGTGCAACTGCTCCAATGCTGGTAGCCACAGTCTTTGCCAGCTGATACTTTACCAGCTTGGCTGGTCTGCAGCCAGGTCAATTTTGTTTTTTCAGCCAGGTCAATTTTGTTTTTTCAAACTTCACAGCTATGTGAGTCCTCCTGGAGTCTGGTTTTGTGCCTCTTAGAGAGAAGAGGGAAGAAGACGGGAGTCACATCTGGAGGGCATTAGCAGTTCCCTAGGGACATGATGGGTTATCTCCTGGGCTCTGTCCTCATTTTAGAAAGGGAACATCCTGGCCACTAAGACATGGCACCTGGATTCTTCACAGTCTCTGAAATGGCTCTGAAAAAAAACAGAGAGATGGGCAGCTGGAGAGAGACCCATGCTATGGGAAGGTTGCACTGGACAATGGTGACATCACCGTGGGAGCTCCCCATCTCCCCCAACCACAGCTGGGGCTCAGGCCACCAGGGAGGAGATGCTAGAAGGCTCCAGTCACTCAGCACTAGGTCTGTGTCTACTGAAGAGCAACAGGTTGGAAGAGAAGCCTGACACAGTCAGGGTCAACAGTACTAGTTGGTGGACTTTCCAGACCACTCACAGCTGCCATTCACCCAGAAGGCCTGCTGGTTGTGCAGGCTTAATTTCAGATCCAATTCATTCATCTAGCATGATTTCCTTTCCACCGGCTTCTAGGAGTCTACACCGGGAGCAAGGGAAAGTGCATAAAGACTATACAAATATCAATCTTCCTTGTCTAGAAATTCCAGTCTCCTGAATCTCAGTCCCGTCTTCTAGCCCCGAAATTTATTCATTTTTAACTTTACAAAAGCCCTATTTCCTCAAATACTTTTGATAGTTTGAAACTAACTGGGAAAAAAAAAAAAGGTTGTGCTACAGGCTCTTAAAAAAAGGCTGCTGCTATAGGGTTATGTGTTTTAACTACTTTTCCATAAGAATTAAAAGATAAATCGATTTATGTAAATTAGCATAATGATACATTAATTCAACATTTCACAAGCTGCTTTAAATTTAACATACTTAAAAATGCATTGCTTCTGCAGAAAGTTCTGTATTTTCTTTAAATATAGTTCACATGTAGATTTAAGTATCTTTCATCTTATGCAAATGTTCATTAATGCGTTTACATTTCATAATATTTGGACATCTTCATTCTGGCATTTTCTTACTCCAGTACTTTCTGTTTTCTGCAAGTTAATCTATGTAAATTGAAGTTTACATCAGTCTTATATAGGCACATAAGATATGAGATAGAAAGATTTATCCCCAGAAACCACTCTCCAAACACCCTGCCAGGAACCACTGGTCACAGCCAGCGTCTAACTTCCTTTTGCTGAGCTCATCTGTCCCAGTTTGCCTCCTCTTGGTTGCGGGCGTGGATATGTCATGCCTGGAGCTTTCTCTGACCCACTGCCATATCCATATACTCCAAAACTTATCTCCAGGTGAGAAGCCACAGCACGTTGGCAGTTGTTTCTGTAGAGGCTTATGCTTATCTGCATTGAGGAGTTTCACCCATATACAAATACATGATGTTGAGGAAAGGGACTCATTTAGATCAGCCAGGTTTTCACAAATACGGCCCTGTAGATGAGTATGGGGCCTCTGACCCAGAGGGAGGAACATGAGCATCTCACTCAGCACAGAAAGGACATGAGCTGGATGGGGAGGCACGGGATCCCTGTGGCTGATATCTGTATGCCATGTGGATGTAACATGAGTTCAAGTTCAAAGCATATCTTAAAAAGACAATTTTTAATTTCAAAACGTGTTTCTACTAAGGGAAAAAATGTATAATCATAGCAGTCTAAGAGAAGACTCTCTGAGTCAAATGACAGTGCAAGCTGATTCATCTTCCCTCTGTCCTTCTCCTCTCTCTACCTACCTCGAACCCACCCTTCCTGGCTCCCCAGCAAGGTGTCCTCTGGTTGTGACACCATCAAGGGGCTCATCCTGTGGTCACTGTAGTGAAAACACGTGACCACATTCAATTTTGGGATTCTTCTTGACATGGCCCATAGGCAACAGCAGGCAGAGAGCCTCAGGGAGGTATCTGTTTCAAAGTCAAGTCTTCCCAGGATCAAGAACAGTAGTTTCCTTTGGGTACAGGGACTTATCTGCAACAAGTAGCTACATTTTAACTGGCAACTGTTTAAGCTATTTTGAAAGTGCATTTCACCTCCAACATCAGCTGGGTGAATTCTTCATTACTGAGGAATGAAGGCTTCCAGTCTTGCTGAATGTCACAGATTTCCGTTTGCGCTGAGACTTCTAGAAAAGAGACACAAATAAGCCTTTATATTCAATGGCACCTAGAAATTGGAATTAACAAATGAAGCACATGTTACTTCTATGTAATTTTGTGTAAACTTCTGTGTAGTTTAATTTAAGAAGCCAGCAGAAGGAAATATGTTACCCTGATTTCCAAGGACTGGGAGCTTCGGATGTTCTCATCTCCCTTAATGAGGCTTTAGGGAGGTGCATCCCCCACCTTCTCTATGGCTGTGGTGCCTGCCCTTGCAGGTGGTACCATGGCCCTGAATGTCTACATGACGAACTCCATCGTCAACAGTTGGAATTAGGTAGTTACCACCTATGAAGGCAATAGGAACAAACACTGGGATGGTGTGACACCTTCATAAGTGGCTTCTTCATGGCCCAGGTGAAGCAAAACACTTCACAGACCTGGGATTTTAAAAATTCCAGAAACACCTTAGGCGTGTGGAAAATAACCCACTGTGTTATACAGAATGTACCATATTTTTCAGCATTTCCATTACTGAAATACAGCGTGCTATACACATACACATAATGTACTCTTCTCAAAACTTTTTGGGGTTAATCTATAGTTTATCCATTTCACAGAACTGCCTTGTACTGAAGACATTATGCCGATTTGTAAATTCAAATAGTCATTGGCCTACAAGGGGCTCCTTAAATATTTTAGTTCTTCTGCATTTTTAAAGAATGTTTTGTTCTATTATTGAATTATTTCTGATAAGATAATTATAGGTGGCTCAAATGTAATATCAAATATGTTTGTTTTTCCTTCAGTTTATCCTCCATCTTAAGCCAACATTTTGCTCCATTTCATGTAGTAAGAGGTTTCTTCAGAGATTATTTCCTTGGTGCTAGGAAAAATGTAAGAACATAAGACTCATAGCTCAGAGAATAAAACTAACCTGTTTAACAACTTCCTGGAGAATGCATATGGTCCAGGCAGATAATCCATCAACTTTAAGCCAGGAGAAAGATTTCAAGGCTCTCTCCTTTGTGCCTGTGTTTTTGATAATCTCTCTTACGTGGCGCATGAGGAATGCATTCTGCCATTTGAATGAATGAATCTTAGTGAATGCAGCAGCTACTCATGAACAAAAGATGTAAAGAGCTGAGTTATGGCCGGGCGCGGTGGCTCACGCCTGTAATCCCAGCAGTTTGGGAGGCCGAGATGGGCAGATCACGAGGTCAGGAGATCGAGACCATCCTGGCTAATGGTGAAACCCCGTCTCTACTAAAAATACAAAATATTAGCCGGGAGTGGTGGTGGGCTCCTGTAGTCCCAGCTCCTCAGGAGGCTGAGGCAGGAGAATGGCATAAATCCAGGAGGCAGAGCTTGCAGTGAGCCAAGATCGCACCACCACACTCCAGCCTGGGTGACAGAGCAAGACTCCATGTCAAAAAAAAAAAAAAAAAAAAAGAGCTGAGTTATGCGCATCACCCTGTGAACCTCCACTTGTTCCAAAACCCAATGTTCCCAGCAGTGCTCGTCTCCACCAGGAAGACTCCTTCCTTCGAGATGTCAGAAAGAACGAGTTGCTGCTGCTGTTATACAAAATTGGATTTTTGTCTTTGTGAGTTTAAAGGGGCAGAAAAGAGCTGCTATGAGCCTTTGGTAATAGAACACTGGAAGAAACCCAGGAGAAGAAACCCAGGAGAGGAAACCGTGCTGATGGTCAGGCAGCCAACGACACTGAGAGGGCCCCTGGAGGGAGGGCCGCGCTGTGGGGAAACGTCCAGTGTCGGGCCTCATATGCACATGGTGGAATGCAGCATGGGAAGCAGAGGCAGGTGCTACATGCACATCGTGGGCCAGAATCCATTCTGTGGTGCTGGCTGAGGCAAGGAAGAGAGGGTGCAACTCCCAGTTCTTCAAACAGATGGTTGCCACAGTTCGACCACTTAGAAAAGAGAGGGACTGAAGATGTGCTATAATATTTAACCCCATAAATGCCTTTCCTCTTCTCCCCAATATGCACACTCATCTGTGAGACTCTTTTGACCACTAGGATCAAACTATAGACTAACTGTTTTTCTAGCAGAAGAGTCTTTATGGCAGCCCAAATTTCATTTAAATAGAGATCCATTCAACTTAATGGTGAAGGAAAATGAAATACCCATTTCTTTAACTTAAGTAATTTTTAGATCATTCTGTATGACTGGGTATTTTGTTAACGCTAGCATAATAACACTGAAAGCAGCCATCTCATTCACTTTGTATTTCAACAACTGAATTAGACTCCTTGGAAGTTAAGGTTCATTTCATAGCATATTAAAAAAATATGTTAGATACGATGTCTCGAATCGAGGAAAAAATGTTACACTGGGAAGTAAAATTCAGTGTTATGGTAAAAGTGGTTTCCAAATTTCAAGGGAAACAAAACCACCTGAGAGCCATTTTTGTAGGAAAACATTGTGATTAAGAGCCAACCCCCCAAATTCTACTCTGATATCACTTGTACCCATTTCCTAGAGTGCTCAACTCCCGACTGCTCCTGGTATATCTGAATAATAAGCAGTATATGTTTGGGATGTATGTGGTCAAATAAAAGCCTGGAAAATGGAGCAGAAATTCCACAGCTGTCCTGGGTATATATTACCCTGTTCAATAGGGAAATTTCTCCTTGTTCTACAGCTCTCCCCACCTCATCTTCCATCCATGAAGACAGACACATTAAAGAAGTGTGAATGAGGAATGGGATTTAATGTTAGGAGAAAATTTCATTTAGACTCACTCAGGAAGAGGATAATGTGTAGGCCAGCCTGACCCACTAGAACATCTAGATGGATGTAGATAAGGATGTCCAATATGTCCTGCTATTTACAGACTTTAGGGATTTCTCTCTTATAATAGCTACTGTTACAAAATTTTGCTACAAAGAATCATGATCAGATTCTCATTTTGATTTGGATTACTTCAGAGAGAATAAGTGTACAGTTCAGGATTAAAATTCATTTCCGAAGCTGAGAAAATAGCAATGCTGAAAGATTATTGGGGAAAGAGCTAAATAATAACTACTTGGACCTAATCATCTTTCCTTACTTATCATGTGATCTCCCTTTAGCATGACGGCAGGAAGCATGTTGAAATTCATAGTTCTTAACCCTCACTGCACACCGGAATCACCTGGGGGCCTTAAAAATGCTGATGCCTGGGCCTTACCTAGCCATCTGCTGGTGAAAGGCTCTCCACCCTCTACAACAAACAGCCCTGATTTGCAGTGTTTGCCCCTTTCTGTGGTGTAAATACGCCTACCATGGCTGATTTCAAGCTACCAACTTGATGTCAACTGGCTTGCAAAACTCCTGAAAAGTGAACAATCTTCTCTTGCAAGCTGGTATCCCATTGTGGTCCCACCCCTAGAGATCATGACATATTGGTCTGTGGGGGGTTACCTGGTAATATGTATTTTTCAAAAGCTCTTCAGGTGATTCAAATGTGCACACAAGGTTGAGAACCAGCAGTCTAAATGGACACACTCATGAACAGCTGGAGTGCAGCTGTGATATAAATAGCCACAAGAAGCCCTGTAGATCACCCCTTGTGGAGCAGCCATTGAGTGTAGTGCTAAAAGGTTGGGCTCTGGAGACAGGCTGCTGGGCTTAGATTCCACATTTTCCTGGCTGTCTGACTTGGATGAGTGACTTGACCTTGTGTGTCTCATCTGTGCAATGGAACTAACTCAAAGTGCTGCCATGGGCCGGGTGCAGTGGCTCACGTCTGTGATCCCAGCACTTTGGGAGGCCAAGGTGGGCAGATCACTTGAGGCCAGGAGTTCGAGACCAGGCTAGCCAAAGTGGCAAAACCCCGTCTTCACTAAAAATACAAAAAATTAGCCAGGTGTGGTGGCACGTGTCTGCAATCCCAGCTACTTGGGAAGCTAAGGCAGGAGAATCGCTTGAACCTGGGAGGTGGAGGCTGCAGTAAGCTGAAATTGCACCACTGCACTCTAGCCTGGGTGACAGACCAAGACTCTGTCTCCCAAAAGAAAGTGCTGCCATGAAGAGGAGCTCTATGTAGAGGAGTTCCTGTAGGTAGAGCTCTTAGAATATTGCCCAGCTCATAGCAAGCCCTGAACAGATGCTTACGGTCAGTATTCTCTACTCTGTTGCAGGTGCCTGCAGAGTTCATGTCCATTTGGACTGCAAGTAAAGGAAAGTGATTGCTTTGTTTTTTGCTTTAATCCAAGTTTTGCTCCAACAACTCTACTTCCCCAAAAAACGTACCATGAATTTTCTGCTTTATTTTGAATATGAAATCACAGAGATGAGTGAGATCCTGGCATGATCCTCATTGTGTTTAAGCAGGTTGTGCGGAGTAGGCCTTCATCTTATGAAAAAGGCGAGCTGAAGCAGGCTCTCCCGGTATTTGGAGGCTGCATTTCTGCTGACTTATCCTTTCCAGGGCCCAGATTTGACAATTCTGTAATTCCACAGTGGACAGAGCCCGGCATAAATGTCAGGCTGATGAACTTGATCCCAGCTGTCCTATTTAACAGCTGTCCTGCTTCTCGGTGGCAATGACCTAGTTTGAGTAATTTGCACAAAATATCTTGGCAATCAAACCAACCTGCTATTTCACTTGGCTAAATCATTATTTAGGAAATATAACCATTTGATTAAATTATCAGGGCAATCAAATACTGCTGTAACACTTCGTTCCAATCCTGCTTGATTGGTCTTTCCTGACTTTTAACAAAAGCAATTAACATGTTCTTTACTCTCTCCTGGGCAGCTTTGGAAAAAATAATATGAGGATATATCATCACTGTCACATTTTTAATAGGTATATATGATCATCAAAGAAATAATAAAAGACTAAGAAGTATAATGAAACTTTCTGATGTCCCAGCCGCACCCTCTTTTATGAAATCATCTTGTCTAGGAAAATGTTCAGTGGAAGAGACACATCACTGCCTGCATGGAAGAACTGTAATTATTTCCTCACTAATTCTGACATTTCTGACTTATTATGTTTGGTGTCATGATTAAAGAAAAAAGAATTCTGCTCTTCCTGCTTGCTAATAGGTTCTGAGCCCTCTTAACTATTCTGTGACTTTTTGTAACATCCTGGGTGACTGGCAGGGTAGGTGTGACCACACACTAACAGGTAAAAGTGTTTGAAGGAGAGGAAAAGGGAGAGAGAATGATTTGAGAAAGATGTGAGCTCAAGGATGAGTTCAAGTGGCATATGCAGGTGATCGTGTGATGGAATACTATACACTAATGAAAGGGAACTAGCAATAGCATGGGAAGAATGGGAGGAATCTCATAAACATCATGTGTATAATTCATGGTTCCATCTGAATAAGGTTCCAACAGGCAAAAGCAACCTATGGGGTTAGAAGTCAGCACAGAGGTTCCTTCTTTTGGGAAAGCAGAGGAAGACAGGAAGGAGCTTCTATTTCTTGACCTGGGTCGTTGGTTCCCTGGCTGTGTCTGCTTTGTGATAATTAATTCAACTGTACAGTTATGATTTGTATATTCTCTGTATGTGTTACTTTTATAAAGTATTACAAAGTTAGAAAAAGAATGGAGTGCCAGGATAACTGGAAATCCACATGCAAAAGGATGAATTTTCATAGCCCACCTTACGACATCTACAAAAACGAACACAAAATGGATCAAATATCTATGCTTAACCTACAGTTTAAAATTATAAACCTTTTAGGCTGGGCGTGGTGGCTCACACCTGCAATCCCAGCACTTTGGGAGGCCGGGGCGGGTGAATCACGAGGTCAGGAGATTGAGACTATCCTGGCTAACATGGTGAAACCCCTTCTCTACTAAAAATAGAAAAAATTAGCCGGGTGTGGTGGCACCTCTAGTCCCAGCTACTCAGGAGGCTGAGGCAGGAGAATGGTGTGAACCCTGGAGGCGGAGCTTGCAGTGAGCCTAGATCACGCCGCTGCACTCCAGTCTTGGTGACAGAACAAGACTGTCTCAAAAAAAAAAAAAAAAAGAAAGAAAAAAAGAAAAAAGGTTATAAACCTTTTAGAAGAAAACATAGATATAAATCTTCATTACCTTAGATTAGGCAATGATTTCTTAGATAGAATGCCTCAAGCACAAGTAGTCAAAAGAAAAAAATAAATTTGACATTAACTGATTAAAATTTAAAACCTTCGTGTGTCAAAGAGTATCACTTGAAAAGTAAAAAGACAATCCACAGAATGGGGGAAGATATTTTCGAATTCTATACCAGATAAGGGTCTAGTATCTAGAATACATGGAGAACTCTTACCACTCCAGCATAAAAAGAAAAATCAATGATTTAAAAAGGGGCCATGGATTTGGACATCTCTCCAAAGAAGATACACAAATAGCCAATAAGTACATGAAAAGATCACGAAAAGGAAAACATGATCAGTTATTGGGAAATTCAAATCAAAGTCACATAAGATATCACTTCATACCCACTAGGGAGATTATATTAATAATAGTCATAATAAAAGAAGACAGTAATAAGTGTTGCCAAGGATGTGGAGAAATTGGAACCCTCATACATTGCTGCTGGGAATATAAATAGGTACAAGCCACCTTGGAAAACAGTTTGGCAGTTCCTCAGAAAGCTAAACACTACCATTTAATGCAGCAATTCCCCTCCTAGGAATACAAACAAAAGAAGTGAAAACATATATCAACTCAAAAATTTGTACATGAATGTTCACAGCAGCATCATTCATAATTTCCAAAAATTGTAAACAACCCAAATATCCATCAACTGATGAATGGTTAATCAAAATATGATATTAATATATCCATACAATGGAATATTGTTGGTCCATGAAACGGAATGAAGTACTCACACATGCTAAAACACAGATGCTACGTGAAAGAAGCCAGATACAAAAAGACCACATACCGTATGATTCTACTTGTATAAAATGCCTAGAATAGGGGAATTGATGGAGACAGAAAACAGATTCGTGGTTGCCAGGATCTGGAGGGAGGGGGAAGAATGGGAAATGATGGCTAATGGATACAGGGTTTCTTTTTTGGCATGATGAAATTAGAGAGTGGTGATGGTTACACCACCTTGTGAATATACTGAAGACCACTGCACTCTACACTTTAAAATGGTGAATTTTATGGTATAAACATTATATCTCAATAAAAACAGAATGAATGTGACATTAAGAAAATAAATTCTTTTCAATGTATTTTTTCATGATGTAGCGCAAAAGACCAAAGAGTTCGAGGGCAGTGGCAGAGAGGGATGAAAAGGCCCACATAGTCTGATCCCACAGGAAGTGAGTATTCAGCCACTGCATCTGTTCAGCATTGAATAAAAGACACTTGTTCCAGGGATTTTTGATCAAGATGTTGTCACTGTGAATGCCACGCTGCTTCGGCTGGGTGCTACCTGTGAGGTTGTTTTGGATTCTCTCGTCTGGCTTATAATGCAATTGGGAGGTGTGTGCCCTCTCCCCACCCAGCCAGAGACGGGCTGATAGAGGGTGGAGTGTCTTTACAATGGGAAGCCCTCGACCGGTAAGGCTGGGCCTGGCTGGGGAGACAAAACCAACCAGGCAGCCCAGATTGGTGAAGTCATCACCACATGGACGGGGCAGGGTGGAAAAAAAACAGAGAGAAGGGTGACCTTTACCATTGTGTTTCTGCAAAAATCCGATGACCTTTTCCAACACGGTGGTTTTGTCCATTTTCCGCGTGTTGCCAGGGAGCATGGAACTGAGCTCTTTGATGAGAACATTGAACTGGTCCCGACGCTTCTTCTCAGACTTGTTTCGAGAAGCTCTGTAAACACAAAACGAGCAGGTTACTGGAACATTCCACGTCACAAAGGCTTTGTGATGAAACAAAAGCACTTTCTATTAGAGCACATTCTATTGTGATCATCTATCTTATCAAAAAACTCTTTCAGGAAGGTCACGCTGGCCACATTTCCAAGGCAGGAGGATAGAAAATGTTTTGCTAGACTCTTGGCCACAAAGACAGACAGCATTAATAACCAGTAAGTTCTGACTCAGACGCAAAATCTGACAGATTAGCTCTGAGGCCGGATGCTGCTCATTCGGATCTCATAGAGCTTTCACTTTCAGAGAGCAAAGGACACACTGCTGACTGAGATGGCTGTGCTCGGAGAGCCCTTCCTAAGACTCAAACCAAGTCCCCTTCAATCCAGAACACCCAGCCTGGTTCCAGGGCCCACGGGGTGGCCAGGTATCCCGTGTGCCACCAGTGCATATGTCCTGGCCCCTGCTCCAAAGAGCTCATCGCCCTGTTGGGGGAGGCAAGACACACCCTGCCTACAACAGCCAGGGCTGTACAGACCCAGGGCAGAGGTATGACAGGTACTGCACCATGGCTGTCAAGCTGCTAAGAGCAGACGAACACTTTTTAAAATGACATGGAGGAAAGTTAAACACATATTACTAAGTTGGAGAAGCCAGTCTGAAAAAGCTACACACTGTATGATAGCAAGTATATGACATTCTGGAAAATGCAAAACTACAGAGACAGCACAAAGATCAGTGGTTGCTAGGGGTTAGGAGGGATGAACAGAGGATTTTTAGGGCAGTGAATCCACTCTGTATGACACCATACTGGTGGATGTGTGTCAACACATTTGTCTAGACTTGGAGAATGTACAACACAAGAGTGTGCCTTGATGTTAACTCTGAATGGTAACAATGTATCAGTGTAAGCTTATCAGCTATAACTAATGCACCACTCTGGTGGGGGATGCTGATAATGGGGGAGGCTGAGTGTGTCTAGGGAGGGCTCAGGGGGATATGGGAACGCTCTGTGTCTTTCACTCAGTTTGTCTGTGAGCCTAAAAATGCTCCAAAAAATAAAGTCTATTTTAAATAAGTGACACCCTGTGCTGCACACTTATAGGAGAGATCAAAGGGAAGCTGCTTGGTTAGAGAGGAGGGGCCTCCCCCAAGCCACCCAAGCACCTCTGAGGACCCTGAGATCCTCAGGAACTTGAGTAGGGAATCGTGGCTCTCAGGAATGCTCTAATTAACAACGAACAAGGAACACGTGATGCAAAAAGCCCTCCTGAAAAGTCCGGAAGCAGTGCTACTCGAGGGGCCTCCATCTTCAATGACACGCCACAGGCCCTTCATCAACAATCCACGTATTTGAAGGTGATCCAGGGCTGAGAAAGCTGGCTCACTCCTCCCCAGTTCACTGAAGACAGACTTGTTCCAGAAGTCAACTCTCTGAGAGAGAACAGGGGCCCCAGAGGCCAGGCCCATAAAACATTGCTGCTTTTCCAGGCACCTTGGGCCCGGGGTCATGGTTCTCAGGGGAGCAAATCCTTCACCAGGAGGCTCCTGGCCAATGTGTGGTCAGGACAGAGTGTGCTGCTGGATTCTGATTCACCTCCCTTGGAGCAGGTGTAAGTATCTATAGGTAACAGTATCAATAAACAGCCCTTGGACACAAAAGGACGTATTTCCAAAACCCTTTCCCTAGACATCACGAGGACCATAACCACTCAGTTTGCCCCTGCCTAATTGCACACAACCTGCCTTTATTTCAACACACATGTTCACAACCCATCTTTTACCGGTCCTATCTCAGTTTAGGCTGTTTCCTGATAACATTTGGGCAATTCTTCAAAGCTCAGCTAACGTGTGTGGTCACTACCCTTTACCTAGGGGTCTTTTCCTGCCTCTCCCCTCCTCCCTGTCTGTTCTTGGCCTTCTACAAAGGCCCTGTCCCTCGCCGAGCCACTCTCTTTACCTGCACTCTCTCACATCACACACTAACTGCAGGCGTGGCAGCAAGATGTTGCGGAGTCTTGTTGCTAGTCCAGGCTAAAAGACCATGTTCAAACACATGGGAGAGAAGAAAGGAATCCTTTAACTTTCAGAGTGAATGTCTATGCATTATAAATAATTTTTTGGCCTAGATTTTAAAGAGTGACATGCAACCTCCTTAGCCAAAAAAAGCTCTGTTCCTGTCCTAGTTTGCCCATTATAAATTATTTGTGAGCTGATAACACCCAGCTCATTACTGCTCTGTTCTCGTCTTCAATGGGTGTAATGACGACCAACATGGCCTGGTAGCAACTCCGACGAAGGCTCCTATCGTTAGTGACAGAGACACAAGCTTGTTTCCATCCGCCTCCGGCTGGGACACACTGTGGTGTCCACTGGAAACTGGTCGCTGTCAGCTGGTTCCACTGCTATCAGGCAAGAGAAAGAAAATGAGCCTGGAATGACCTTATTTCCAAAAAGAAGGTCCTCTCGGCAGGCCCCGAGACCACCACACACAGACACTGGGACGAAGGTTTTGAAAGACACTCCAACAACCCCAACAACCAGGCTTTGGGTTTTTGTTTTTGAGACAGAGTCTCACTCTTGTTGCCCAGGCTGGAGTGCAGTGACGCGATCTCAGCTCACTACAACCTCCACCTCCCGGGTTCAAGGGATTCTCCTGCCTCAGCGTCCCAAGAAGCTGGGATTACAGGCATGCACCACCACACCCGGCTAATTTTTGTATTTTTTAGGAGAGACAGGGTTTCACCATGTTGACCAGGCTGGTCTCGAACTCCTGACCTCAGGTGATCCACCAGCCTCGGCCTCCACAAATGTGCTGGGATTACAGGCATGAGCCACCATGCCTGGCCAGGCTTTGGAGTTATAAGGCATTTTTTAAATTCAATAAAATTCATCCATTTTAGTGCATAGTTTGGTGTATTAGTTGGGTAACTACCACCAAAATCAAGATAAACAACAGTTCCTTCATCCTAAAGAGGTTTCTCCTGTGTCTTTGTGATTGATCCGCCCACCCCCAGCCATAGCCACAGGCAACCAACCACTGATCTGCTGGTAGTGTAGTTTCACCTGGTCTAGAATTTAACAGACCTGGAATCAGAGTATACAGTCTTTTTGATTTAGCATGACATTTTTGAGTTGCATCATGTTGCTGCACATATTAACACCCCATTCCTTTTTCCTGATGACTAGCATTCCTGTGTATGAATATGCCACAACATCTGGTTCATTTCCAGTTCAGGGGTAATAAGAATAATGCCGTTCTGAACACTCATGTACAGATCTGTGTGTAGATATAGGCATTCATTTCTCTTGGGTGAATACAGAGGCATGGAATTGCTGGGTCATCTGCTAAGCGTATGTTTAACCTGATAAGACACGGCTGCACTGACATACAGTGCATTGAAATGTTTAGCCGTTGAAATGTTACCTTACTGCGGCTTGGATTTGCATTTTCCTAGTGACTAGTAATGTCGAACATCTTTTTACATGCTTAATGGCCATTTATGTATCTTATTTTGTGAGGCGTTTGTTCAAATCTTCTGCCTATTTTCCAGTTGGGCTGTTTGTCATCATCTTATTGAGTTTAAGAAAGAGAGAGTAAGAGAGAGACCAAGGGAGGGAGGAAGGGAAGGTATGTGTGTGTTTTAAATATACATGGATATTGATTTTTGAATGTGGGGCTCAAAAACCCCAAGTTATCTGGTTCTGAAGCGTCCATCATCGGGCATCTTGGGGAGTTTGGGTCTGGTTACACAAGGAATATTTGCTGGGCACTTACTATGTATGTAACGGGCACCATGTTAAGAGCTTTACATCCATTCATTCCTTCAATTCTCATGGCAACCCTTTAAGGCAGGTACTATTGCATTTCCATTCCAAGGGGAAGGAGCGAGGCACTGAGAGGCTGTGTAACTCACCACCATCACAGGTCTGGGAAGTGGTGCCACAGGCTGGCTCCAGTGCCCACGCTGTGAGGCCGTGCACCCTCCTGCCACTTCCTACAGCTCCCTCCAAATCACTGTGGCGGGATCTGTTATGGACCTACGGACCCAGTGTTCTGGGAACACAGAACTGAGAGTGACTAATTCTGGCTGCTTGAGTTTATAGCACAAAAACTAAGCACACCGTGCAGAGAAACAGTGCCACACACTAACAGGAGGCTGGTGTTTGTGTTCCCCGTTGGGGAAGGGTACTGCGGGAAATCAAGGGAAGACTGCGACCTTCGCTTCAGCTCCTAGGAGGAGTGGCCTTTCCCACTGTCGTGGTCACCTGTGGTGTTAGGATTGCTGTTCACCAAATATTTCCAGTTTGTCTTCTGGAGAGAGCAGGATTGTGCTTCCCTGCCCCTTCGCTTGGCCAAGAACACGTACGCACAAGTGCCATGTGTCAGTTCCCAGGGAGAAGCATGAAGAGTCAGTGCAAAATCTGTTTCATTCCTTTTTCCATTCACCTCCCTTGGCAATGGGAGGTGAAGCCTCTGTCAGCCTGGGTCCTTGGGTGAGGACACTTTATAGTAAGGGGCCAGCAGCTCTGTGATGAGCACGTCAGCTTTACTGAGATATGGGGATTGTGGGCCACATAGCCCAACTAGTCTATCTGGATACACATAGTAGGGGATTGAGCAGAAAGGCACTCATGGGTGGAACTCAAACATCCAGTTATTAAATGCAATACAGACAGACCTCCAGGGAAGTGGGGCACAGGTTACCTTCCAGTACCCTTAAAAACTGTACATGTTTATGGGGTACAATGTGATGTTTTGATATATATATATACAACATGGAATGATTAAATTAAGCTAATTACCATATCAGTCACTTCACTTATTTGTGGTGAGACATTTGACATTTACTCTCCTTGCAATTTTGAAATATACAACACTGTACGTTATTATTAACTACAGTCACCCTGCTGTGTGATAGATCTCAAAACCTGATTCCTCCTGTCTAACTGAAGCTTTCTACCCTTTGACTAACATCTCCCCACTCCCTCCCCCTTTGACAGGAGGACCCTCTTCCACTTCTGACTTGAGGGTTCTCTGGACAAGGGCAATTAGAGACAGGAAGAGTATTTGTTCTATATTCTCTGATTAGCACCTTCTGTGCACAAGGCGCTCCATCAAGCGATATGGAGGAGGCGGCAATGAAGAGGTCTTGGCCCTCAACTAAAAGCAGCTCAGTGTCTAGAGGAAGAGATGGAACTCATTCCTCAGAAGCTGGTATAGGGGGTGCAATACAATACTGCCCGGTGAGAAGTTCCAACGAATCGCCAAGGGTGCTCACCAAGGAGGGAGCCCAGCCACGGAGCCCCTAGAGGCAAGAACATGAGGTGGCTTTGAGGGGTGCATAGTCAGGGGTGGAGAGGACAGCCCAGGGGAAAGCTGGGTGGTCAAGTTTGGCAGCAGAGTTGGGCTCAATTGGAGAAGGAAAGGATAGGGTGGGGAGGCACGGGGAGACCGACGGCGCAGTCGTGAATGGTAGGCCAAGCAACCTGGTCTGAGCTTTTGGATGAGTGGGGACAGGGAAAGGAAATGAAATGGGTCCTCAGGAAAGGATGAGGGACCCAACTTAAAGGGGAAGTGAGTAGAGACAGGAAGGGTCCGTGAGGCTCCTCCACCCCAAAGCACAGCACGGCGCTGCTGCTCCCTACCGCCCCCAGCGGGGGATGTAGGGAAAGAGCCAAGCAAGGCTCAGTCAAACTTCATTAGCCTCGAAAAAGTGACGCTGACGGTGGGTGCTTTAAAACGTTTTTTTGTTTTTGTTTTTGTTTTTTTTCCCCTTAAAATTAACACACAGTGAGCCTGACTTTTTCTTCGGGGACACGGTTCTATACGTTTTAGCACATGTATAAAGGTATGCAACCGTCATCACCATCAAGACGAGAGAGAGCTCTCTACAAAACTCTCATGCCCTCCACTCCCACAAAACTCTGGCCAGCTCGGTTCTGTTCTCCATCCCTATGCTCTTTTCAAGAATGTCGTAAAAGTATAATCCTATAGCATGTAACCTTTTGAGCCTGGCTGCTTCTACCCAGCATAATGCCTTTGAGATTTATTCAACTTGTGTCTGTCAATACCGTGTGCCTTCTCATTGGTGAGTAGTTTTCTACTGTACGGGTGTTCCACAGCCGGTTTATGCATTCACCCATTGAGGAAATGTGGGTTGTTTCCAGTTTGGGTAATTATGAATACAGCTACTATGCCCATTGGTGTACAGGTTTTTCAGTGAACGTGTTTGTATTTTTCTGAAGTAAAGAATCCAGGACTAGAACGTCTGGGTCATATGGAAACTATATGTTTATAAGAAACTACCAAACCGTTTTCCAGAGTGGCCATGCCATTTTACCTCCCTACCAGCAATGTATGAGTGATCCAGCGTTCTACAACCTTAAAGGGAATTAATATTGTCAGTACTTTAAATTTTAGCTAATCTAAGAAAGTTGCGGTGGTACATTATTAGAGGTTTAATTTGCATGTATCTAATGGCTAATGGCAGTGGACATCTTTTCACTTTTTTTGACATCTGTAGACCCTCTTTGAGGAAGCATCTGTTCATATCTTTTGCCCATTTTAAAATTGGGTTGTCTATTTCCTTACTATTGAGTTTTGACAGTTGCTTGTATTTTCTGGATACAAGTCTTTTGTCAGAAATGTGATTTGTCAGTATTTTCTACCCGACTATAGCTTGCCTTTTCAATCTCTTAATAGTAACTTACAGAGTGAGTTTTTAATTTTGATGAGGTCCAGGTTTAACAATTTTTTCTCTTACGAGTTGTACTTTTGGTGTTAGGTCTAGGAACTCTTTGCCTAACCTTATAGACTACAAAGACTTTCTATTTTTTCTTCTTATGGTTTTACAGTTTTACGTATTTTACATTTAGATTTATAATTTCAGTATTGATTTTTATTTCATGAATAGATGTTGCATTTTGCCAAAGTCTTTTTCTGCATCAATTGATATAATCATGTGGTTTTTCTTTTGTAACTTCATAACATAACGGATTACATTGATTTTTGAATTCTGAATAGCCTTGCATTCCCTAGATAAGCTCCACTTGATTGTAATTTAAAATATATATAAATATATATAGTTGGATATAATTTGCTAATGTTTTGTTGAGAAATTTTGTATCTACACTTATGAAAAATGCTGTTCTGTAGATTTCCTTTCTCATACTGTCTTTGGGTAATGCTGGTCTCATAAAATAAACTCCAAAGTATTTCCTTATCTTCAACTTTCTGGAAGAGTGTGAACAGAATTGGTGATATTTCTTCTTTTAATGTCTGGCAGAATTCACCAGTGAAATCATCTGGGTCTGGAGATTTCCTGTTCAGGTTTTCAAATACAAATTCAATTTCTTAGTTATAGGACTCTAGGTTTTCTCGTTCATCTTTTGTGAGTTTGGTAGTCGTGGTTTTTAAGTAATTGGCCCATTTCATCTAAGTGGTTGGATTTTATGCGGCTCTAATTGTTCATAGTATTTCCTTATGGCCCTTTGAATTTCTCAGGAATATCTAATGATAGGCCTTCTTATTCCTGCTATTGATAAATCGTGTCTTTTTCAGTCCCTTGATAGACTTACCAATTTTATTGAACTTTTATTATTTTTATTATTTTTTTAGATGGAGTTTCGCTCTTGTCACCCAGGCTGAAGTGCAATGGCACGATCTCGGCTCACTGCAACCTCCACCTCCCAGGTTCAAGTGATTCTCCTGCTTCAGCCTCCCAAGTAGCTGGAATTACAGGTGCCCGCCACCACGCCTGGCTAATTTTTGTATTTTTAGTAGAGACGGGGGTTTCACTATGTTGATCAGGCTGGTCTTGAACTCCTGACCTCAAATGATCCCCTTACCTTGGCCTCTCAACCTGCTGGGATTACAGGCATGAGCCACCATGCCTTGCCAATCTTTTAAAAAATCACCTTTTAGTTTAGTTGATTTTTCTATATTGTTTTTCTGTTTCTAATTTTATTACTTTCTGTGTTTATATCTAATTTCCATCTTTCTTGCTGTGAGTTTATTTTGCTTTTCTGTTTCTAGTTTCTTAAGGTAGAGATTAGTTGTTGATTTGAGACCTTTCCTTTTTTTCTAATAAGAGCATTTAATGTTGCAAGTTTCCCTCTAAGCATTGCTGTAGCGGCAACCCACTAATTTTGAAATGTATGTTCATTTTTATTTAGCTAAAATATTTTCTAATATCCTTGAGACTTTCTCTTTGACCCATGGATTACTACACAGTTTGTTGTTTAATTTCCAAGATGTGGAGATATTTTTCCCGCTATCTTTCTGTTTCTAATTTTTTCATTTGAATTTATTTACATTTGTTTTATGAAGCAGGGTTTGGTCTAGCTTGGTAAATGTTCAATATGTACTTGAAAATATGTGTATTCTGTTATTGCTGAGTGGAATGTTGTATAAATACCAATCAGATTCTGTTGGTTGATGGCATTTTTCAGTTCTTCTATATCCTTGCTGAAGTTTACTCTACTAGTTCTATTACTAAGAGGAGCATGTTAAAGACTCATCTAACTTCTTCAGGTTGTGCTTCCTGTACTTTGAAGCTTTGTTTTTAGGTGTATACATATTAGAGCTATTATCTGTTCTTGGTGAATTGATCCTGTATCATACGTAATGTCACTCTTTATTCCTAGTAAATTTCTTTGCTCTGAAATCTATTTCATTTGATATTAATAGAACCATTTTGGCTTTCTTTAATTAGTGTTTGTTTGGTATATCATTTTCCATAGTTTTACTTTTACCCTCTACCTATAGCATCATATTTGAGTTGAATGTCTTGTAGACAGCATATATTTAGGTATTTAGGTTACTGAAAAAAATCATTGGAACAAAATCTGTTTTTTAGTTGGCATATTTAGACAATTTACATTTAATGTAATCACATATGTTTGGATTTACATTTTCTATTTTAACATGCTTTCTGTTTGTACATTCTTTGTTTTGGGTTATTGTTTATTTCCCCTTTCCTGCTTTCTTTTGGATTATTTAAACATTTTTTAGTATTCCATTTTAATTTATCTATTGTTTTCCCCTCCATATTTCTTTGTATGACTTTTAGTAATAATTCTAGGGACTGTAATATACAAACTTGTCTTTTCAAAGTCCACTTAGAATATTTTATCATTTCAAATGGAATCTAGAAACTTTTCTCTATATAGCCCCCTCTACCTTCTCCCCTCTTTTATGCTGCAATTGTCTTATGTACTATCTATACATACACTAAATATACCCTATCAGATTATGCTGTTTTTGTCAAATATTTACCATTTCTGTTTTCTTCCTTTATTCTTCCTATTCCAAGTTTCTATCTAGTGTCATTTCCTTTCTGCTGAAAAACTTCCTTTAGTAATTCTCTCAGAGCAGGTCTCTTGACAGGAAGTTTTCGTTCATTTGAGAGTAATCTTCATTTTACCTTCATTCCTGAAGGATATTTTCACTGCATGTTGAATTCTGGGTTAATAGCTCTTTTCTTTTAACATTTAAAAAATATTTTACCCCTATCAGAAGGCTTCCCTGTTTTCTGATGAGAAATCCATAGTGCTACTAAAATATGTTCCACATGGCCAGTCATAGACCTTGGGTGGTGGTCTATTCTGAAGTTCAGACCTGAGGGTCTATGGTATGCTGCTCAAGATCAGATCCATGCAGATTCAGCTCAGGGGTGAGCTCAGAAACTCACAACCAGCTTTATAGAGTCACTTTCCTGAGCACCTCCCTCTCTGAAATCTGCCCAGTACCTTCTGGTTCCCAGGCTCCCTTTCTGTTCCGTTGGCCAGAAAGCTGGCTCTATTTATCCTGCCCTTCCTCATACTACCTACATCTGCGCTTTCATCTGGGGCCAAGCAGTAGGAAGATAGAGAGCAAGGGGGAAGAAAGCAGCAGGGTTTCATCCCACCCTCTTGGAAGTGTAGCTGCTCTGTCTGGAGAGAGGTTCCCCTTCCTCTGCATAAAAGGTTTCATGTGGATTCTGATGGCCACTGTTGCTCCTGCTATGCTGCTGTTGGAGGATTGCTTCTGGGATGCAAGGAAATAAATAAAAAACAAAAAAGGGCAGATTTAACCTTGCACAATCTGAGCATTAGGAGACCTTGTTCCTGCTCCTTAAGCCAGTACTAGAGCTCCTGGTCCTCTCTCTGTCAGCAGAGGCCCACTTCTGGGTGTGGGGCTGCATTGAGTCTAGGCTAGGAGATATTACAGGGGAAAAAATGGTGAACTCGCTGCTGGTTTGGTAGTGCTTCCCCAATCTGCACCCTACTATTTACTCTTCAGGGTCCTCAAATGGCTGTTTCATGCATTCTGCTCACGCTTTACAGCTGCATTCAGTGTGATGGACAGGACGGAGTAGGCTAACTCCATCTTACCAAGATCCAAAACTCTCATATATCTTTTCATATATTTTTTAATGAGTTTGTAAAAAACCCATAGAAATCAAAGGGTGGGAACAGAGAATATAAAAGCCTGGTGGCAGGGGCTGTTAATAAGATCCTTTTGCAGAAAAGCGTATGGGGTGAGCTGGACTGTAATTATAAGAGACTCTTGAAGAAACATATTTCTGGGTAGCTCTTGCAGAACAAAGAGAATGACAGACGAACTGGGCAGGCCCTTCTTCCCTTGGTATTAGTGTATCACTCTGGAATGAGCTAACATTAAAAAAGCATCAAAAGGAATCCGCCATTGCACATCAACATGGAGTTTTACTAACCCAATAAAACTACTGTCCTATGCTTCCCTACCCTCTGAGAGTAGATGTGCACCTCAGGCGTAGCTCTCTAGAACTCTGGAATCCAGAGGAGGGTTGTACTTGCAGCTCAGGATCCAAGCGAGTCCTAGCACAGTAGCCCCATACTCTTACAAAGGGGCTGTGTCTGTGGTATTTCAGGAAGGCTGAAGGAAGGAGAGTCACCACATAATGCAAGGCAGGAGAGGGCCATGGTTCCAAGGCAAAGTGTCACACACACACCCACACCCATACCCCTTGGGTTTCTCCCACAGGTGGAATCTTGGAGGCGCTTCTCTGAGAGGATTTCATAAGACAAATGCATATTATTTACACCATACTCAATGCTTCTCTCCCCTCCTTCTTGGTGAAGAGATGATACAGGTGTGCACACTTAGTGTGCAAGACTGGACTTCACACCCAGCTGCCCAAGATGCATGGCTGTAGCTGGGATGGGGATCAGGTCCTTCTGAGAGGCCTGTGGCACAGAGGAGGAAGGAAGATGCTCATTTCCCATCCTGCTGGGAGAGACCCTGTGCCAAGAATACTTTGAGCATGCAGGTGAATGACATCGAGCACCCCCAAGTTTGTGTCCTTGGCCCTCTGTCTTCCTTAAATTCACAAGAACGCATGCATAGTGGTGCAGGTACATTTTATACATCACCAAAAGTCCTATGTTTCCCTTGGGAAAAAATTAAAAACCATTGAATCGGAACTCCTCATCTGTGAGCTGGATCAGGAATGAGGATAAAAGGCAGTAAAAAGAGAAAAGAGGGGGGAAAAACTATCATTCCTAGGAAGCTCTTCCTTTTAATCCATTTCATATGTGGACTGCTCTGGCTGGCAATGTCTTCAGCTTATGCATCTCTGGTATCCATTGGGAAACTATCCATAACGTCTATCAGGCTTCCCTGCTACTAAGATGCTTTTCCTGGTGCCTCTTCCCAAGGGTGCCATCTTTTAAACTGGCTCCACTAAGTCTAGTTCTGTTAACTGAGTAAATAGGGCATCCTGATGGGGGAATATAGAAGATGCTCTCTGAATCAAAGACAGTTGACCAAATGGAGTGAAAGCTCATAAATTAAATGCTTTCCAATCAAGTTGGAAAGCTATGTTCGGAACTGGTGAAGGGAGCACTAGCAGGCTCCCTTGCTGCCAAGAAGAGCTGGTATTTGAACAAGAGGTACAAATAGGTATGCAGATAGATGTGCAGCTCTCTGAAGAGTGACTTCTTGCCCTTGGAGGGTCTCTATGGTGAGGAGCTAAAGGCATTCTATGAGGCATCCTATTTTCATGTTCCCAATTCCCACCGGGAGCTGAAGAGAGGTGGAGGGAAGAAGAGAATCCAGACAATTTGGCTTGGCTGAGATGAGCACTAGACAGACTTCAGAAGATGTGAGTTCTCATCCTCGTTCGGCACCTAAGCCAGGAGAGAGTAAGCAAGGCACTCCCAACCACACGTTCCTCAGTTTCCTCTTAAAAAACAGTGAGGACATTGATATGGTGATTCTGACACACAGCATTTAAATTCTCTGAAGCTCTCCCATCAAAAGATGGGTTCTAATTCTCCTTCCCTTGAATAAAGGCTGGACTTGGAGGCTGGCTCCTGATGAATAGATAGCAGCAGCAGTGACAATGTTTGGCTTCCAAAGCCAGGTACTAAGAGGAGATAGAGCTTCCCCGTGACATTCGCCCTTGAATGCAACCACGTGTTGTGAGGAAGCCATATCTCCATAGGGAAAGCTACTTCCAGTGGACATGCTGGTTGAAAGCCAACATCAACCAAAGGTGTGGGAGTGAGCGTGTCTTCAGGGGGTTCTACCCACCATCTTTGAGCTACTCTGGCTGATACCACCTGGAACGAAACAGGCACTCCCTGCCAAGCCCTACCCTAGTCAAAGATCCATGAGCAAAATGAATGCCATTGCTTTAATCCCTCACATTTTGGGGTGGTTTGTTACATAGCAACAGAAACCCAGAATAGTTAATGCCTAAACCAAAGACACACTGATACCCAAGTTCCTTCCAGACGGGGAATTCTGGCATATCTTACCTGGGGTCACTAGTTCTGCATTATAGGATGGGACAGGAACTGAAAAGGGTGCAGCACTAGGCTTCTCAAATCTGAGTTTTATAAACTGAGCAAAATAATAATAATAAATAAATAAATAAATAAATAAATAAATAAATAAATAAATGGAGCAAACTGAACCTTTCTAGAAGGCATATCAGGACTAGGCCTTATTCTTCCTTTGTAGTCTCCACAGTGCCTACGACTGAGGTTGTAGAAGGAACACACATTTCTGGTAGAACTGAAATATACCAAATAGGTGCTCACAGTTTTAAGAGGCAACTGCAGCACACGATGCTCAGTGAAGACAGTGCTGTCCATAAAAGGTGAACTTTCCTAAAGAATACATTAGAGCTGGTCATGCACATTAACAAAGAGCATCTATGAGCATTCCTATTAAAACTGACTGGAAGCCGGGCGCCATTGCTCACACCTGTAATCCCAGCACTTTGGGAGGCCAAGGCTGGTGGATCACTTGAGGCCAGGAGTTTGAGACCAGCCTGGCTAACACGGTGAAACCCCATCTCCACTAAAAATACAAAAATTAGCCTGGCGTGGTGGTACATGCATGTAATCCCAGCTACTCAGAAGGCTGAGACAGGAGGATGGCTTGAACCCGGGAGGTGGAGGTTGCAGTGAGCCGACATTGTGCCACTGCACTCCAGCCTGGGCAACAGAGCTAGACTCTGTCTCAAAAAAAAAAAATTGAATGGAAATGTATAAGAAAGGCTGACAGAGAATATGCTATAATATTAACAGTGGCTATCTCCAGGTGGTATGATTCTAAATGATCTTTGTGGCCGGGCAGGAGAATTGCTTGAACCTGGGAAGCGGAGGTTGCAGTGAGCCATGATTGCGCCACTGCACTCTAGTCTGGGCAATAAGAGCAAAACTCCGTCTCAATAAATAAATAATCTTTGCTCACATCTTCAAACATTTCAGAATTTTTCAAATGTTGTTTTGGAATTTTTTATATATAAGAAAATGTATAATTATAATGGGAATACAGATGACATATCTATTGCCTAAGATAGTGTTGGTCAATGGGTCTTCTGTGGAAAATCATGAAGAATTACTTGAAGAAAGGGGAAGGACCATGGCCAGAGGAGGTTATTTTCTTGCCACTATGTTTTTATTTTTCAGGATAATTTTTTAAATGCAGGATTGTATGATTTTTGGTTATTTGCTAATTGCAGTCTTAGCATCTTTAATGTGCTGAGAAGCCCTAAAATTCTCCACAAGGGAGAAACAGTAAACATACAGTCCGCAATTATTTTGGGGGCATTTCCTGGGATTAATATTCTCCATAATACATTTTGGGTAACTTCGGCATAAATCAAGGTCCATATAAGGTCAGTGCAGTCCCCTCCTGTGCCCAGGCTTAGAGTCTGGAGACAGGTGCACAACCCCTCACTTCCATAGCCCAGGCAGCATCCCTGCATGCTGAGGCCATGCGGTTTGGGGGCATCACTGGGCTCAGAGTCTCAAGAAGTTTGGTGTAAGAAGAAGACATTAGGCTGGGCATGGTGGCTCATGCCTGTAATCCCAACATTATGGGAGGCTGAGACAGGTGGATCACTTGAGGTCAGGAGTTCAAGACCAGCCTGGCCAACATGGTGAAACCCCAACTCTACTAAAAATACAAAATTAGCCAGACATGGTGGTGGACGCCTGTAATCCCAGCTACTTGGGAGGCTGTGGGAGGAGAATCACTTGAACCCAGGAGGCAGAGGTTGCAGTGAGCTGAGATCACGCCATTGCACTCCAGCCTGGGTAGCAGAGTGAGACAGAGTCTCTGTCTTAAAAAAAAAAAAAAAAAGAAGATGTCATCTGGCTGTGTGGGGAGAAAAGTTGCCCCAGCAGGAAGGGCTGATACCATCCTCACCTCATGGAGAACTTAGGGAACTATTGCAGAGACTTAGCAAAGCGTCTGGGGGTGACTGAGAGCAGCTGAGGCTGTCTATTCTCCCGAGAAGCAACAGAACAGCTTTACTCTTAACCACAGTTAGCAGAAAGTGTCTGGGCCCAAATGGGAAGCTGGCCTAATTTCATAGTGACTCTTAGTTAACAGTAACACAGGCACCATTTAATTGGAACATGATAGTTAGGAACTTGTCACCAAAATTCTAAAAAGAAACGTTTAGCCTTTTCTAAAGAAAGGCAGCATTTTCAAGTGGTGCATTCCTGATCATCTCTTTTCAATTTAAAATTTACTGAAATTATTGAAAAGGCTTTAGTAAACTGCCTTTTGCCTCAGATGCCCCCAGAGAGGTTCTGGATCTCCTTGAACGAAGACATTCCCAAGTTTCTAAGCCTGCCAGACACCACGCTTCTCTGACAACTCCTCTGAGCCAATCAAAGAACGCTAGCAGGGTAAAAGCCAAAAGCCCCTCAGCAGAGGGAGGCCCCTTTTCCATTCCATCGTTTACTGGGCTACAGGAAGAATTAGCATTCTGCCTGCAAGTACAGTTCTACTTTCCCCTTTGTTTTGAGAACAGAATCACTCATCTGGAAATTACAAGGTAATATACACGAATCGCATGTCCTATTACCTCCTGCGTTCTCACAATGCCTGCTGCTGCCTTAACCATAAAAAAAAAAAAAACAAAGAGGAAGCCTCAGAGATGTTTTACTGCCATTTTTTCCCCCCGTGTGGGAGCTTATGATGATGTAAGTAAAACCCAATCCAAAGCCTATGAAAGGAAATCACAGCAAAATTAGCACGACAGGCTCCAGCTGGGAGCATCAGCCCACTGTCCAATGCTGAGGGCCCGGGGTTCTCACTGCACTGTGCCTGCATGCAGGGGCACTCTGCAAGTGTGCATGGGGCTGGAGTCCTCCAAAAGGGCTACAGCCTTTCTGGGCAGACCTTTGCTTTCAGACCTACAGAATTTATATCCAAAGAAATGGTACAAATGAAACGAGAACAGTCTCTCTTCTTTGCCACATTACTCTCCCTGAAAGAGCAATTGGCTGAAAGGGTTGAGTTTACAAATTTCGATCTCCATCCTGTCTTGGCCTAAAACAGACTCTGCAGAAAGTGTTTTCTTTTCCTTCTTTATGCTTATTTTCATGAATGCATCTCTAACTTGCCTGAAAGCGCTCTGAGGGCAGGATAATGCTATGTATCCTCATCTGTAACATCCACTTGCTCACCACATCACTTAGTCAACAAATACAGATGGGATGGTCTCAGCCATTCATTGGTCCATGTCATTAAACTACCCTATCCTTTTCCTCCACCCCAGGGGGACCAGAAGAAATAACCAAATGGCTAAACCTTTTCCTTCTGAAATATCTGCTTCTGCAAAATGGCATGCGTAGGCTTCTTGTTTGCTTATGTTTGAACTCTTCCCTCTCATCTGAACCACTTTATTGACATTGAGACTAAGAATTAGGGTCAAAGAATCATAAAATTGTTTAGCTGATGTTTCAGAACCAGCATCCACTCCATTAAGAGCCCCAAGAATCAGCGAATCTGACCTGACACTTTTGATTCTCATGAACAAAGGCAGCAGAGCCATAAACTCCCCTTCTACTCTCCGTCTCTCAACCAAAGGTATGGGACTATGGAAACAACCTCACAGCTGACTGGAGAGAGGAGGTCATGGACTCATTTAACACTGGATTAAAGGAAGAGGTGAATATGAAGCAGTTTCTTCTTAGCCAACAGGTGCTCATTTCTGTCAAGAAATGGAGTAAGCTGGATTTTGCAATACGGCAAAGTTAGATAATTGCTTTCTTTGGAAAGCAAGAATTCCTATCAGAACTTATTTTCTCTACCCCTTGGGAAGGTGGTGACTCAAAAGGAGCGGCTTCCATTTACTGAATGTCACAGACGCTGTTAGGAGCCCAGACTTTAGAAACAGATGTGTGCATTTGAATCCCTGCCTGCTGCCAACTGGCTGTGCAATCCCTGAGCCTCAGGTTTCTCAACTGTAAAATGGGGCTAAGAATAACCTATTTTGTGAGGAGGTGTTGTAAGGCTTGGAGAATTACTGCATGTAAAATGCTCCAGGCAGGCTGTGAGCGCTCTGCAAATTTTAGCTTTCCCTATCAGCACTGCATACTGCACTGTGCCAGGGGATCAGACGCAGCTACATTTAATTTCTGCAATAAGTAGCTACTATTATCACCCCACTTGACAGAAGAAGAAACTGAGGCTAAGAGAGATTTAGTGACTTGCCCAAGGACAGACAGTAAACATTGGCAAGAATCAAAGCCAGGCCTGTCTGATTCTAACCCTGCGCACTTCCTGCTACCCCACACTGCTTCCTGGATGACCACAAATGCACGCGCATGCACGTGCACACACACACACCCTACAACACTGTTTCACATCAGAATTAGAAAGACATGCTTATAACTGGAATACAGAAAAAGCTGTGAACTTCATTATCTAGGGATTACAAATATCTCTCAATCAAGCTGTTTCCTTCTTGAGTACAAGGACTATATTTTTGCGTCTTCCCTGAAGAATAGAGCACTCAGTTCTGAACACACAATAGACACTCAATTAATACTCCCTGGATTTACATGGAAATTCACGGAAGAAAGTGGAACCGTGCCCTTGTTTGGAATACTTGATCAAACAACCCAAATACACCATGAATTCCCTAAAGCATCGAAAGCCTTGCCTAACACAAAGCATGTTTTCTGGAGGCAATGAGAGTTTTGATCTCAAGTTAAACATTTCTAATCTCATCAAAAATAATGGGTGAGTAAAAACAATTCATGCCAGGCCTCCAGGTGGGATTAGGGGAAGGGCCTCCCATGTTACTGCTATAAAAACTACTTTGAAAAGAATACGATCTTAGGGGTGTGTGTGTGTGTGTGTGTGTGTGTGTGTGTGTTCCCAAGTGTTAGGAGGGGTACTGCGTCCTTGCTATTTCTGGGTACCACCAAACGTTCTAAACTCCTTTTTCCATCTGAGTACAAGGGAGGAGTGTGGGCCCCAGCCTCACTACACAGGTCTCTGTGCAAAGATTTCCAAGTAGAGAAGTTTTTGGGTGGGGGAGGTATGCTTATGGCCCAAAGCAAATGGGGAGGGGAATGAATGAAAAGAAACTGCATACAAACTGATTTATTTCTAGGAACTTTTAGCCCAGATTTTTTTTGGCATGTCTATATTTGCTGATTTCTGCGTATGGTAGAGCCTAAACATGCATTTTTATCTCTTCCTGATTTAGAGGTAAGCGGTGCAGGAGAGAGGCAGGGATGGGACTAGAAGGGGTTTGGAGGGTGATATTAAAGATGACAACAGCAAAAGTAAAACTCCTATGAACTCCTTAGTCATGCCAGAATGCAGCTCTTTGTCTAGTCGGCCAGGTAGATTGAGTTTGGTCTTATATGAAAAGCCTCTTGTGGTCTGGGGATAAGAATAGAGTCTAAGATTAAAGAAGTCTGTATTGAAGTTCTCATTCTGCCACTTCCTAGAGCTTTCTGATCTCTGACAATGTACTCAACCTTGTTGAACTTTAGTCTTCTCACCTGTAAAATGGGAATAAGAATGATACACACTTCAAAGGAATGTTGAGAAGATAATATGAGATGACGTACATAAAAGGACTTAGCTCAGTACTGTGGGCACCCAGCGAATGCTGGCTACCACTGCTGTTCTTTCCATCATTTCTAATAAGAATGGCCTGCGCTTGAACCCGGGAGAGGGAGGTTGCAGTGAGCCAAGATCGCGCCACTACACTCCAGCCTAGGCAACAGGGTGAGACTCCATCACACACAAAAAAGATTGCCCTGTAAATGTATTACTGTAAAGTGTGCTGCATATTCATACACATGTAATGATGAATATTTAAAAAGCACTACTCAGTGTATTTTGTAGCTAATTTCCAAAATAACCAGTGAGGAAAGCAGGACAGACACTACTACCCTTACATTGCAGGTGAGAAAACAGAGGCTTTGAGAGATGAGGGGTCAGTTGGAATTCATCAGCTAGCACAGGGCAGGCCAGGAATGCAGCTCACATCTGTCTCCAGCGCTCCATCCATAGCTATGCTGGAGGAAACCAAAACATCCCAGAGGAAGGAACTCTAGTCTGGTCTAATCTAGTCTATTCATTTGTTGCTTGGAACCCAAGTGGATTTTGCAACCCTTGTAGGTTGTGACCTACAGTTTGCAAAGCACCTGGGTCCCAATGCCAAGTAAAGGGCTTGTCACTTCAGGATAAGCTGGGGAGTTCTATGCACTGATGCCTGTTTGAATTTTTATTGCAGAAATTTGCAAACATATGCAAAAGTAAAGAGTACTAAGAGTCCCCAGTGCTGATCTCCCAGATCCTGGGATGAAGGCTGTTCTGTCTACACTTCTGGCCATTTCCTCTGCTCCCTGATTTTTTTAAAGGAAATATTGGGGGAGTTTAAAACAACCCAGACTCCCCTTATGCCTTGCAGACTCAGGTCTGGCAGGTCTGGGGGTGGCCAGGGATTTGTGGTTCTCATGGCTGCCTCTCCAGGTGACATGGAACGACAGCTGCCCTGCAGCCACAGAGCTGGGTGGTACCTGAGGGCACTACCATTTACAGGTGACAAGCAAGCAGTGGGTTCTGTGAAGGGAAGTGGGCAAACCCTTTAGCTCTGCAGGCTCACGAGGCTGTCACAGAGGACGGAGAGCCCTGCCACACACAAGCAGTGGCAGAGGCAGAAAGGGGTGAGATCACAGCAAGGAGGCTGGTCCAGTGGGGTTGCAATGAAGAGTGTCTCCAGAGAGGATGTCCCCTGCTGCCAAGGCTCGTGGCTGGGCCTCCACCCGAATGACCTGCAGTGAGCCACTGAGGAGCTTCCTGCTCACGTTTTTTTCCCCAGAGCATGGCACAGTAACTGCCGACTTGGGTGAATCGTGTGAAACTGATGACATTCAACTGTTCCTGACCCTCTCAATGTCACTGTTATGATTCCACTGCATATCTAGTAGGCATTCAATACATGTCCAATGAAGGAATCAACATAGACAGGTTATCAGGGCTCTCACATGCCAGCTGCCAAGTTAGTATTTTTAGTTGACCCAACCACAGCGCAAGGTGTCTATGACATCTCCAATCTACAGCCGAGGAAACTGAGCTAATCTATGTATACAAAAGTGCTTAGCACAGTGCTGGGTGATGACTGCATGCTCACTGTGTGGCAATGATCATTATTATTATCCAAAGCCAGACAGAGCCCCAGCAACTGAGTTAGGACTTGAATCCAGGCCTGCTGGGCTCCAGTCAGCCTGACTTGTCAAGCAGTGTCTGTCCTGGAAAAGCAGTAACCAGAAGCCCTGAAAGATGACCAGTGTCAACAGGGGTACACAGGAGCATGACAAAAACCCAGACCACTCAGCCAGTCCTAGACAATGTGTCATTTCACAGTGAGGGGCAGGGCTGAGTGAGCTCTCTAGAAGGTTTCTCATGGAGCACTGCAATATGTCACAGAGAGTGTGTCCTACAGCTGCCTATCTTGCTGGTGGCCTCACCTGCACAGAGTGAAAGCCAGCGAGATTCTGCCAGGCAGACCCCCGGGGGCCAGAGAGCTCTGCTGAGCAGGGGGACAGCTGCATCTTACCTCTTGGCTCTGTCTTTCTCATCTTCATCCATTAGATTTTCTATGCAGTTTTTCCTGCAAAAAAAAAAAAAAAAATTAAAAAGAATGGATAATTACTGTCTGCTTCTACATCTTTCTTAAAAGTCTTTCAGGTTGTTGTCATTTTGGTCTTAGCCCAGTGGTTCTCAAACTTGTTGGTCCTGGCACCCCTTTACACTCTCAAAATGGACTGAGGTCTCCAAAGCACTTCTGTGTATGTGGGTTAAGGCTGAGAAATGTTTAAATGCACAGGCACTCTTTCATTGGGCATCGGAGCAATGAAGTCATCAGATGTCAAGTAACTTCTGGAAAAGTCAGAACAATTATGTCGTGTACACTCATGAGACAAGGAGAGCTCTTTTAAAAGGAGCAAATAACGAGTTAATTATATTTTGAAAAAATGTCTTGACCTCAAGGACCCCAAGGGTCTTCAGACCACACTTTGAGAAGTGCTGTCCAGACCTGCTCAGTGAAGCAGCATCTGTTCCTCTCAAGCCTTAGGTCGCACGCACCTCCCAGTGCCTGCCTGGGATCCGTTAGCGACACCACAGCGGGCCTTGTTCACTCCTGCTTGCAGGACCCCAGTGGCCTATGACATCCTAAAGGAGAGTGTTTATCTGTCCATTCAAACCACACAAGCTCCTCTGACAAGTGGCCTGGAAGAATCAGCCCCAAAGGAGTGTAATCCGCAGTTCCTCCCTTAGGGCGTTTACTCTCCTTGAGACAGCGAAGGTGCACAGATGTGAAAGATTACGTAACAATCCAGGAATGTTCTTCCTCAACACCGGAGCCTCTACTCTCCCAGGCCACTGGCTTGATGCTTCTCAGGCCCACAGATCCAGCTTCCTCTCCTACCACACGCAGGCCTGGGTTCCCTCCACCCCTCAGAGCTGCATAGCCCTGGCTCCTTTCTTCATTCACACATTTCCCAGAGCCCCACCTGTCTGGGGTGCGCCCCCCAAGTCAGCACATCAAGCAGAACCGTTCTCAGGGCACTCATGAGGCCAATGCCAGCTGTGGGAGTGGGAGGCTGAAGGCTGCGGTGGCTGGGAGGGCAAAGTGTGATCGAGGTAAAGGTGGGGACCATGGAGAAGCTGAATCACCACTGCCCACCCGCTTCTACGCTCAACACACAGGGTCTTCAGTCGGAACTCCCAAACCAGCACTTCGCAAATGCACCACCAATTACTCTTGAAATATAAAGTTTCAGATAAAAATTTTCAATGGAGCCAATCAATCTTTCTCTGAGCTCATTTAGTTTTGTGATTTTGGTCACCTACGTACACAAACATGGGTCTGAGCCAAAGCAAAGATGAATTCTGCAGCCACAGCCCCTGTTCACATAATGCCCATGCAGTCAACAGCAGGCATATTCCACAATGGACTAGCAAGAAATGCTGCTTAGAAGTTAAAGCCTGTATTACAATTGAGTCAGCGTTAACACATCTGCAAACAGGCCTGTGCTTAATGTTTTCCAGATGGAATCTGTTCAAAGTTTTATGTCAATTCATTGAATGATGCCCTACCCCAAGCCTGTGCTTCCAAGGAGAATGGTGGCTGATCAAAGCCCCAGGGCATGAGCAAGGACCCGGCCACGCTGTGTTCTTTACCAGGGGCCCCTGGACAGAGCTTGTCCACAGGAGGGCTGGCTGCTGCTCCTCAGTCCACTCTCCTGAGCTCCTGGGATCCTGTTTGGATGACCAGGGTTGCTGAGTCATAAACTAAACATCTAAAAATGACTAATAGCTCTTCTTTATCAACCACATCTTCTGTGATTTGTATGTTTATCCCGCAGACATTTCCTGAATCTATAAAACCTGGATGCTCTACACCCATTTCCTCTTCTTCAGCATCCCTCTCATTTCCCTGCCCCGTTCCTCTCACTTGACCCGACTAAGCCATTCAGCTGAGCTGCACCCAGTGTGAGGAGAGGGCCTCTAAGCTGAGTTCCCATTGCACCTGTCACAGAAGCTCCGTGCTGATATTTTTACTATTTTGTCACCTCTGTTGTCTACCATGTTATTTTTTCACTTAAAAAATTGTGATAAAATACACCTCAGAAATTTACCATCTTAACCACTGCTGAGTGCCCAGCTCAGTGGCATTAAGCACATTCATACTGTTAGGCAACCATCACCACCATCCATTCCAGATCTCTTTGCCCTTGCAAAGCATAAACTATTCATTCAACAAGAAGTCCCCATTCCCTACTCACTCCAGGCTTCGCAACTGCCCTTCTACTTTCTGTCTCTATAAATTTGACTATTCCAGGTCTGTCATGTAAGTGCAACCAGACAGTATTTGGCTTATTTCACACAGCGTAATGTCCTCAGGGTTCATCCATGTTGCTGCATGGGTCACACTCTCCTTCCTTTTTAAGGCCGAGTGATATCCCATTGCACGGAAACGCAGTGTTTTGCTTGCCCATTCATCTGTCCATGGACATGGGCTACTTCCACCTCGGCTGCTGTTGAGTGTGGGTGTCCATCCCCCCTTGCGTTTTAGAGTCACCCTTTTACTTAATAATAGGATCTGGAACCAGCTTGAAGGCAAACAAGGAACAGGATGGAAGGGAAGAAAAGCAGTCCTCTGAGGTCAGGTTAAAGGAATCACAGAGAAGTTTAGGGGGTGACAATGACTCTTCTCAACCGTATAAAGTTTTCAGTGAGAAGGATTTTGAGCATCTACTTTTTTTTTTATTTTGATCACAGAGTGCCAGAAAACAGAAAAGGAGCTTAAATGAAAGCAGAGGAGATTTTGTTTGGAGCTGAGACATAATGGTTGAGGTGATGAACCCCCAGAGTGAACAATGGAGGGATGCCGTACAGCCTTTACCCCAGATAACCATGTGTCCTACGTGGCGTAGACAGTCACGAGGTGTGTGAATCAGGGTCCCAACAGGAAAGCAGAAGGCGGGTGGGATCCTCTGAGGAGTGCTGACTTACAGGGGGGCTCTTTGTAAAGGTGTGGGTGGGGAGTAGGGAACCAAGAGGGACAGTGTGGTTACCTGAGGTGGGGAACGGCAGAGCTGTGAACACCTGTAAGGGGAAGGGACAAGAGGGAAATTACTTCCCAAACCTGGAAGGAGTGTGTCCCATAGGAGGCGGCCTTCAGTGAAGGGACAAGAAGGGAGCCAAGGGAATAAACACTCTCATTCTCCACCCACCCTCTGATCTCCTGCTGCATCTCCTTTAGCCATGTCTGCAGGATCCTCTGCACAGGGGAGCGTCAGGGAAGAGAGAAGGGAACACGCCCGGTAACATTCATCTCTCTGGGGCTCTTCCAGTTCTGGGTTTCTTGGGTTTTCCTAGAACACAAACTCTCCGGAGTCTTTTTAAGCTTTGTAACATCCCCCCCAGTTTGAAATCCAGGCATCTGCACCTAGCAACTGACCACACAAGAAATCATGATCAACAGTAACAATAATTATGGGAGCCTGATGAAAGGAGAGGCTGAGAGGGGTTCCCAGAACAACCTGAGCAACAAAATGAGTGACAACCGTATTGATTATAGCCTGTGCCACAAACTAAATACTCATGAGTCTTATTTATTTGTTTTATCGTTCCCCACCTCAGGTAACCACACTGTCCCTCTTGGTTCCCTACTCTCCACCCACACCTTTACAAAGAGCCCCCAGATAAATAAACAAATGGGGAGGTAGAAGGAGGGAGGGAGACAGCTTCCTCTTACAGAAGATTCCAATTAATAAATGTAGAAGGAACAATGGCAATAGAAAATCACCATCATGCTTCATGCTTCATGCCTGTAATCCCAGCCCTTAGGGTGGGAGAGTGGGAAGGATAGCTTGAACCCAGGAGTTTGAGACCTGCCTGGGGAATATAGTGAGGCACTGTTCTCCACAAAAAGGAAAAAGAAGAGAAGAGAAGAGGAGAAGGGAGGGGAGGGGAGGGGAAAAGAAAAGAAAAGAAAATCACCATCGGCATACCATAGTAATCATTGTTGCAGGCAAGATCCACCGATGGATGCTAAAATTAATGTGAAAAAGCTTGGGGAGAAACAGGATATTTGCAGAGTTTCAAAGTATCTCTCTCAAGGTATTTATTAATTACAAAAGAAAAACATTTTACAGGGAAGAAGGTTGGCAGACACCACTTTCACCTACTGGTCAACATTAACATCACCAGTGTTGAGTCATATAGAAGTCTCTGTGGAAATAAGCACTCGTTCCTCTTGGGTGTATATATCTAGGAGTGTCATTCTTGGAACACGGGGTAGCTGTATGCTTACTTTATTAAAAACTGCCAGGCTGTTTTCCAAAGTGAACGTACAATTTCATATTTGCACCAGTAGTGTACAAGGAGTTCCAGTGGCTCCATTCTAACATGTAATATTTCTTAATTTTAGTAATTTACGTGGGTGTGTTATGATATCTCATTGGGATTTGCATTTCCCTGATGACTAATGATGCAGAGCACTTTTCACTGGCTATTTAGATATCTTCTTTTGTAAGATGTCTAATTCTTTTGCCTGCTTAAAAAAATTGGACTGTTAGTCTTCATCATACTGATCATAGAAGTTTATCTCTACCAGGTACAAGTACTTTGTCAGAAAATATGAATGGTGAACATTTTCTCCCAGTCTGTGGGTGGCCTTGGTGCTTTTTGGATGGTGTCTTCTGATGAGCAGTTTTAAATTTTGATAAAGTCTAATTTATCAACCTTTTATTTTATGGTTAGCGATTTTTGTATTCTAAAATATATTTGCCACCTCAATGTCGTGAAGAATTATCCTATGTTTTCCTCTAGAAGCTTCATCACTTAGCTTTCACATTTTGATCCACAGTCCATTGCAACTTAAATTTTATGTGTAGTGTTGGATAGGGCTCGGACATTATTCACCACCACCCCCACCACGCCCCCAATATGGACATCCCTCCAGAATAGTTTGTTTAAAAGGCATTTATTTCCCTGTTGAATTGCATTAGCACTTTCATCAAATAGTGTGTGATCTTATATGCATTATTTATGGACTATATTTAGCTTCATTTATCCTATGTGTCTCAATTCTGCAGGACAGAATCAGGATGTCTGTGGGGTGAAAGACACATAAGATAAACTTATTAAAAAATAAACCGCATTTTTAAGAACAACTTTAGATTTACAGAAAATGCAAAGAGAGTAGAGAAAGTTCCCTTATCCCCACACCCAGTTTCCTGTTATTAACATTTTACATTAGTATGGTGCATTTGTCGCAACACTGATACCTTCTTATTAAGAAAAGTCCAGGCCAGGTGCCAGTGGCTCACACCTGTAATCCCAGCACTTTGGGAAGCCAAGGTAGGTGGATCAGCTGAGGTCAGGAGTTCGAGACCAGCCTGGGAAACACGGTGAAACCCCATCTCTACTAAAAATACAAAAATTAGCCCATGTGATGGTACACACCTGTAATCCCAGCTACTTGGGAGGGTGAGGCAGGAGAATCGCTTGAGCCTGAGAGGCAGAGGTTGCAGTGCACCGTGATCACGCCACTGCACTCCAGCTTGGGCGACAGAGCCAGACTCTGTCTCAAAAAAAAAAAAAAAAAAGAAGTCCATAATTTTCAGACAAACTTGCTCAGACTTCCTCAGTTTTTACGTAACGTCCGTTTTCCACTCTAGCACTCTATCCAGGACACCCCAGCACGCTTTGTCAGCACATCTCCTTAGACACCCCTTGGCTCTGCGAGTTTCTCAGGCCTTGACAATTTTGAGGAGTATCTGTAGAATGTTCTTCAGTTCGGGTTTGTCTGATGTTTTTCTCAAAGTCAGGCTCAGAATACGGGTTTTTGAGAGGAAGACCCAGGAAATAAAGTGTCCTTCTTATCACATCATGCTGTCAACATGGCTTGTCACTGTGGATGCCAGCCTTGGCCACCCGACTGAAGTGGCGATAAACTCACTCATAAGAGGTATGTTAGTTACATTTACATGTAATATGCACAATGTGTTTTCCTTCAACTTTCAGGTTTGTTTTTTTTTTTTTTTAGGTGAAAGACATCTAAATTTAAAGTGGTAGATCCAATTATTACGCTGAAAAAAATTATATGATTTTTGCCTGTACTTTTGGACTTAGATATATAATGAGTGAACCTGTATCAGATTAACAATTGGAGCCATTGCTTTACATTTAGAGGCCCTTCATCTGGAAATATATTGAGCATTTCACTTGAAAATATAACTCCTCTGTTGTTTAAACAAACTAACTCCATGTTTCCCAATTCCACCACACCCTTTGTCTATTGTTATGCCGGTACCACACTATCTTAACTCCTAAAGTTGTGCAGTAATTACTGACATAAATGTAGGGTGGGCCTTCCAACGTTGTTCTTATTCAAGTTTACCTTGGCCATTCTAAGTCGTTGCACAGCCACATAAATTTTAGAATTAGCTTGTCAATTTCTATAGAAATGCCTGATGCAGCTGGGTGCAGTGGCTCATGCCCATAATATCATTGCTTTGGGAGGTTGGGGCATGAGGATTGCCTGAGGCCACGAGTCGTCTGGGCAACACAGCAAGATTCCGTCTCTACAAAAAAGTAAAAATTAGCTTGTCATGGTGGTGCATACCTGTGGTCCTAGCTACTTGGGAGGATGAGGCAAGAACACTGCTTGAGCCCGGAGTTCAAGGTTACAGTGAGCACCAGCCTAAACAACAGAGTGAAACCCTGTGCCTCAAAAAAAAAAAGTGATAGCTTGATGCGATTTTGATTGAGAATGAATTGAATTTGGGGATCAATTTTAGGAAAACTAACAATGTGCAGGTCTCTGATCCATGCACCGTGTGTACTATCTCCTTCTATTTGCCTCTCCTCTTGGGCTCTGTGATGAGGCAGGAGAATGTATATGCCAAAGCACAAATGTGCCAACTGCATGTGATATACAGTGATTCAACAGATACTCCCTGAGTGCCTGGGCAAGGGGGAACCCACTGTGAGCAAAGCCGCTACTCTCATGGTGCTTACATGAGGCGGGGGATGCATGTGTCAGGGGAGTTGGGGAAAACTGCAGGCAAGCAAATAAGTAAACACAGAGCCTGTTCTTTGGTTATCACTGCAGTGCAGGAAAAGGTGAATCCTGGGTGGGACGGGGTTCGGGGAGTCTTGTTCTGATGTTTTAGGGAGTCTTGGAAGACCTCCTTGATGAGATGCTATGTGAGCTGTGACCTGAAGGGAGTGTGGGAGTGAGCAGTGAGGGTGCCTCCCCCAGACAGCAAGGAAAGCGAGGAACAGCCCAGAGGCCAGCCCGGTGATTGCTTTGGTGAGGGGGAGGTGGAGCCAGGGGCAGAGGGGCATTGTGGCTTTTGCTTTATGTGAGACGGGAAGGCACTGGAGGTTTTGAACATGAGTGACAGACACCTATCTCAGAGGACAGCGGTGAAACTTAAATGAACTTAAGTTTGCAAAGTCTGGCCTGCAGCAGACACTCAAAAACAGGTTCTCTACTTTGATGGCAAGGATTAGGCAAATTGCATCTTCACCCATTTCACGATGGCTCGCCCAGCTATGATATGGTTTGGCTGTGTCCCCACTGAAATCTCATCTTGAATTTAGTTCCCATAATCCCCATGTGTCCTGGGAGGGACCAGGTGGGAGGTAATTGAATCATGGGGGCAGTTACCCTCATGCTATTCTCATGATAGGAGTGGGTGCTCATGAGATCTGATGGTTTTATAAGGGGCTTTTCCCCATTTTGCTCAGCAATTCTCCTTCCTGCCATCATGTGAAGAAGGACGTGTTTGCTTCCCCTTCCGCCATGATTGTAAGTTTCCTGCGGCCTCCTCAGCCATGTGAACTGTGGATCAATTAAACCTCTTTTCTTTATAAAGTACCCAGTCTCAGGCAGTCCTTTATAGCAGCATGAGAATGGACTAATACAAGCTCCTTACCCATATTAGGTGCTCAATAAATGCATGAGGAATGAAGAAGAAAAGGAAGGGAGGAAGGGAGGGAGGGAGGAAAGGAAGGACAAAGCCAGGGCCAAACCCCCATCTGAATTCCTGTGCCACTACCTGACATTCACTCCCACAAACCTCCCCATGATCGTGGTGGCTCCAAGGTAATAGTGCTTACAAAGTACATTTGAAGGGACAGTTATATCCTGGTGACTAAAATTAAAACAAAAACTTCTGCATGTGCAGGAGCTACTGACTAGAGGGAAAATCCACTCAGACAGCACTGGCAGCCAGGGCTCTTCAGGAAGGCCCAATGGGTCCCTCACCAACCCCTGGCAGCTGCCAAGTTCTGAAAAAACATAATCTCATTTTGTCTCCATCAGTTCTGTGGGTGGAATGGGCTGGCTATAGTTATCCTCCACTCATAAATCAGGCAGCACCACCCCCCAGCAAGGCTAAGTGGCCTGCCCACAGACACAGGCTTGGGGACAGAGCAGACCCTGGGCTCTGCCTCCTGGCACTGACTCAGGAGGCCTTTCTCCAGCCACTGCTGCTCAGAATAGGGGGTTTCCGACTTCAGAGTCAGTCTGATTTAAATCTCCATTCCAACCTACTTGCTCTATGATCTTGAGTAGGCCCCTTAAACCTCATGAGCCCGTTCCCCTCATTCCTAACACAATGCAGCTAACACCCACCAGGCAGCAATTGTGCAAGGTGCAAACAGGAAGCAGGTCACAGGTATGTGTGCAATAAAGGACCCAGCATGATGCCTGGGGCACAGAAAGCTCTAGGTGAGTTCCATTCATTGCACACCTGCCCCACCTAACTGTCCTACCCCTTCTGTTCACACTGTGGCCACTGAGCCCCTGCTAAGGGAGGTGACACTGAGCTTCAGCCTTTCTTATCTACTTTGAATTTCAACGAACACATTCTCTGCACAGTAAGGAGGTCACCAGGGGTGAAACAGAAATGGACTCTGGGGTCACACAGACCTAAGGTTTCAGAGAGGGGCTCCTAAACAGAGACAGAAAAGGCCATATTGGTAGGAAGAGTGCCTTACAGCCAAGAGGCACCCGCAGGCAGGGGCTCCAGCTGAAGCCTGAGTCTGCCCCACCCCTAGGGACTACCTGTGGCTGCTGCAAACAGGACTGTGAGGACCACTGAGTGGGGGCATGGGGGTAAGGAGCTCTGCCAGGCCCAGTAAACAGACCAGCTGGGGAATCTAATCAAGCAAGGCCAGTGGAGCACTGAGTGTGGAGGGGCGGGGAGGAGGGCTGGAACTCCTAAGGGAATTGGCAGACAGCCACCCCTGCTGCTGGCAGGCAGAGCTACTGGGGCACACTGGGTGTCAGAGTTCCTGGGTCCAGCATCCACATCTGTGAAAGGGAGAAAGGCAGTGGTGGCCTGGGGTCAGGCGACCCAAACTGAGACCGACCCAGGCTTTGCCCTTCAGTATCTCTGTATAACCTTGGACAAGTGTGATGCTCCCAGCCCTAGCTCCCCAACTGCAAAGTGAGAGAACAGAAGAGCTTTTCTCACTGTTTGGCTGTGAGACAGCATAAGAGAGTCCAAGGGAAGCCCCCAGCACAGTCCCCGGCACAAATAAGTCATCACAAAATTGTAGCTGCAGAATTTTAATCACACTATCACTAATGATCATGAATTAAAGGGCTCACAGTAGAAACTGGTACTTAAGCCCAACAAGTGTCTTTGGGAGAAACAGGATAATCATTCCCTTCTACCAGTGTTGAAAATGTGTATGTGTGTGTGTGTACGCATGATGGACAGACAGACACACATACGCTGTCTAGAATACTGGACTAGCTAGTGATAACTGTATACAGTACCCTTGACACAGTAAACTCCATCTTAGAGAAAGACTCCATCTTACATTTTAAAAGGCACCTTGCCAACAAGACTGGATGTTTTGCCTAATCAATGAAGACTGCTTCCAACAAGGACATAACCAAGTACATTCCTCCACTCAGTCCTCACCAGAGGACTCTGCGGCCATAAGAGCAGTACTTCACCAGCTAGAAATGGCTGTCCCCACAGACTCCATCTTGCTGTCGCTTGTGATCAGCACCCAGCATCCACTGCCCAATGCTCTGCCCACATCAAAGACTCTTCCTTGTGAGACCAATGGACTGCCCAGACCAGGCCAGGACATTCTTTTTTTTTTCATGTTGCTCTCCCTGGACTGGTCCATTAACCCTTTTCTTTTGATGTTAAATGTTACTTCATTTATTGTGAAATGTTTAATCATTTATTTATTGATAAGTGTACTATTATGCATGGTTTGCAACACTGACTGACCTGTGGAGTGGCTTGAGCCTGTGTGCCCGCGGCTCTGACTCCTAAGTGAATGGGAAGTAGTAAGGGGAAGTTCCTCCTTGGGAACTCAATGGAGCTTCCAGCTTTTGTGATTGAAATCACGTCAATAAAAGTCTGACCTTGTGGAGAGACACAAACATGCATGGACCTGGTTATCACTGACCCTGAGCCGCTCATAACTAAACAGGAAAGCAACCGGCCATTGTGAGGTTGTGAGGAAGGAGAGAAGGGAATGGAATGACTATCAGGTGAAATGACTGGGGTTTTCCTTCACACAGCAGACCCTCAAAAAATCTGTTGACTCTAACTGAAGCAAAGGACAAAAGTGAAGCCTGCAAATGACATTCACACACCCAGGTGAAATTTCTGCCCCAAAGGCTTTAGAACATTCTTTCTCACAGCCACCTACTACACAACTGATTAGAATTCTGGCCCCTGGCAAATGGGGACCTGGAAATGGCAGCAGGATTATTTTGTCACGGCATATCCGCCCTGGGTCCCAAGTGCGTCAGCAGTGAGACAGAAGACTAATGAGTCATACAAGTGACAGTCTCCCCCAGGGACTAGCAGCTCACCCAGGTCTCCAGAGAGGGCCTCATGCAGCACGCACGGAAAGGCATGTTACTCCACTCATGCAGGAGGTAGCAACCCTTTTCTCCAAAGGGCCACCTGGTAACTATTTTAGGTGCAGAGCATCCAGTCTTTGTTGCAACCACTCAACTCTGCCATTATAGTGCAATGCAGCCATAGACAACATGTAAATGAGTGGGCATGGCTGTGTTTCAATAAAACTTTATTTACGAAAACAGGTTGTGGGCCAGATTTGGTCCCCAGACAGCAGTTTGCCAAACCATGTTAAAGAATCACTGGAATCATGACTAAACTTTCCTCTTCAGTGTCTTTTAATTTAGAATTTTTTGTAAAGTCTTTATAGGCCCAGTGGGTCACTTTGTATCATCATGAATTTTCCCTGAAATGACTACCCCAAGCCTGTTGTGTTGCAAGGCCTATGTTTTCACAAACATAAAATCATGATGTATTGAAATTGGCTGAGAACTGGTTTGAATTACAGGTCCCAAGTTAGCTGGAAAATCCTAACACTCTTCCCCACCATACCAACCAAGCCTGGTAGAATTTAATCAAAAGAAAAAAATACAGAAAACAAGAACAAGTTGGAATCATAAAAGGCAAAACCGAGCACACACATCTCCCCAATTGATGGGGGTTTATTTATTGCTGACAGAGTGTGTACCTTCTGTCCTCCCAGCCAGTCCCTGGTGAGGGGACCTCATGTCGTTTTGGATTAACGTCTGTATCTCACACATGGGAGCTTGGTAATGATTTTTCCTCATTATGTTAAGGAATAAAAAGCCTTTGAGCAACAGTTGCTGATGAACTGCGACGCTCACTTATCTTCCTTTGTCATTTGGGGAAGCTAGGAAATAACTTCCATATTGTGATTCTTCCTCTCCAGGGAATGGCTTTTGGTGTTGCAATGATTCATTCAGTGAGAAAAGATAAATTTCTAAGGCCAAGCACAGTGGCTCATGCCTGTAATCCCAGCACTTTGGGAGGCTGAGGTGGGAGGATCACTTGAGGTCAGGAGTTCTAGACCAGCTGGCCAACATGGTGAAACCCTGTCTCTACTGAAAATACAAAAAATTAGCCGGGTGTGTTGGTGCACGCCTGTAATCCCAGCTACTCAAGAGGCTGAGGCAGGAGAATTACTCGAACCTGAGCCAAAGGCCGCAACGAGCTGAGATCACGCCACTGCATTCCAGCCTGGGCGACAGAGCGAGACTCTGTCTCAAAAATAAATAAATAAAATAAAAAATAAATTTCTAAAGGAGATGGACAGTGAAAGCCTGAGAGCCGGCAGCTCCTGCAATCCCAATTCCCCTCCAACTAGGGAGTTCTCATCGCATTCTGGCACATTCTCTGACCTGGAAACGGCAAGGCGGACAGATCCAATCCTAACACTAGCCCTCTCCAGCCTTGTCCCAAGGAGCCGGGTCTCACAGTGCTTGCTGGAGCCTCATAGAGCCAGATGGCTAGAAGAAACCAAGACAAGACTCTCATGAGCGTCGTGACCATACGCAAACGCTACCATGAGTGTCTAAAAAACCAAGCTGAAGCTTTATCTGCCTGTTACAACCATGGTTCCTCCTTCATGATTTCCTTTTTCCAAGAATCTGATGATTCATTATTCAGAGAGAGGGTGACATATGCAGTGAAGGAATGGATGAAGAAAGTTGAAAAATTTGTTATTAAGTAAATGTACCGTAACATCGTTTGGTCAGCAAATAATTCTCAAGATAGAAACGGCCATGATATCTGGATGGAAGGGCCATCCTAACACAACATATTATTCTTGCAACCTTTGACATTTATGTTGCAATCACCTCAGGTTCCTTTTAGGGGGACTCTCTATCAAGAGTTCGGATGGCACAGTGTAAACCTGAGTCAACTGGGGACTCTGATGGGTGACAGTGTGTGGTCAGGGTGTGGACAATAGATGCCTAGAAAAATCAGCAAGAGGGGAAAAGGAGATTTACGAGTCATGCTTGGAGCTGAGTCAGTGAAAGCCTTTGTTGGAAACCGCTGTTCGGCTGCCACAGACAAGCCGAAATGAATCCACAAAATACTGCTCCAGCAAGCATCTCCCTCCATGGAACTGTTCCCCAAATGCTCCTTCAGGTCCAGAAATGCTCATCTTCACTGTGCTCAAGTTTGCAAGGAGAGAAAAAGTAGGTGCCCTTGAAACAGGAAGTCAAATTAGTTTTGGACACCTAGACTGTGGAATCTTGGGTTTAATATCAAGAGTTTCAAATAACATTTAATCAAAACGTAGGAGGTTTGATGTGAATTGCTAATTGAGGCAGCAGAATTAGTTTGGAAACTAGCCAGATCTAGGTTGAAATGTCCTCAGTGCTCTTGCCTTCACTTGTGTGGTGGCCTTGGAGCCTGGGCATGATGACCTCATCTGTAAGCTGAAGTGGACCCACTTTTCACAATCGATAGGAGAATCTGTTGGGACGCCTCATCTGGTTAATTGCCTCCCCTTCCACAGCACAGCGGTCAGAAATGGTGACTTTAGAACGAGAACAGGTGGGACCTTCAGAGCCGCAGGTCACGTGGTCAAGTATGTCCAATGCTGCACACCTTGTTGGTAGGACATACCCTCATGTTGCACCATCAGAGCTGCAGGTCACGTGGTCATGCGTGTCCAATGCTGCACACCTTGTTGGTAGAAAGCACCCTCATGTTGCACCATCTACCTTCTCCTGTCATCCTCACTTCTTTTTTTTTTTTTTTGAGATGGAGTCTCATTCTGTCGCCCAGGCTGGAGTGCAGTGGCGCAATCTTGGCTCACTGCAAGCTCCACCCCCCGGGTTCACGCCATTCTCCTGCCTCAGCCTCCCGAGTAGCTGGGACTACAGGCACCTGCCACCACGCCCGGCTAATTTTTTGTATTTTTAGTAGAGACGGGGTTTCACCGTGTTAGCCAGGATGGTCTCGATCTCCTGACCTCATGATCCACCCGCCTTGGCCTCCCAAAGTGCTGGGATTACAGGCGTGAGCCACTGCGCCTGGACCATCCTCACTTCTTTTACTTACAGTTTAAGCAGACAGCACACTGCTGGCCCTCCCTGTGCAGCCAGGGGTCTCCTGCCCACCACCCCTGCTGACTCAGCCAAGGCCAAGTCAAGCTCACGGGCTGCAAGGGGCCCCGCAGGGAGCAGATGGGACAGCACCAGCAGCAAGGAGCACTCTTCCTTCACACCCGGGACTCTCTTATGATGTATTAGATTTAACATATTCACTGTTAAAGTATCTGTGATGTTGGATCCTCCTCCACTCCTTCCACTGTCACTGTATCATGCAATTCAGCTGAGCCTGGAAGAGGCATGCAAGCAGAAGGAATGGTTTGTTCAAAGGCCCTGGGGCATGAGAAAATGGGGCATTTGGAGCCCCTCAAGTGGCTCTGAGTGGCTGGCTCCTCACTGTATTTGGGCCTGATGACCTGAGGGTACAGGGACACCTGTGGTACTGCCCAGAGCACCTGCACCTCTCCTTGCCCCGAGATTCCCCGTAGGCTAGGGTCCCTGGGAAGGCCTGCACAATTTTGTGTGGAGGTGCATTCAGGGGTAGAAACTATCAAGGAGATCAACGTTACTAAGTTTGCCACCCCTTCCCTGCACCCACCTGTCCCTATAGTCAGAGATGATGAGGGGCCTTGGCTGGGCCCTGAGGCCAGCTGAGAGCTCGCACTACCTCTGAGCCCAGCCTGCTCCCTGGACACAGCCGGCCCACTGTAGGGGACCAACATGCCTTGCAGAGGCATTATACCAGGGCTGGGGCCTAACAACCCTCAGAGACGTGACCTTGCTAGCTGTCATCCTGGTGTGTCACACTAAGATCTGGCAAAGCTACATACCTCATACAGTATGCACACAGAAGCAGGAGGGTGCCCATTTCACTCCCAATGAACCAGGAACTCACCACTGCACGCTGCCAGGAGGAGGGTGTGCACGCAAGGAAAACCTCAATCCTTCTAGTTGCTCTACATATCCCTCCCCGCCCCCGAACATGCCCACCCCACGCTCTCAATCTCAGGGGACGTCTCCAAGGCATCTACACAAATCTACACAATGATGCATTCATACGGAAAATGGCATTAATTCACCATTTTTAAAAAGTCAATTAAAAAGTAAAAAGCATTGAGATGTATCTGCTAGGTCACCAAACTGACAGGTTGCTGCTTTTCTTTTTAAAATCTGAGTTGTCTGAAAACCCTGGTTGGTTGTGTTGGATGCAGGCCCAGCTGGGAATTTGGGATCCATTGGTGATTGCTGCCTGGTGAGGCCTTTCTCCCACCACCTTGATAAAACTAGATCCTAATCCACAGAGTGAACCAACCCTAGACATGCCTCTCCCAAAACCCCAACCAGCCCAACTTCAGGATATCCGGTGTGGTAAAAATGTGTGCATGGATCAAATACACAAGAACAAAACTAATGTCAGGAAGACCAACCAGTAGGCAGAGAAGCTGGGATGTGGGGATCATAGGTCAGTAGGGAAAAAAACTGGTCGTCTCCTCGAATGTCACACGGCAAAGGGCATGTCTCTGCCTGTGCTAGAAGAGCCACTGGATACAGGGTGAACCTCAACAAACAGAAAGCCCCGTGGCAAGCCCTTCCCAAGAGCTTACAGCTCTCCCTAGTGAGGGGCTTAGGCAATGTAGGGCCGAGTATTTCCATTTTCCCTCTTCGAACACCAAGACTCAGAGTCCCATGCAGGTATTCAACAAATGTTTGCTGAATGTCTAAAGAAGAGCTACTGCCTTAATTGAGTGACAAACATTACCATCACCGGTAATGGGACAGGTAGAAATGACTGACTTTTATGTCATCTCTAGGTCATCTGGGTTTTGCCTCAGCAGGACTAGAAATCTCCAGTTTCTCAATGTCCATTCAGATATTCATGTTGTATATTAAAGATGTTTTAGATCCCTCTCCTTACATCTGTCACTCTGCCTCTGAATAATGCTGGGGAAACTGCAAGAGAAAAGAGAAGTACATATTTTTCTTTTTAAAAAGAGACTGAGTTCCTCCTTCTGCAAATGTCTAAAGAAGTGGCCCCAGTTAAGGCATAATTCACCCACTGGCCCGATTCCTCCTCCAAAGCTCTGGGTGGTGGCTTCGGGGTGTCAAGGAGAGTCCAAGACATGTCCGCCTGAGTCAGAAGTCATGGCATCAGAATTAGAAGGCACAGGCCCAGGACCCAAGGCATGTTGCTACACACAAAATCCATGAGCTTGAGAGATAAACTACACATGAAGCTCTGGCTAGTGGTTTTCTTGTACATTAGCTTATTTAATCATGACAGTCTGGGTCTGATCTTAACTATTTTCCCCTGAACAACTCTAACAGATACTATCCTATGTTCACAGGCAGCAATATAGCAATATTTCAGCAAAGAATAAAGGTAGTAACTATGGGGTGGGGGGATAACATGTACATCTACTAGCACTTCACATGGTTCCATATCGTAGCATTCAAACCCTCAGATGACAAGCTGCCAGTCTGTGACTTTAGCCCCATCCTCATCACATTGTCCCCCTCTCCAACACTTTCTACCCTACTAGCGCATCTTCCTCCGCCCCCACGGCTCATCCCTATCCTCTTCTGTTTCTGCTTCTCCTTGGCTTTAGCTGTTCACAACCCTCCCCCACTGGATGGTAAACCCCTCAAGCACAGGCATGGGTCCCACCCTCCTGGCATCTCTGCAAGTGGCTGATGTTCTTAGGGCTTAGTATAGAATATGAAGAGCTTCCATTTAGGAATCTGTGTTTAAAGTTTGGAAAGAAGCCTGGCATTGGTTCCCGCAATAATTCATCCTAATGCAGGATCTCTTCGGGAGAGGCTGAATATGGGTTGCAGGATGCCCCTGTGCTTGGACCTGGACTCAAGCCATCCTGGGTGCTGGGCCCTAACTCTGCAGACTAAGGGCAAAAAGGGCAAACAGATTCAACCACACTCACTCAGAAGACTGCCATCTGTATGACTCGGAAAGCAACTTGCTCTGCCCAGCCCCTCTGGATGAGGCTAAACAGGCTTAGCCTGCTGTGGGCAAACAAGAAAAGTAGGTCAGCTTGACAGCCCAGTTCTTCCATGGTGATGAACTAATGATGCGAATGCAGGGCCCGTTCGCGGAGAGGGGCGGTGCCGGCACCAGCCCAGGCCCTCGGCTGATCCCAGACCCAGCCTGGGTGGCTCATGCCAGCCTGTGGATGGCAGACAGGGGACCCGGGTAAGAGGAAAACCCAGAGAACACTTGGGAAGATGGCTCAAAAAAAAAAAAAGAAAAAGAAAAAACTGCAGAAAAACAACTGTGTAAATTGACACATTGCCATTTCCCTGTTATTAAAGACACATGAATTCATGTCTGTATGGTGCTGTGATACTTGCACAGGCTGCTGGGCCTGCACGGGTGCATTATAGTGATAATTTGCACGAACACTGCTGAGAAACCGTGGTGCTACCTCCCAGCTCGCCTGCATGACGTCCTCTCCCCTCACCTCTCCGTCAGCCACTGGCAATAACAAGAGGCTCACTGGAGCTGAGGACGGACTTGAGTCAGTGGTTCAGTGGTGCCAGGATTGGTGGGCACAAGGCCCCATGCCACGGAGGAGGCCACTGCTCTGTTCCTGCTGTTCCTGCATCCAGTCTGGGCTGTAGCTGTCCGACAGAAAGGCTTCCACTTCTGGCCTCTCTGGCTCAGAAGCTGGAACGCTTTGAGGGAATTCCCCTGAGTCTCAGGTGCTCTACTTATAGGAGCTAGTGTCTGGATTGGGGTTGTCTCAGGAGGGCCCAGCACAAACCTGGAGGCTAATGCTGGGGTCCTCAGGAGGCCAGTCCTGCTTCCTAGGGCTCATAAGAGGACAGTGGCCTTGCAGCCCAGGCCAACGAGGAAGCAAAGGAATCTGTTCAAATGCAGTTATGTATATTTAGAGCCCTTTCTTCCTCAAAATGCTGGACATTTTTCCCCTTTATGTCACGTTTATAACAAATGTATTAGAAGGTTCTGTCAATCAACATTTTAGAAACATTCAAATCTAAAAACTCATGACTCTGGGAATGTTTACCCCACCTCTTCCAGGAAACGACCTTGTCTGAAAGTTTTGTCTTTGGCATTTTTAAGAACTGAAGGAAAGAGCTGACATCATTTCTTCCTCCTTTCTCTCTTTCTCCTGTCCCTTGGCCTTTGTTCATGAATTCATCTAGAGGATATTAAAGGAGATGGGAAATCTACCATTTATGAAGAGAGGCAAGGACTCTCGCATAACGTGGGAACAGTCCTGAAAGATCCTGGCTTCTAATCGTGACTGTTGCTTAACTAGCTTAGGCAAGTTCCTAACCCTCTCTGCCTCAGTTTCTCCCCTTCACAGGCCATCTGTGAGACCTGAGAACACAATCCCTTAAAGCAGCTAGAATGTGGGACAGCATAAAACTCAATGAATTGTTAGCTCAGGTGGTGGCTACTATCACAATGCAAAAAAACAACTCCAAAGGCATATTTAAATGCTTCTACATTTAAATAACAGATCCTAGCTATGGACATCAACTATCTTCATATTTAAATTCCCAAGATATTCACCAGCTACCAGGGAGCCTGCAGAGCAAGTCCTTTTATGTGCAGACCTCGGGATCCAAAAGGTTGCTGGATAGGAGACCTTGGCTTGTGTAACAGTGTTTTCCTGAAGAGCTGAAGACAAACAAACTTGGGTAAAGTGAATCATACTTTAAATGTGCGAGTGGCTTGGGGGCCCACTAATTGGAGGAGTGTGGATTCCCACCCACCCTCACTAACGAGCCTTCTGCAATGCAAAACTCCAAGCTGCCAATTAGTGTGCTTAACAAAGTATCATACACCTGGTTTCCAGGCGACCACAACTCACTGCAATTTTGAAATTCTGGACAAAATAGGGAGAAGTTTGGATTTTTAAATTTTAAATAAATGATTTTACATGTCTAGCCAAATTTAACAAAATTGAAAGTGAAATGCTGTTAAAATAAATTGGCTAGCCGGGTTCGGTGGCTCATGCCTGTAATCCCAGTACTTTGGGAGGCTGAGGCAGGCAGATCACCTGAGGTCGGGAGTTTGAGGCCAGCCTGGCCAACATGGCTAGGCTGTCTCTACTAAAAATAGAAAAATTAGCCAGGTGCCTGTAATCCCAGCTACTCAGGAGGCTGAGGCAGAAGAATCACTTGAACCTGGCTGGGGGAGGTTGCAGTGAGCTAAGATCACACCATTGCATGCCAGTCTGGGTGACAGAGCAAGACTCCATCTCATAAATAAATAAATAGGCTATACATTAGTCCTACCTATGATTCAAAGCATTTCTTATAATGCAACAGCATTATCACAAAGAACGTTCCATTTACTTGACTTACTTAAGTAAGCAATTCAGGATATCTTTACCTAAATAAAGCACGAAGTTTTCAATTCCCAGAGTACCCTAAATTATAGAGTTCATTTAAAAACTATCAGATCTTTGGAACAAAACTAAATAATCATTCCAAGGCCACATACACATATACTCTTGCATGTTATAAATTTAAACAGAAATTTCATTTTTGCAACCTATTTGGAAGAAAAAGAAACCAACAAGGAAATAAATAAAAAAGTATATGTCTGGTTTAAATAAAAACATTAAAAATTTTTCTGTTTTCTGGAGAAGCAGTACATATTCATTGCAATTCATTCCCTCTTTCATTAAGAATACAAAGGATCGGCTGGGCGCGGTGGCTCACGCCTGTAATCCCAGCACTTTGGGAGGCCGAGGCAGGCGGATCATGAGGTCAGGAGACAGAGACCATCCTGGCTAACAGGGTGAAACCCCATCTCTACTAAAAATACAAAAAAAATTAGCTGGGCGTGCTGGTGGGCACCTGTAGTCCCAGCTACGCGGGAGGCTGAGGCAGGAGAATGGCGTGAACCCAGAAGGTGAAGCTTGCAGTGAGCCAAGACTGTGCCACTGCGCTCTAGCCTGGGTGAAAGAGTGAGACTCCGTCTCAAAAAAAAAAAAATTATATATATATATAAAGGATCTTAGGCCATTTTCGTTAGGGAGAGCCAAGATGTCTCTTTATATATTAAAAAAATATATTTTAAAACAAAACGGCAGAAGTACTAAGTCCTTCTAACTCTCCTAGAAATACTAATATTTTCTCCCTTCTTTACCTATACTCTTACTAAATCACTCCTTTGAGTCTTTCCTCCTTCCCATGGTTTAAACTGTGTATTCTGCCTTGCTCTGGAGAAACTATGTTCATGTCTATGTAAGAAGGACCCCAGGCTGACTCCCTCTGAGGAATGCTCCATCTCTGACCCCAAGCTTGCAAACATTTTGAGGTCATAAATCTTATATTAACAATAACACCACCACAATCTTTCTCAGCCTTGATCACAAGGAGTGAAGTCTTAATAATGTGTGTGCGAGAGCATGTATGTCACATGGCATCACAGCAGGATGTAAACTATGATAAGACAAGGGATACTTATTCAAGGGGCAGGAAGAACTGGTCCGTATCAGAGATGGTGGGGCTAGTGAGCTGTACAAGACATACACATTCCTTTATCTACTGTCTCTTATCTTGGTTGTAGAAAAACAAATGCAATAATTTTTTTTTAATCTTCTGAAGGTACTGTTTGCTTTCTGCTAAGTTCCTCAGTGCCCTTGAGACCTCTTATATGGTCAACGGGAGGAGATGAGGGTGTGGCTTGCATTTAGGCAAAGAGAAAGGAACTGAATTCAAGAACAGCCTCACAGAAACTTAAAATACTGACAAATATAGGGGTTTCACACAAAAGCAAGCAGCTTGCAAAATGCCCCACAGATCTCAGCCACAGTACTGAGTTTAGAAAACCCCATAATCCGGAATCAGGGTCAAGTTCTCTCGAGCACCTGCCCCCGGTTTTGGAGGGCATTTAAGGGACAGGACATGAAGACAGGAGTCTGGCTGTGCTCCCCACGGAAGCAAGAGCTGCTCCTCTTCTCTTTCCACAAACTCACAAGATGCTTCAGGGCCCTCTCCAGGGGTGAAACAGAAACACTTCTCTGTGTGGGCTGGGGCCTAACCAGTAGGGAGGTGTAATGAGAAGATGGGAACTGTGGTGCTGATCCATCACTGACCAGGTAGGTGGCCTCGGGGGAGGCACCAAACTTTTCTGGACTGTGGTTTCTTCATTAGGTGGAATAAGAAGTAACTTTTGTAAACTATGAAACCTCATATAAATATGAGGTTTTATAACCACCTGAAGATGGCTGTTTAGCTCATGTACTATTCTGGGCAAGAATGACCTGCACAGGTGGCTGTACAGGTAAACATGGATGGGGAAGGGTGCTAAGAACCTATGGAGACTGGGAGCGCTGGTTATGACAGAGCATTCTCCATCTGTGACTGTGCCATGGTGACAAATTAGAGCCATTCATGCTGGTCCTCTCAGCTGCAAGCAGTGGGCACATAAATCTGCAGCATCCCATGGCGTGTGGTTACCTGAAGTTCAGGTTTATGCTGCTACCGTGTGTGGCTCTGACACACCACTCTGCAAATGAGTCAGCAGGTCAGGAACCTCATTCCCACCCTCCAGTCAGGTGCTGATGTTCTTGGTTAGGAATGACTGGGCTGTGAACCTGCCCTGACCCAGCAACCTTGCCTGCACCATCTCTGACCCAGTTCACCGATAGCCTGGCATAAACCCAGTCACTGATGACAACATCTGGCCTTGGTGGATCTCAGCCAGGCATTTGTACTTTGGACTGGGGTCAGTTCAAAGATAATCATCCTTTTATTTGGAATTTAACATGAAAGAAGTAAAATAGCTACACTTGTGGGTCATCTGCTCCTGTGGTTTCTGGATGCAAATTCTTCCTCTAGCTGTGTAGGTTCCAATCCATCATAGACACTGCTGTGGAGCTGTTTCCAGCACGGGACACAAGTGATTTCAAGTGATTACCTGCTGGTTAGGTCAGTTTCCTTTTCTTACAGATGAGAGCAACTTCCATCCCCAAGACTATCTGACTTTGTGTCAGTTTCTCCTCTAAAAAGAAACACAGGTAAAAGGAGTGGGCCCCTCCCCTAGCCCAGCCGAGGAGGAACAGGTCTCAGAACAGCCACCAAACACTTTGAAGTCTTCCACAGAGAAAGTGCATGGCATGTGTGTGCGTGCATGTGTGCGTGTGAGAGAGAGACAGAGACAGAGAGAGAGACACTTCACCCAGGCAAGGCAGAGGTCGCTGACCATACCACTCTAGTGGGCCGCCTTGCTTTGTGATGTACAGCAGCTCTCTCTCCTGCCAGCAGGAAATCAGTCTTTATAAAGTGTGTTTTCGGGGACCCCATCGTTTTTTGTTTGTTTGTTTGTTTTGAGACGGAGTCTCGCTCTGTCTCCCAGGCTGGAGCGCAGTGGTGCGATCTCGGCTCACTGCAACCTCCGCCTCCCGGGTTTTACGCCATTCTCCTGCCTCAGCCTCCCGAGTAGCTGGGACTACAGGCATGCACCACCTACGCCCGGCTAATTTTTTTTGTATTTTTAGTAGAGATGGGGTTTCACTGTGTTAGCCAGGATGGTCTCGAACTCCTGACCTTGTGATCCGCCCACCTTGGCCTCCCAAAGTGCTGGGATTACAGGCATGAGCCACTGCGCCCGGCTGTTTGTTTTTTTGTTTTAAGTCAAGGAAAGAAATGGGTGGTGGTTACGCAAATCCACAAATGTGGCAAATGACACAATTCTACAGGCCCCTGTGGCAGTGCCGCCTTCCTGGGGGTGATATTGTGCTATAGTGACGTTAAGATGTTGCCACTGGGGGAAACCAGGTGGTGGGTACACTGAACTTGAACCTCTTGGTGACTTCCTTTGAATCTATAATTATTTCAAAACAAAGAATGAAAAAAGAAAGGGAAAAGCTAATGACAAGCTGAGCCATGCATTGAGGATTCCCATGGCATCAGGCTCCAAGCTGAGGCACGGGGTCTCCCCAGCCCCAGCAGTTTCAGCATACCCAATAATTACCCAGCCTGGGCTCCGGGCAGGGCACTGCGAGCACATGAGGGAGGTGGTGGGTGTCACAGAGAGCTGAAGCAGGCCCTGGACCTGGGGGAGAAGGCCCTGAATGGGGCACGTGGGAGACCAGCACTGTCCGTGGCATGTGGAGTGAGTGAAGCCCTCTGCGCCTGGACTTCCTCCCCTGTCAAACAGCTGAACAAACCAGCGATTGTTCAGAAGATAAAATGAGGAAAAGCACCTCGAAGTGTCTTGTAAATAAAGATCGACAGCAGCACTTTTTTTTTTTTTGAGATGAAGTCTCACTCTGTGGCCCAGGCTGGAGTGCAGTGCTGTGATCTCAGCTCACCGCAACCTCCGCCTCCTGGGTTCAAGTGATTCTCCTGCCTCAGCCTTCCGAGTAGCTGGGATTACAGGCACCTGCCACCACGCCTGACTAATTTTTGTATTTTTACTAGAGATGGGGTTTCGCCACGTTGGCCAGCCTGGTCTCAAACTCCTGGCCTCAAGTGATCTGCCTGCCTTGGCCTCCCAAAGTGCTGGGAGCACAGGGGTGAGCCCCCATGCCCCGGCCCAGCAGCACTTCTGAAACTCAGATGGGCACACAGGTCCCCTGGGATCTTGCTAAAGTATGGATTCTGACTGGGCGGGGGTGGGGAGGGGAGACGCTGCATTCCCAGCCAGCTTCCAGGTGAGGCGGATGCTGTGGGTACACCACTCACACTGAACAGTGATGATCCTAGGCTCGCAGGCACCACAGTCATTAAAACAGAAATCCCTGTTGGGGCCGAGGTAGGATGGGAGGGACACAAAAGGTCATCTGTTTCCACCTAAAGCTAAGACACCAGGGGCCTTTGTCCGGATGCCCAGTCCACACCTTAGGCCAACAGCGTCAGCATCCCTGGGGTGGGGCCCAAGTGTGGCTTTCTTGTGCCACCAAGTGAATCCCACGTGTCCTCGGGGTGAGAACTGCTGCTCTCGGGGTTGAGTGCAGCACCCGACAGGCACTCTACAGTCCCCTGCACTTGCTGCTTTCTTGGGCGGCCTCTTCAATTTCCTACTAGTTGTATTTATGAGTCAGTTTTTCCTGCTGAGCAAAAATACTGCTCTCCCTCCTCCCTGCTGTGCTCCTGGAGCTTCTACTCATTTCCTCTTGCCATATGTCCAGGGGTCACACAGAATGACAGCCCTCAGATTATTGTTTAAATTGAGGTAAAATTCACATAACATAGAATTAACCATTTAAAAATGTACAATTCAGTGGTGTTCACTGCATTCATAATGTTGTGCAACTACCACCTTTCTCTGGATTCAAAACCTTCTTATTTCCTCAGAGAAACAGCCTGTACCCACTGAGCTATGCTCTCACTCCCACCTCCCCCAATTCCCTGTCTCAAGGGATTTTCTTTTTCTGGATATTCACAGAGAGGGACTATACAACCTTTTGCCATGGCGTCTTTCATTTAGCATAATGCTTTCGAGGTCCCTCCACATTCGGGCATATTTCAGAATTTGCTTCCTCTTTAAGACTGAATAATATTCCTATATATATACATATGGTACCACATTTTCTTCATTCATCCACTGATGGGTGCTTGGGTCGCTTCCATATTTTGGCTATTATGAATAACGCTGCTGTGAACATTGTTCATAAGTTAACATAAGTTTCTGCAGGGACATATGTTTTCATTTCTCTTGGGTATAGACCAAGGAGTGGAACTGCTGGGTCATATGGTAATTCTATGTTTTAACGGTTTGAGGAGCCACCAAACTGTTTTCCACAGCGGCTGCACCAGTTTACATTCCTACCAGCCATGTATGAGTGTTCCAATCTCTCCATATGCTCACCAACACTTGTTATTTTCTATTTCAAAAGAATTCTTTTAAATTAAAGCCATCCGAGGGATGCAGTTGGCCTTCAGATATTGGAGCAGAGTGATCTTGTCCCCCCCAGAGGTCCCCCATTTCAGGCCAAATATCTTCAGTTGCTCCCCACTTCTTGACTGTCAAAGACACCCTGAAATGTGGTTTTCAGAAGTGGGCCCGGTGTCCCTGTGTGGAGGGACCAGCCCTCAGCCGTGCAGGCCACCAGTGGCCAACCCCAGAGCTGACTCTCCTGACCACTGATTCGGAGCCTCTCTCCTTGAGTGGCTGCTAGGACACATCTTGTCCCTTGTTGATGGTTGTTTTTTAACCTAAAAAAGTGAAATCCTTTTGCAAAGAACACAGCACCATATCCAGTGTGAAGCACGATATTAAGAAAGGCCTGGCCACAGTGAGCACTGTCTCTAAAAAGGGAATCAGGAGGTCCTGCCATTTCCCACAACATGGTCGGGCCTGGAGGACATTATGCTAAGCAAAGTAAGTCAGACACAGAAAGAAAAATACTGCATGATCTCACTTACATGCGGAATTAAAAAAACAGAGATAAGAGAAGAAAATAGTGGTTACCAGGGGTTTGGGACGGATGGAAGGAAGGGAGAGAGAAAAGGAGGAAGTAGAGTTCAAAGGATACAAAGTAGCAGGTGAGGGGGGGTCAGCAAGGCTAGAGTAACATGAGGATTGTAGTTAATAACATTGTAGTGCATTAGGAACTGTTGTTAAATAAGTATATTTTTAGCTCCTCTTGTCACACAAAAAAGTAACTGTAACATGATGGATATGTTAACTTGCTTCACTATAGTAACCCGTTTCCTGTCTATACATATCCCGTAATACGTTGTAAACCCTAAATACAATAACATTTATCTTAAAATATAATTATCAATGAAGCAAATGATTCATGTTTAGCAACATGTGCCCTGGAGATCTATTGCACCTTCATGAAAATATTTAGAAGGCTTTTTTTTTTTTTCTTTTTTTTTGAGACAGAGTCTCGCTCTGTCGCCCAGGCTGGAACACAGTGGTGCGATCTCCGCTCACTGCAACCTCCCAGGTTCAAGTGATTCTCCTGCCTCAGCCTACCAAGTAGCTGAGATTACATTGTATGCCACCATGCCTGGCTAATTTTTGTATTTTTAGTAGAGATGGGGGTTTCACCATGTTGGCGAGGCTGGTCTTGAACTCCTGACCTCAAGTGATCCACCCGCCTCAGCCTCCCAAAGTGCTGGGATTACAGGCATGAACCACCGTGCCTGGCCAGAAGGCATTTTCTTTTAAATAATTTACAGTGTCTTTAAAAAAATTAGCGGTGAACGTTTAAAACCCAGGTTATATTATTTGGACTCAGATGAATTTCAAACAAGTAAACATCTCTCCCTTATAGTTGGGTATCAGTGAGAATCTACAAAATCAATGCCACCAAAATTAGAAAACTTTTTTTGAAACAAAACCGCAAAGTTACCTTGATTCTGTTAGCAGATAGCTGAAAGTGTATATTCTTACTGAACTTAATGTACCACACACGGCCATTTCAGTTGACGGTTAAAACCAGGTGTTCCTTTAGAAGAACAAACAAAGTAGCCAAATCTCTCCATGCCTTTTCTTCTTGCTTCAATGTCACAGAGGGAGCTATTCTCCAGCTTGTTGCTGTGGGTCTTTCTCATGTCCTTGTCCAACGCTGGAAAGAGGAACTGCTGGTTTTCCAGGTCCTCAGCTGCTTCCAAAGAAGGACATTCCGTTGTGGGTGACAGTCTCCTCCTGGCCTGCAGAGCCCTTGCTTAGGCAGAAATGTCAGGGAATGCTGCTTGCCTCACTCCTGGCTCCCTCCCGAGCTCCTCGGACAGTCCTCTATATTTTTTTGCCTTCTGCCCAGCTTTCCCTAGCATCTGGAGCCAGGGCCACTGCTCCTTGCACGGCCACACGCACTGACCTGGTCCCTGGAGGCTGTCTTCTGTCACAGGCTGCTTGTCTCAGCTGCTGCCAAACAACCTTCCGTGGACATAGGGGAATGCTGACTCGTCACCACTTTTTGCAATCACGGCAGGTCCACGGGGCCTACAAAGAACAGCACTCTGGTATTAGCTATACCACACGTAACTGATAAATTCTGCAGGCCCCAGACTATAAGTTTCCAGCACTTTTTATGTAGTGTTTCAGCCATGTTTACTGTTTGATAATTTCATTTTACTTGGTCCCTGGTATTGTACAAGAGAAGGTCCTTGGCATTCTTACAAGGCAGTATGTGAAATGAAATAAAAAGGATGCACCGGCTGAAGACACGGCTGCACTTGAGCCAAATGATGGGGTTCCCTAAGAGGGATGCCAAGCCAAGCTGCTTCGGTGATGAGTCACGCCATATTCAATTGACCAATGAAGGTTGGAACAGTAATCACAGGGTGCAAAAACATATCAGAAAATGCACATGGTGCTGTGTAAAATGGGTGCTATGACACTCACAGGATACTCTCAAGTGACAAGGTCCCCCGTGAAAACCCTTGGGGCTGTGAGCCCACCTGAGGGGAGGGGAGGCTGAAGGCTGCTTGGCCAATGCTTGCATGGCTCCAACTGTAAAGAAAAACAATCTTTAGAAGCAACTCTTCCAGAAAGCTCTCTTATTTCAACCATTTCTTTTTTTTTTTTTTTTTTTTTTGAGACGGAGTCTCACTCTAGTGGCGCGATCTCGGCTCACTGCAAGCTCCGCCTCCCAGGTTCATGCCATTCTTCTGCCTCAGCCTCCAGAGTAGCTGGGACTACAGGCACCTGCCACCACGCCTGGCTAATTTTTTTGTATTTTTAGTAGAGGCGGGGTTTCACTGTGTTAGCCAGGATGGTCTTGATCTCCTGACCTCGTGATCCGCCTGCCTCAGCCTCCCAAGTGCTGGGATTACAGGCATAAGCCACTGCGCCCAGCCTATTTCAATCATTTCAAATACAGCAATTCCCAGGAGGAGATCACACTGCCCTGACTGCCTCAGCAGAGTCAACTGAACATAACCATCAGCTCTCTTTGGTGGCTTGGTCATCAGGAGGAACTTGATCCATGACGTTGATGGAGAGGGCCCCGAGGAGGGTGACTGTGGGCTCCAGAGTCAGGTGCCCTGTGAAATGCCAAACCTCTTTGGTTCTTCTACCAGTTTTCTGTCATGTTTCTGTCCTTTTTCTGGTCCATGGGAGTCACCTGCATCTCCTGGTGGCTGCAGCTCTTGTTCTTTGCAGCATTTCTTGAACCCTGAGTGCTTAAGGGCAGACGTCCACCTCCACATGTCTTTGTTAAGAGTCGGGGAGTGCTCTCTGCCTTCCCTAGGAGCTTGGTGTGCATGGCTCCGGGACCTGTTTTCCAGACAGGCGAGATGCCCAAACAGATGGGATTAGGCCTGAGCCACCATAACATGCACGCTCCTGCCACCAACAGCAACAAGCAGAAGGGATCTGAAAGACTCCCCTTGCCACCAACCACACACCAGGCCCACATCTAAGCTCTTCATGAGTCACCACTGACGGGGAATCACTGATTTAAGGCTATAGTCTCCAAATACAGCTGGGCAGCAGAATTATTTGGAAAGCAACTAAAATACAGATTCCTGGGCCCCTAGGGCAGCTGGAAATTCTGACATATGGCCAAATGGAAAGGCCAGGTCCGAAAGGAAGAGACAGATACCTCGTTCTACGTTCTCCTGAAGCCCTCTTAGGAGACGTGGGAAGCAGCACCACTGACAGTCACGAGGGTGATGGGGCCCTGAGCAGCAGGCGTGGGGACCAGGTCATCACTGAATTTCTCCACGCAATGCGTTCTGGCCCCACAAAATGATACCAGCCACACGCCTTGGTTCAGGAGTTGTGAATACCCTGTTCACCCTGGAGAAAGGTTGCTAAGCAAATCTGTGGCTCCCAGGTGTCACTACAAATACCAGCTACGGGGAAGAGAGGAACAGAACCAGAGAGGCCGCAAAGGAAGTCTCTGTCTGATGTCAGCTGCCTCTGAGAAGGCCTGCTCTCATTTACTCAAACAAAAAAAAATTAGAGTGGTAAAGGTAGAGAAAAGCAAATAATTCGATCCACTGGAGTGTAATGGGATAACAGGATTTATAGCATTTTTGAGGCTAAAAATAGCTTAAGAGCCCTCACTTCAGAACTCTGAGCACTTCACACGGTTTTAACCCATCCTCCCATTTCCCTTCTGTGCTAATATCACGTGGCTTGAAGTTTGCTTTCTGCGGTATTTGATTCCATGTGGGTGTTTTTTCCTCATCCGTCTCCCCTTTTGTTACTTCAAGGGAAAAATAACCCTGGGAAAGCTTTCATGCCGTCTGCCATTGTTCTGCGTTTAAGGAAAAAAGTGCATGCTGCTTAATCTGGGCCTCGGGACCAAGCAGGCTGGCAAATTCCAGAAACTTTAAATCTTTGTTAAAAATGCCAAAGTAAACGACCTTCGGTCTACAAAGCTAAGGGGAGGCAGCCCTGCCCGCGCCTTTCAAGCCTCGACAAGCTGCGCGTCCAGGAGCCGCGCTGTGTAGGAACCAGCTAAGGAAAGCGACTGTCTCATGCCAACACTGGGGCATCATGCTCACATCTGTGTGATCCCTACATGCTGTGTGTGTGTGTGTGTGTGTGTGTGTGTGTGTGTGTGTGTGTGTAAGCTTTTAATTTTTAAAAATTTTATTTTTAAAAATTGTGGTAAAATACATATAATTAAAAATTTACCATTTTAACTGTCTTTAAATGTACAGTTCAATGGCATTAAGTCCATTTGCACTATTGTGCAACCATCAGACAGAAACTGCACCCACTAAACACTAACTCCCCATTGCCTGCTTTCCCCAGCGTTTGGCAACCACCATTCTGCTTTTTGTATCTAGGAATCTGACAACTCTAAGTGACTCAGGTAGGTGGAATCATGCAGCATTTGTCCTTCTGTGACTGGCTTATGTCACTTAGCATAACGCCCATAAGGTTCATCCATGTTGTAGCATGCGTCAGAATTTCCTTCCTTTTCAAGGCTGAGTAATATTCCACTGTATTGTATGGATAGAGCACATGGGCTTAAGCTTTTCATCCTAAAAATGATAAAAATATCAACCTGTTGTATGTCTTGGATTCCACATTCATTTTCAATAAATAGAAACTTAATAGACAAATGATCCAGCATGAGGCCCACCACAGTCACCGGGGCCCATCCGTCTCCTTGGGTCCTTGGTGTGGGGCCTGGCATGAGAGCCCCTGGAATTCTAGGATAGGAGACAGCCTGGAGGAAACGGCCCCGGGTTCTGGGCATTCTCTGCCTTGGCCACATTTTGCAGGGCTGTGAGAACGCTTGCAGAAAACTGATGTTTACTTCATTTTTATCTTTTTTTTTGAGATGGAGTTTCACTCCTGTCCCCCAGGCTGGAGTGCAATGGTGTGATCTCAGCTCACTGCAACCTCCGCCTCCCGGGTTCAAGTGGTTCTCCTGCCCCAGCCTCCTGAGTAGCTGGGATTACAGGTGTGCGCCACCACACCTGGCTAATTTTTGTATTTTTAGTAGAGACAGGGTTTCACCATGCTGGTCAGGCTGGTCTCGAACTCCTGACCTCAAGTGATCTGTCCTCCTCAGCCTCCCAAAGTGCTAGGATTACAGGCATGAGCCACCGTGCCCAGCCCATTTTTATCTTTTTAAGTGGTAGTTGCTATATGAGAATTCTCAGCTTCTTGGGTAAAGCAGAGACTATGCCTCCACCTTGTACAAGGCAATGTGGGGTGCTCCGCATATGGCAAAATCAAACATGACCAATCGTTGTTCTGCTCCATCATGTGGGTTGTACTCCATTACTTTCCTCTACTTGCTCAACAATTAAGAGTTGGTTATATATACTTTGGGAGGCCGAGGCAGGCGGATTGCTTGAGGTCATGAGTTTGAGACCAGCCTGGCCAACATGGTAAAACCCTGTCTTTACTAAAGATAAAAAAATTAGCCAGGTGTGGTGGCATGCACCTGTAGTCCCAACTACTCAGAAGGCTGAGGCAGCTACACAGAAGGCTCGAACCCAGGTGGTGAAGGCTGCAGTGAGCCGAGATCACGCCACTGCACTCCAGCCTGGGCAACAAGAGCAAGACTCCATCTCAAAAAAAAACAAAAAACAAAAAAAAGAGTTGGTTATATATAAAACTGCCAGCTGAACAAAGGCTTCTAGAAGCCCCTCTTATTTTTCAGGTTGACCAAAATGGGAAGACATTTCTGTCTTTAAGCCTTTAAAGCTACAGACAGTTATGATGGGGAGGAACAGGGCAGGTATGATGCTCAGGTATGATAGCGGTTGGGATTTTGGAGCTTACTTGTGCATCCATTACACCTGTGCAGCAGCCCTGCTCAAACTGCAATCCTAATCCACTCACAAATGAATCCCCGCTCCATTGCTATGAAAGTAAGCACTTTATAATATCGTAGTTACAAAATATTTTTATAGAGAGCATAAGAAAATGAAATGGTGTTTCAACAAAATGTAAAGGAGAAAATACAGAGGTTTAAAGGACTATCTATGTAGCTGAGTTGGCATATACTTTGGGGGTTACTTTCTGGGCATATTTCCATTAACTGTGAAATTTGGAGATAGGTTAAAAAAAGGGATACAATATATAGTGCTCTTGTGAGATTCAGTATTGTTGTATTGAGAAAATGAATCATACTGCAAATTTCTTAAGGTAGCTTCCTTGTGTGTTTTCAAATATATATATATTTGAAAAAATATATATATATACACATATGTGTGTATGTATATATGTGTGTGTGTGTGTGTGTGTGTGTGTGTGTGTGTATATATATATATATATATATATATATATATATGTATTTTTTTTTTTTTTTTTTTTTGAGATGAAGTCTCGCTCTGTCGCCCAGGCTGGAGTGCAGTGGCACAGTCTTGGCTCGCTGCAACCTCCGCCTCCTGGGTTCAAGCAATTTCTGGCTAATTTTTTTAATTTTAGTAGAGATGAGGTTTCACGATATTGGCCAGGCTGGTGTCAAACTTCTGACCTCAAGTGATCTGCCCACCCCAGCCTCCCAAAGTGCTAGGGTTACAGGCATGAGACACTGCGCCTGGCCAGTTTTCAAATAGATTTTAACTGGCATTCATTTATTCATTCATTGAACCAGGAAGTCTTTGGTACTTACTAGAACTTAGTCTGTTAGTCACAATAGATATGCAGATGAATGACACCAGTCTCTGCTCCAGAAGACAAATAGGATCTCAGGATGCCACAGACGCACCAAGGTGGTAGGGGGTTAGGGATCAGGGAGGACTTCCTGGAGGTGGATGCTGAGTCTTGGTAAACAGAGTTAGCAGACAAGAGACCAAACTTTTCTGGGCTTCTCATCCAGTGTTCAGCTCTAGAGTGAGGCAGTAAGAAGCTACCAAAGATCCACCATGCTGAGGATGGCCACTAGGTTCTAGATGTTTCTAGAAACCATTTCCTTTGAAAAAGGAATTTATAAATAGCCTCAGTAGGAAAAGGGAGATAGAGAACAAATATAAATGAAACCCCAGAAAATGGTATCTATCTACCATGTATTTGGCTCCTACAGTGTCTCCTGCTTTGGTGCTTTAAATCTATCATGGTTACTCCTTAAAATAAAAGTTTGTTATTATGATTTCCATTTTACAGCAGGAAAGACAAAGTCAGAAAGATTAAATAATATATTATGATAATGAATTACATTTGACGGCTTCCTAGGTTGCAGGCATGGTTCTAAGTAGTTTAAAATATATTATCTCATTTTGTCATGTTTGCCTTTGTCCAGATGAGGAAACTGAGGCACAGTGAGAGTGACTTGCCAATGCCCACTGGTTAGTCAGTGCAGAGCAAGGATTCCCAACTAAGCAGTCTGATTCCAGGTTGCACACTTCTGACCACAAGGCCATCAACAGCCTGTGCTCTTGCAGCCACAGAAAGCATATTGGTGAACACTTACACAAAACACACTTGCTGGTGATGGTTTCCAGTACAAATTAATTCTTCACTGCTCAAGCTGATGACTCAAAAGGAGAACTCCTCTAGTGCCATTAAATGCTATTTAACTTGCTGTGTTACAAGTTTGTTGTTGCTGTTGCATTCCCAAGACTATCTGCTGCTTGAAATGTGTATTTGGACTGAATGTGTAAATGGATGGAGTCAAGATATCTGCCTTCCCCCAAAGGGTCTGCAACAGAAGACCCATGAAGAGTGGAATGAGGTCCCTGATGTGGAGTGGAGAGACTTTAAGCGTCTAACTAAATTAAGTAAGGGTTTCCAAGGGCAAGCTACTACAATGTCTTTCAGCATGCAGAGATGAATTTCTAGTGTTTCAAAGGGCAAATCATGAGCAAGCTGAGGACAGCAGGAAAAGTTCAGTGGAGCAACGCTGGAGCTGAAGAGGTGACAAGTGTGGTTAATGAGGAGGTGAAGGCCTGGATACAGGATGCTCTAGGGAAGAGTTAAGAAGAGAGAAGTAGGCAGGCCAGGCGTGGTGGCTCACATCCGTAATCCTAGCACTTTGGGAGGATAAGGCGGGCAGATCACTTGAGGCCAGGAGTTCAAGACCAACCTGGCCAACACGGAGAAACCTTGTCTCTACCAAAAATACAAAAATTAGCCAAGCACAGCAGCATGTGCCTGTAATTCCAGCTACTCAGGAGGCTGGGGTGCAAGAATCGCTTGAATCTGGGAGGCAGAGGTTGCAGTGAGCAGAGATCACATCACTGCACTTCAGCCTGGGTGACAGAGTAAGACTGTCTTTAAAAAAAAAAAAAAAAAAAACAAGGAAGAAGAAGAGGTGGGCAGCAAGCATCCTAGCTCAGGACCTTAAAGCCAGGCTGAAAAACTCTTTGCAAAGTGAGATATGGTAAATATTTTCAGTTTGATGGGCTACCACAGTGGGAAAGTAGCCAAAGGTAATATGAACGGGTGTGGCTGTGTTCCAATAAAACTTTATTTACAAAAATAAGCTGTGGGTGAGTGGGTGAGATGTGGCCCACAGGCAGTGGTTGGCCAACCCCTGCCTTAGAGCATGGCATTGAAGAGAAGGCAACAGGTTGCCCAGGGCAGTGTGATGGGACACCCAGGCTAGCTGGCAGAAGGCTGTCAGAACAGCGTTAACAGGAAAGCACAAAAGTCATTGATCTTCTGAATGATAAAAGACTTGACTGGTCCAAAGTCCAAGGTGCCACTAGAGGGCACACAGCTGAATTCAGAGATGAGAGGAAGCATTGACTCCCCACAGGAATCTTCACCTAGATGGGACTGAAGCATCAGCGCTTGCCACAAGCATATCTGTTGGTACATGCACAGCCCCTCACACCATAGTGCTGGTTGGGGGTGTGTGCCCAACTACAGACAACATGGAAGAAGAAGGGACCTGCCTATATCACCCTCAGCTAGAGGAACTAAGCAGAGAAGGCTGGGAGTGGTGACTCACGCCTGTAATCCCAGTACTTTGGGAGGCCAAGGCAGGAGGATTGCTTGAGTTGAGTTTGAGACCAGCCTGGGCAACATGGCAAAACCCCATCTCTACAAAAACACAAAAATTCACCAGGTGTGGTGGCAGGCATCTATAGTCCCAGCTACTCGGGAGGTGGAGGTAGGAGGATCACTTGAGCCTGGGAAGCAGAGGTTGCAGTGAGCCAAGATCGTGCCACTGCACTCCAGCCTGGGCAACAGAGCAAGACCCTGTCTCAAAAAAATGAGGGGTGGGGTGAGAACTAAGCAGAGAAGTTGGTCCCTGTAAGAAAAAAGATGGGGCCCCTTGGCCTTAACAATACAGAACACTTATTAACTGCATGTGGTTTCAGTGTATACCCTGGACAGCCTCCTACTGAAGTCAGCTAAAAAGAATAAGAGAATAGGAAACTTCTGAATAACTGTTGAGCTAATATGAAAGTCAGGAGTCTGGGCCAGGTGCGGTGGCTCACGCCTGTAATCCCAGCACTTTGGGAGGCCAAGGCGGGCGGATCACCAGGTCAGGAGATTGAGACCATCCTGGCTAACACGGTGAAACCCCATCTCTGAAAACAAAAAATTAGCCTGGCGTGGTCGCAGACACCTGTAGTCCCAGCTACTCAGAAGGCTGAGGCAGGAGAATGGCGTGAACCCGGGAGGCAGAGCTTGCAGTGAGCCAAGATCGTGCCACTGCACTCCAGCCTGGGCGACAGAGCGAGACTCCATCTCAAAAAAAAAAAAAAAAAAAAAAGAAGTCAGGAGTCTGCTGGGGCCAAACACAGAGAGGAAGTGGGGTCCTGAGAGTAACAGGGTTGAACTAGCATGCTCACAGGAGGGGAGCCCCGGCCCAAGCCTTTTTGATATTGTGTGGATAAGGCAGGAGGCCAGAGATGAAGCCCATCCTTGGAGGGGAGGGGTATGCCTAAGAAGAGACCCTTGCTTGTAAAGCTCGACCTCAAAGGAAGGATGTGCTCAGTATTAATGGACATGAGGAATAAACCCGCCCACACGGAAGGGACAGGAAGGGAACATGCCTTTTTCAATGCCAAGGAGAAAGTTAGCCTCTCCCAAATAGTCCTAGTCCCAAACTGACCTTCACACAAGGTTCAGGCCCAAATTCCCACTGCGTGGTTTGAAAATCCTTAAGAGATCATTTCGAGTGGTTTCAGGTTGACAGCCTGCAGGTGTGTAGCAGAACAAACACAAATCCTCTGCAGAGGTAACTTTAACCCAGCCTTCAAAAAATTCTCACAGATCAAGTTCCAAGGATTAGGATCCTGGTCAAATTTCACCAAATGTACAAGGAAAAAGGTCACCCTGGATGGGATCCAGCAGAAACAACAAAGAACAAAATCAGATTCACAATGACCTCAAATACTTGAGGATCATATGTCAGTTATAAAATAAGCATGTTTAGACCAAGCATGGTGGCTCACGCCTGTAATCCCAAAACTTTGGGAGGCCGAGGCAGGTGGATCACTTGAGGTCAGGAGTTTGAGACCAGCCTGGCCAACAGGGTGAAACCCTGTCTCTGCAAAAAAAAAAAAATACAAAAATTAGCCAGGTGTGATGGTGCATGCCTATAATCCTAGCTACTCAGGAGGCTGAGGCACGAGAATCGCTTGAACCTGGGAGAAGGTTGCAGCGAGCTGAGATTACACCACTGCACTCCAGACTGGGTGCAGAATGAGATTCCATCTCAAAAAAATAAAATAAAATAAGTATGTTTAATATGTTTAAAGATATAAACATGAGGCTTAAAAATAAAGCAAGGAAGAAGGGATTATTTTTAGAAAATGAAGACCAAGCAATTTGAAATTTGAGAAAAGAAGAAAAGATAATTTCTGGAATAAGAATTTATTAATTTTTCTTAAAAACCCCAATAGATTGGTTAAAAAGAAGCTGAGACACAGGTAGAGTGAGAATTACTAAAGTTTAACACAGATCTGAAGGAATTATCCAGATTGCAGAATGCAGAGACAAAAGACAGAAAATATAAAAGGGAGAGTAAAATCAACAGACAGTGACCTAACACATGCAAAACTCAAGTTCTAGCAAGAGATATTCGAGGGAATGGGGTCTAGGAAATATTCAAAAGAAAATTTTCCAAAATTTATGAAAACCACCAATTCTTAGATTCAGGAAGCCTAACAACCCCAAGCAGAATAATTTAAAATGTATCTATTCCTGGAGACAATCACCATGACACTGCAGATTACCAAAGTCAAGGGAATCATCTTAAATGCAGCCAGAGAAAACACTGATTATCTAATAAGGAACAGCAACTGGATGGGCAGCAGGACTTTCAAGAGCAACCATGGAAGCCAGACAACAGGAAAAGAATCCCTTCAATGTGCTGAGAGAACATCACCATCACCCTAGATTTGTATACCCTGCAAAACTATCTTTCAACAATTGATAAAATAGAGATATTTTAGATGAAGAAAAAAGTTTGCTACTAACAAAATCTCACTAAAGTAAATCTAAATAATGCCCTTGAGGCAAAAGGAAATTGTCCCAGATGGGAATTTTGAGAGGCAAGACAAAAAAGTGAGGAAATATAGTGTGCTTCATAGAAAATAATACTGGATAACAGTAACATGTAAGTAATAAATCATTCTAAGGTCTTCATATTTGGGAGGAGAAAAATTAACTTAAAATTTTCATTAATTAAATTGAAATTTAATTAATTAATTTGAACAGAAGTTCCAATTAGTAGAGGAAAAATGTAATAAAGGGGAAAAAAAGGCAGAAAAAAATGGGACAAATACCAACTATAATATAAAATAGTTAAAAATAAATAAGTACTTCAGCTGAGCACAGTGGCTCATGTCTGTAGTCCCAGCACTTTGGGAGACCTACGAGGGAGGATCACTTGAGCCCAGGAGTTTGTGAGACTGGCCTGAGCAACAAAGTGACACCTTGTCTACAAAACAAAAACAAAACAAAACAAAAAGTACTTTAGTAATCATAATAAACATATAATCTCTCCAGTTAAAAAGATTTAAGAGTCATCACACAGGATGTTTTAAAACCTAGCAAACATTGTTCTCAAGAAACACATCTGAAATCTAAAAACAGAAAACTTAAAGAGTAAAAGGAGAAAAAACAAATACCAGGTAAATACTAACAAAAGGAATCTACCATACATCTGTTAATGTCAGACAGACTTTAAGGCAATAAACATAACTTAGTAGCATATAAGCATAACTTTGACATCAGAGAGGGCCACAAAACAAAGATAAAAGTTTCAACTTACTTGGAAGAGAAGATAATCCTAAACTTACATGCACCTAATAATATAGCCTCAAATTATATAAAGCAAAAAGCACCATACCTCAAAGAAAAACTGACAACTCTATCATAGTCATAAATTTCTGACATATCTCATAAGTGATATATCAGGCAACACAACAATTAGGATAAATAAAATTGAGCAGCACAGATCTAATGGACAAATATGGAATATTATACCCAATAATGGGAGAATAAACATTCTCTTCAAGCACGCAACAAACAAATATTGACCATTTAGGAAGACGCTGTTTTAGGTCACAGTAGACTATGTTTCAGTCCTCCTAACAGGGGATTTGGAGCATCCACTTCAAATTCAGCTATTTGTCAGGTGACCAAATATTACACTGGCTACAAAATAAATTAACTAACCTGTAAATGACTCTCTTTAAAATGGTGTGCTTAATGTCACCCCAAAGAACAAGAATTGTTTTCCCCGCTCACACAACTCACTGGACTGAGCAAATAAACAGCAAATTAGAAAGAGTATAGAAGCTACAACTCCTAAAATGACCATTGAGAACCTAGATAAAAGATTCACTTCACCCCAAATCTTGGAGAATGTTGATTTGTTACTTGCTGGATAGAATGTCAGTAAAATGAGAGCAGGAATCTTTGTTTTGTTCACAGATGTATCATCTAGTGCATAACAGCATTTGATAAATACTTCTGAATGATTGGTTGAATAAATGAATGAAGATCCTACACTACTACTAGATGTTCTTTGCCTTTCCCTGTGGCACTGTAATAATTCTGAATATTTTGTGATGTATATGCTACTTGGCAAGTGAGTGACCTAATCATCCCACATTTAGGTTCAGACATGGTATTTTGGAAAGAAAGCACCCAACATCTGCGTTGCTTTTTTGTGCTCCTGATGCCAGGTTAACTCTGAGACTGCTGGACAAAGAAAAAGATGCCATGATGGACATATCTGGGCTTGCTCATGGCAGCAAAGCCTGCTGGGAAAAGCAGAAAGAGGGTAGATAAAACAAAAGTGAACTTAGCTCTACTTCTCTAGTATTTTTCTTACAGGGAGGGGAATAAAATCACACAGTCAACAAATGACTCATGAGTCGCCTGCTCTTGACAAACTGTGTCAGGAGTATCCAAGGAGAAATGCAGAAGATGAGTAAGAATGCTTTGCCCTGATCAACTGTTCTCTCCCCATCACCCCCTCAACTCCTCTGCCACAGTGCTCACTCCACTTCCAATCTTTCAGGCCTCACTGATGGCACAGCTAGGGCCCTGCAGAGTGTGTGGCCAGACAGCTGCAGGGACCAGAGCAACAGAGAAACCATCCATTCATAAACGGAATTGCTGAGCATGAACATTGACTGAAGAGGGGCGGGTCACCCTGGGCTGTCAGGCTGAGGGTTGGGTCCAGGCTGGCGTCAAAATCAGTGAAGAGACAGGAATAAAGAGATATCAGGGCCAGGGTCTAGGCAAGCACTTGGGACTGGTAACAATTTTAGCGGGAGGTAGTTCAAGGTTTCCATCTATAGTACTGCCTCAGGTGTGACCTTCCAGAACTTAGAGAGTATGGTCCAAATAGGAGTCTCCTTGTTCCCAAAGTCAGCAGTTGTCCTTCCTGGACAGAGCTCCTTGAGTTTCCAAGTTAAATGGAAGCATGACTTCCTGCATGTGCATTGGAGATCCAGTCAGTAACACCAGGCACTTGGAATTGCCCCCTTTCCAAATTCTTCTCTGAAATGGGGTCAGAAGGTGGATTTTCAACAAGGGTTCTGAGTGTTTAAGAGCTTACCTTCTTATTTTAACTAGAAGTCATGGTGGTGATTGGTGTGGCCAGGTTACCCGACTTGAGCAAAGGTGTCCTACAAAGTAGACTATGTCAGCAGTCACCGGTCAGGGAACCAGGTGAATTGTGAGCTTCCGAAAGGTCAACAGTGCAGGCAGCAGTAGTCTAAGAACACATAGCAGGTAAGTGGGGCCTCAGCTCCACACAAGCAGACAGGAGTCCAGGCTACGTTCCCAGTACAGAGGGAAGGTTGAACATGCATCCAAAGGAGCATGCTGGCTCAGGCGGCAGCACGACCTGCTTCCTCCCACGGACTCCCAACTTCATGGACAGAGAACAGATTCGTAGTTGAGTTCAGGGTTCTTATGTTCAAGAATATTCCAGTTCAACTAATTACTCTGTATTAGCAGTTCTCAAAGTGTGGTCTGGTGACCCCTTGGGAGCTCATGACATTTTAAGGGGATCCATAAAGTCTAAACTATTTTCATAATAAAGCCAAGACATTATCTGTCTTTCTCAATCTCATTTTCTCACAAATGTACAGTGGAGTTTCCCAGAGGACACTGGCACGTGATATTTGCCTTCTGTGAAGCTGGACATTGAAGAGATTTGCAAAAATTAAAACAATGCTACTCTTCTCACTAAATTATACTGTTTGGGGAAACGTAGTTATTATTTTTGTGTTAAAATGCAATGCACTTATTATTTTTAAATGAATTAATAAACATTTTTAAATGTTCTCAGTTTTCATTTATAAGGTGATAAATACTCATAGATAAACCCACATAAACAAAACCTCTTTGGGATTCTCAATAATTCTGAAGAATGTAAAAGAAGCCTGAAATCAACAAGTTTGGGAACTGCTGCTCTAAATTTTCAACATAAATCCTTGGTTACAAATGTTGACACTTACCAGAAATACTTAACAGTCACTTTAAAGACTAAGGGGGTGTTGTGCCCCATTTTTTCTTTGTTATGTAGATGTTCAAGCAATATAAAAGACTTGTCAACCATTTTTCAATGCCATGTTCCTTGGTGCCTCAGAAATGGCTCCAGAGTTTCAAGGAAGACACTTCCCACGTGTCCCAAGGTAAGGTTCTCGTGGACTTTTTATTCCAAGGAGTTGTTGGCTAATCGTATGGAAACTTAATGCTGAACCCAGCACCATTAAATGCGGGAGAGGCTTTATTTATATCCGAATATTATTATATCACACAGTTTTGGAAGAGATCAGGGAAATTTGTGAGCAATTTAAATATACTAATATTTTATCCTGATGGACTACTCAGTCTAGAACTTAAGGTAATTTGGTAAACAACTAAAACAATAACCACAAAATGTTTTTCTGACATTCAGATGAGCACTCTTCCTCTACAAAACCAACATACAAATCAACAAGCCGAAAAGATAAAAGGTATCCCACATGGGCTCTGAATTATGAATAACTCACAGAGAAATAGGATGCTAATTCATAATCATGTAAGTCAACCAAATTCCCACCAAGCATCTAGCTACTGATAGCTCACTACACATCCCATCTTCATGACATCTCGGCATAATGCTTTCACAATTAGCCCAGTCTCGATATGATAGAAATATTTTCATTCACATTTCAGACAATTTCTAAGTGCTGAGTTGTGTTTGGCTTGGATTTGGCAGCGTGACAAATTAAGGTGTGCTTTAGGTCAAAAGCTTATACTGATGGAGGACACTGTCCATGAGAGAGAGAGAAGGAGATCTGCAGCAATCCTCACACTACAAAGTGGAATGCAAGGAGGGCTATATAAATTATATACATATATACATTAGAGCTCACAGATGGAAGAAACTAAAATAAGAATGGTCAAAATGGCAAAGATATAAAATATTTGCACAAAAAAACATGTCTTCACCATTGCGTGAAAATGGTCCAACTGTATTTAAGGATGCAACTCGTTAGCATTTATTTCTCATTCCTGTGTTTAGACTAGCAGGAAGAAAGAAAGAAAAGCTATTTAGAGTCATTCTCATGCCATTCTGACCCATTAGATATAATTCCCCATGAGACGCTCAAGCTGGGCTTCACATCCCTCTAGGATGTTGAAAAAAGCAACCACTCCTCCAAACATGGGGCACAGATCTGTGGGCCCACGGACTGTGTGGCCACTGATATGCACATCTTTCTATCTGCCAGGATCTCTTTCTCTAACACACAGATAGCAACTCAGGAAAGGGCTCATAGGTAACTGCATGGGGTTCCCATCAAACCAACCAACCAACTAATCAACCAAGCAACCCACCATCAAAGCAGGGAAGAGGAAGCAGAGTCTAGCAGCCATGGCCCTCTTTTGCTTGAATGGAACCAGTGTGGCTGAGCATCCAACTCCTACACCTGTGTGAGATGCTCCAGCACTTGGGTCATTGTGCTAAGTGCTACTAGCGGTAGACTAGCCCCTTCTGCTCTAGCTCTTATTTTAGACAGTGAGAAGGTCGGGCTGTTGTTTCAAAGTAGGCTTTCAGAGGCATCAGATTAACCAAGAGGATAGGTGACTGCCATGGTGGCACTGCTGTGCACGGGCTAAGGCTCTTGACACGGAAGTGAAGATACATCCTTCCTCACGACCTTATAGCAAGGCAGAGCTTACTCCTTCCTGACCCGACAACACCATTTCACTAACAGCTCCATACATAGCTGTTATTAATGCTGCCAAAAGGCAGGGTAAGAAGAGGGTCACTCACATACGTCCCCCTCACTGCCATGTCTGGTCTGGGGAGGACACAAAATGGGAGGCGTACAAGAGCAACTCCCGTAAAAGGAAGAGCTCATCAACAGGAAGTGGAGCACTGTCTGCCCCTTTCCACATAGAATCTAAAGCCAAACTATATGCAAAAGCCAGGCCCAATGCGTGTTTCAGGTGTGAAAAAGGAACGGCAGTGTGCTGACTTGCTGGAGAAACTATGCCATGGTACGTGTGGATAACCTGGGCAAACCTGAAAACCTTTTCTAGTCTACTGAGGAAGGTTATGGTAAGGGAAGCTCTGGGCAGTGACTGTCAGGCAGCCGCTGGATCACCATGCCCTGACCTCCAGACCTGACCACAGCCTTCTGCACTGCCAAGCTATGGTTAATACCAGCCCTTGATTTGAAATAAAAATTAAGCTACGAGGCAATGAAACCCTCCAACTTTGCTTTTCAGACAAAAGCAGAAGTTAAATACAGCCCGATGAATATCAGCTGTTTCTGATTTAGAGGCAAAAAAAACCCCAACCAACCCTCAAGTAAACATTACCAAAAATGCCAAAACAAACAACATCTGTATCTACAGAAATGATTGAACCTACTGCATAGAAGCCAGATCCCCTTCCGAGGTCTGATCAGACAACAAAACCACTGTGTTTGTGAACTACGCATCTACTTAGCAGTAGCTCTGACTACAGCTTTCTTTGAGATGTATTCTTTTTTTTCCTTTTACCCATCCGATAGGTTGTGAGAATGCTATGATTATAGTTTCCTCATCATAAATTCTTTATCCACAATCTATTTTTAATTACCCCTTATCAATTTTAATTTTGACATAATGTATTTTTTGACAGCAAAGATTTTAAATACTACATATAGACATACATATGTATACATACATATACACACATTCTTTTCTTAACACAGATCCCTTAATACAAAAAAAGTGACAATTCCTGTTGACATCTTCCCCAGTCCACCGGGTTGGTAGTCATAGGATGGTGCAGAGAGGTAATCTGTTTACATTTCTTTTTCTTGATACACATACCAACAGCCAGACCCAGAAAACATGCCCAAAGGCTTTCATATCTGTTGTGAAAATGCCAAGCATCTGCCAAGCATTGCAAAGGGAAAACAAGGCAGAATATGAGTTGAAGGACACACTCTTCTACCCAGGACAGCCTGATTCAATACCTGTAGAAGAGGCCCCCAGGTGTGTGGTCAAATCTCACCCTTCTCAGATATGCATCTCCAGCCCAGGCCTCCTTCCTGTGTCCCAGACCCCTGAGCCCACCTGCCCCTCACATGACTGCCTGGCTGACAAACAACTCTCAAGCTGCACAGGCCCGAATCAGAACCTTCCATCTTCCCTGTCCAAGGCGGCTCCCCTCCTCCCCTTGTGTTTCTTTTGTCAGAAAAGGACACCTCTGTTCTCCCCGACATCCCACCCATCACAATTCTGTCGGTTCCAGCTTCAAAATCTACCTTAAATCCATCCCATTCTCTGTCTGCACTATGAATATCAAGCCCAAGCCAGCAGACTGAGCTACACCCTAAAGTTTTCCAAGTGTTCTCCCCGGTTTGTCTCCTGCTTCTCTTCAATGTGCTCCTCAAGGGTAGACACAGTAATATGTTAGAAATGCCAATCAGATCAGGCCACTGAGCAGCTCGGAACCCTTCAGTGCCTCACTCTTCTCGAAAAGAGCCAGGCTGGGCCAGGCATGGTGGCTCACAGCTATAATCCCAGTGCTTTGGGAGGCTGAGATGGGAGGATCCCTTGAGGCCAGGTGTTCGAGACCAGCCTGGGCAACAAAGTGAGACCTCGTCTTCAAAAAAAAAAAAAATTAGCTGGGGGTGGTGGTGTGTACCTGTAGGGAATCTGAGGTGAGAGGATCGCTTGAGCCCTGGAGTTCCAGGCTGCAATGAGCCACTGTACTCCAGCTTGGGCAAAAGAGCAAGACCCTGTCTCAAAACACAAAACAAAACAAACAAACAAACAACAACAACAAACAATAAAAAAAAACCATGCTAAGTCCAGTGGGGAGGAAGGAAAGTACAGAATGAGCCTGGAAAGTCAGAAGAGCTCAAAGAATGATGCGGACACGTCAGAAGCCAGCTGGAAAGAGCTCTCCCCAGCCAAATCTGGGACAATCTGAGAACCCAAACTGTAATTATAATCCACCAAATAAAAGAAATCTACAAACCCATACTGATATAGAGAATAAACAAAGAATGAATGGATGGAGGAGAAGGAAAGCTCCTCCTTCAAGTAGACTGCCAACTAACACACGTAGAAGGGAGGATTGAATTAGAAACTTACCATTTGGCAACCACCATAGTAATGTTTCAAGCAAGAAAAATCAATGGATACTAAAACTAGTGGGTGAGGCTTGATGAGAAACAATATATTTACATAGTCTCAGGATATCTCCCACAACATAATAATTAAAAGGAAAAATAGTTCAGCGGAGAAACCTGGCAGATACCGCCTTAATCAAGAGATCAAAGTTAACATCACCAGTCATGGGACTAATCAACAGCATGGTCGTCTGATACACTGCATCACTCTGATATTCCTGCCAGAAGTACAGAATCTGAATCTAATCATTAGAACACATAAGACAAACCCCAACTGAGGGTCATTCTATGAAGGAAATGACCTGTAATCTTCCAAAACATCTAGGTCACAAAAAACAAGTGAAGACTTAGAGAACCATCCCAGAAGGAAGAAACTAAACACCAGAAGACAACGAAATGCAACGTGTGATCCTGTATTGGATCCTGAATCTGTAGAGGACATTATTGGGACAATCTGTGGAATTCCAAAGGGGACCAAGCATTAGAAAGAAATACTGTATCAGTGTTAATTGCCTTCTTTTGATGACTGAATCATGGATACATACACAGGAAAGTGTCCTTAAGCCTCATATCTGCAACTTACCTTCAAATGGTTTAGTAAAAAACAGTAATATAAATACAGAACATGATAGGCAACTGTGATCAAATGTTAACATTCTTAGCAAAGGCTATAAGGAAGCTAGTTGCCCTATTCTTACAACTTTTCTCTTAAGTTTGAAATGATTCTAAATAAAAAGTTAACACCAACCAACCAACCCACCCACCCTTACCGCTTTCCCACTGCACTTCTGGCAAAACTACCAGGGCCTTGGTAATCTGCACCTATACCTCTAACCACCCCTCAAGGAACATTTCCCATCCTCTCCACCCAAGGTGTCCTTCTATGCTGTTCCCTCTACCTGAAAAGCTCTGCTCGCTCCCCTGGCGTCACTGGTTCCTACTCCCTTCCCACCATTCAGGTCTAAGTTCAAATCCATCCACTTCCTCGAAGGGCCACCCCTGTCCCCTAGACTGGACCGAACTCCCCATCACAAGGTGATATTCTACACTGATTTAGGTGATTATCCATTTAATGCCCATCTATCCCACTATTCTATGAGCTCTGGGTTTGACTTGTTTTCCTCACTTTCAATTCCCAGGGCTGAAGCATATTTTCTGGAATAAAGGACTGAACAAAAGATCTCGACCACAGAGACTTGACCTGGCTTCCACTCTTGGAGGCAGTGGTCTTTCCATCACAAATGCATGCTATTTTTTTTGAGATGGAGTCTCGCTCTGTCACCCAGGCTGGAGCGCAGTAGCATGATCTCGGCTCACTGCAACCTCCGCCTCTCGGGTTCAGGCGATTCTCATGCCTTTCAGCCACCTGAGCTAGGATCACAGGCGCATGTTACCATGCCCGGCTAATTTTGTATTTTTTGTAGATACAGGGTTTCGCCTTGTTGGCCAGGCTGGTCTTGAACTCCTGACCTCAAGTGATCCACCTGCCTTGGCCTCCCAAAGTGCTGGGATTACAGGCGTGAGCCACCGTGCCCAGACAAATGCATGTGTTTTTATTATTTTACTCCAACAACTTATATTCTTGAGGCGTTGATTATGCAACCTTACTTAGTTTTACTAAATATCTTATTGAGCAGGAAAATTACACTATGGAGGGCAAGGGCTGCTATATTTAAATCCAAATAAACAGGACGGGGCGTGCACACTGACGTGTAACATGATCACCCTTAATGACTTAAACAACTAATGTCAGTAATTAGGACTATTTTCAGAGTACGGAGAAGGTGATTAAAAAAATAAAGTAGGGAGTAATTAATTTCACATAATAGTCACACTGGGACCTATTGTGAGATCTGACGTTAATGATGTATTTCTTTTCTGTAATTAATTTTTATGTGCAGTCCTGGGAACTCCCCGCCACCTTCTGAATTGCTCCTTGCTCAGCACCCCTAACTCTTCCAGCCCCACCACATCAGGCCAGCCTTCCCCATAACGAAAGGGAACACAGAGACCACTGGAAACAGAGACCCTCACAGCAAAAACTTTAGTGTGACAATGCTTTCTCTGCTCAGCGAGGAAATTAAAGTAACTAATAGAAGTGAGAGTGCACGCTGGAAGGAGTTTGTTTTTCTCTGCAGTTTTTTAAGCATTAAAGCAGATGACAAAGGGAGAGACAAGGGCAAGAGACTCGAATTCCAGTCTAACCATTATCACCACCTACCAGCCTGGCAAATCACTTTCTTTCTCTACGTCTTGCTGGTCACGGTTTTAAAATATGGATAGCATCCTCATCCCTGAAGACAGAGGCTGAGTCAGATGGCCTGTAGCTTTCACAGTGAGAAGGAACTAGAAATTACAGCAAAGTCCCTGATATGATGCAAAAGAGAGGCAACGAGACCTCTTTTCCATGACTTAACCCCTGGCCTCTTTGTCTAGGACTATCATGCAAACAAACTGGTTAACACTGAATCATGTTTTATAAAGAGCTGCATCATTTCCTTCTCTTGAGTACTGACTTTTTCTTCCAGATTCCTAAAGGATGTTTTACAACCAGTTTTCCAACTTGCCTACAGCTGATAATGGCCAAATACACAAAATTAAGGCAATGTGCTTCTTCTTCAATGCCAGGAGGCAGCTTGAGCTCTCCGAAGCAGACATAAGAGAGACCAAGTGTTACAGATCACAAAATATACACATGTGGTTGTTTCAGTGGGACAAAGAGTCATTTGGTGAGAACTGAAGGAAAGCGAAGTTCAAGAGTAAACTGTGGCCTGCCCTGTAGCAGACGCCGGGTGCACAGAAACACTTGCTGTGGTCATGCAGCCCAGGTTAACAGGAGCGTGTTTTCACGCCACCCATTTGCGGAGACTTGGCCAGGCTCCCACTCTTGGAGGCAGTGGCCTTTCACGATTAGAACCCTCCCTGAAACACATATCTAGTGACCTATCCAATGGTTACCAAGTCACTGCAGTGGCCTGCTCTGGCCTGTTCCTAAATATGGACCCAGGAAGCCCCATGGCCACATCTGAGGGCAGCCACCACACTGACTGACAATCCACTGGGCTGCTCTCTCATTAGCCAGCTCCTTGAGAGCAAGGACTGAGCTTTTTATTTCCATGTCCCTGCCATCTACTATATGGAAGGGCTCAGCAAATGTTTTCAACAAATGAAAGCTCAGGGGCGATCTCAGGGAATGATAACATCTTTTTTTTTTTTTTTTTTTGAGAAGGAGTTTCACTCTTGTCGCCCAGGCTGGAGTGCAATGGCGTGATCTCGGCTCACTGCAACCTCCGCCTCCTGGATTCAAGTGATTCTCCTGCCTCAGCCTCCCAAGTAGCTGGGATTATAGGCGCCCGCCTGGCTAATTTTTGTATTTTTAGTAGAGATGGGATTTCACCATATTGACCAGGCTGGTCTCGAACTCCTGCCCTCAGGTGATCCGCCCACCTCGGCCTCCCAAAGTGCTGGGATTATAGGCGTAAGCCACTGTGCCCGGCCAGGAATGACAACATCTTAAGCTTGTGCTTGGACAGCCTGTCCTATCCATGCCGCACCAGCCACTCCCAATTCTGGCAGAAATGCACGCCCTACCACTCTCCATCACCTGCCCTACTTCCTCACCCAGGTGCTGTCTTACTACCTGCTCTGAAATTTTTAAATGACTCATAGCTCATCTGAAAAGGTCAGGGTGCAAGCAGCGTGGACACCTCTCTCTTTTCATGTTTGGTCCTTCCCTGGCACCACAGGTGCTTCCTTTTGATTCACAGGGGTTATGATTCTGCTAAACACATGCCCCCGCCCCCGCCCCCACCCCGCCCATACACACATTCTCTCTACATTGCTTCCGAAGTCCGAGCTGCTAAAGCAGATGCAATGCACTCGGAGTGTGCCGCATGGCTTGAATTCTGTGAGCATTATTTCCACTTCTTTTCTTTATAAACATCAAATTTTGAAAAATCAATTTCAAAGTCTGAATGAAAAATATTTTCTTTTCTTTACCCTGAGTCTTTACTAATTTACTTCCAATTAGATCTAAATGAACATTTAAATGCTTATCAAAGAATACTTTTTCCACACCCAACCAGCAGGTAACACAGGTCCCCTCTAACTGGATCTGCACCAAGGACCGGGGGCTTGTGAGAAAGCAGACAGCATTGGGAGCCTGTGCTCGGGAATGTGGATAGTCATGTAACGAAACAGTTCTCAACCAGAATTAACCACACGTTTAATTCAGGAAAAGAAAGGCTACTAATTAGCAAGCAGAATTAAACACGTGACACTTAAATCCTAATGGATGGTCTTGTCTGACTTTTACTGGGCAGTTACATGCCACAGGGAGAGTTACCTGTAATTGCCAGAGAGAGCTGGATCCATTTTTCTGTTCTGGTTTTGGATGGGTTTCTCTCAATATGTCAATTTTAGACAAAGCTCCTTAATTTTGCTTAAGTAGGGCTCTTAGCTCCAATCCCTCTAATCAAAATGTATTACTGGAAGATGTGATAAGTAGAATGTGTTTGGAGGGAGGGGGGTTATTTCGAGGGGTTATTTCTCAGAGGAGTCCTTGGGAGAAGGCAGTACGGACTCCAACCCTTACCTTAACCTTCCCCATTCAAGCTGAGTGGGCTGAGACCCTCTGTACTAGGCATTGTGCACTTTTCCTCCAAGAGTTTTGGGGAAAGTTGGTCAAGAGCCAGTGATTCATCAGACATGCAGCAAAGCTGAAGCTGGTGCTACCATCTGCTAGCCCTGTGAGTTTGGGGAATGGGCCTGGTTGCCTCACTGCTGAATTCGGCCCTATGCCTGGCTCATACTAGGGGCTGTCACAACTTGATAAAAGAATGGATGGAAGGACAGACAGAAGGCTGAATGGAGGGAGATAAACATGAGAGCAACAAGAGGGCAAAGAGCTGCCATTTTGATTAGGCTCTGAAGTGCTTTCTCACATCTGGATTGTGGAATAAATGCATGATGGGTCAACAATGAGGTAAAAACAAAATGTGTAAGAACACAGACAAGCAACTCGGAATGCTAGTGCTTTTCATGGAGACATGCAAACCTTCACAAATAGGATCCAAGAATGAGATTCCAAAAGTTGTGACACCTATCACTCACTCTTTTCCCCTCGAATCTCAGGTGGTTCCAGCTCTACCCGCGGTCGAGGCCTTCGTGAGACAGGCTAAGCAAGTTAGGAGAATTGTCTAGGAATCACGAAGGGCAAACAATGACTCACTGAAACCCCCAACACTCAAACAGGGGTGCACATTGAAGTCTGAGGAAATAATGTCAAGGAAAACAAAATTAATGACCCAGTGGATAGTGACTTAAGGATTAATACCCCCAAGGTAGAAATATGAACACAGTCTAGAACAGCGGTGTGAAGAGAAATATAATATGAGTCACATATGTAATTTCAAATGCCTACAAGCCACATTTTTACAAGTAAAGCTATATGGGTGAGTATAATTTTGAAAATACACTTTATTTCACCTAACATACACAAAATGTTATTTCAACATATAATCAATATTAAAAAATAATAGCAGAGCTTGCATTCGTTTTTCCTACTAAATCTTTTAAATCCAGTATGCACTTTACACTGACAGCACATCTCACACAGCGTTTCAGGGTCCAGCACTCAACATTTCAGCGTCTCAATAGCCACACTGTGCACAGCTGTAGAGACAGGTGAATGCACGTACCAACAATGGGTATCACCAAACGAAGCAGCAGGTTTGGAGTGTACTCCCTTTGTGGGGCTTCAGTTATTTTGGCCTGCATTTATTTCCTGTGGATTCCTGCCATACAGTTTTAACAAGGTTGTCACTCACAGTACTTGTCACCTCACTCGCAGGGTGAGCACCTGACCCTGGCCTCCTAATCATAATTCAGGCTAATGCTGGAGTCCAAGAGAAGGGCCTTGTGACCAGGCAAGGCCAATTAGAATCTTTCCCTAGGACTGATGTATAAAAGCTGGGGGGAAAATGCTTTCTCTTTCCCCTGGGGTTGCTGGGGTAGAGTCTAGGTCTCTCCCTATCATAGAGATCTAGAGTCATAGTCTGTCTCAGGATGGGGTCATGAAAAGGCAAAGAAACACCCTAGTTCCATGCCCTGAGGCCCTGGTTGAGGTCTCTCTCTCTTGCTTGGATTCAGCCACCTACTCCACTTCCTTCCCAGTAGTTGCTCTCACTTCCTTAAGCCACTTAGGCTTGGGTTTCAGCCACTCCCACAACTCCGGCCCATGGCCATGTCCTCCCACTCCATGCCTAGGAGCCCGTCTCTAAGGCTACATGCCACGCCACAGAGAGGTCACCAGCCAGACTCAAAGGCAGGACTCCATCTTTTTTTTTTTTTTTTTTTTTTTTTGTTGAGGCAGGCTATGTCCAAAAGCCTGTTGTCGAGGCTGGAGTGCAGTGGTGCAATCTCTGCTCACTGCAGCCTTGACCTCCCAGGCTCAACTGATCTCCCAACCTCAGCCTCCCGAGTAACTGAGACTAGAGGCACATGTCACCACGCCCTGCTAATTTTTTGTGTTTTTTTTTTTTTTTTTGTCGTGGGCTGAAGCCATCTTCCTGCCTCGGCCTCCCAAAGTGTTGGAATTACAGAAGTGAGCCACCGTGCCCGGACCAGGACTTCATCTTTTAAGTTTCATCAATGCTGCACAGCGCTTGTTCCCTCCCTAGGTCACCACTTGGTTTTCAGATCTGCGCCCTCATACCTCCACCCAGCCAACAGATGTGTGCCAGAAGGCTGAACGGCTCCACCTGGCTGCAGATGCCCCTGGGGCTCCCCTTTGTTCTCCTCCACGTGTCCACCGTCTTACCTCACTGCCCCTGCAGCATCCTGCCTTGAGAAGCAGAAGGGTGCCATGAGTTTGCCCTTTCACTACAGGATCTAACTGGCCTCCTGGTGAACCATGTGAAAAGCCTGTTCTAAAACACTGACCTTTCAGAATCAAGTGAACACAAAAGGAGACTGTTCCAGGCCCGAGGTTACAAACATAAAGATGATCATGTCCTCTGTCCATGCATGAGATTCTCACTGGTATTCCCAGCGTGACAGCAAATATGTACTATGTTCACCCAGGAAACAGCCACTTAGGACACTGGTGAGCTACTCCTTAGGGGGTTGTGGAAATAGAGCCCAATCTGGCCTTGACTCCATCGTAGAGCACAATTTACTGAGCAAATTCTAATAAATGTAAATTGAAATTTACATATGATGCTGTTCTTTTCAGAACCAAGATTCGTTCGCTTACTGCTTATCAACTCTTCCTCCTGTTTAGGTCTAGTTCTCTCCTGTGCAAGATTGCGACAGAAGCTGAGAGGAGCCTTCTGGTGTTTGATCGATACACTCCCTTGACCACAATTTATTCACTGTAGTCACAATGGATAGTCTTATGAAATCTTAAATAGCTGCTTTGAAAGTCCACAGGGGTGTAGACAGGGCTCTTCACTCTACCTCACATGATAGAAGTTTATAAGATAAGTAATTAAAATCCAGAGTTCAAATTATTCTTGCTCCTCTTAGGAAGTTCAGCTTGCTAATTTAATACTTAATGATGTTTTAAGGGCTATGGGAAGATAATGAGTGAAATTCATATCAAGCCATTAGCGGGTTTTTTTGTCTTTTATTTATTTTATTTTATTTTTTTAAAGAAAGCACTGAACGCCCCTGCAGGAACTAGTGCTAACCTACCGAGTCTGGTGCCTGTGCAGGGGGCAGGCAGAAAGGGTCCATACTTGCGATTTTGCTCATTTTTCTCCTGTAGCTCTGAACAGTGCAGGACACCAGGGCAGGGATCAGTGCCTCCCATCTCTCTTGCAATGTAGAGGCGGTGACTCCACTGTGAGTGCATGAATCCCTTCCTGCAGTGCTCCATCACAAGTGGTCTCATTGTCTCCCTTCTTTCCACTCTAGCTAGACAAGGACAGGTTTGTGGGGCCAAATGGGGTATGCTGTGCTAGCCAGGGGTCCCTGCATTGACAGATGCAAACATCTGTAAAACAAGTCCTGTTCTTACGTGGATGGGCAGAGTTCCATGGGGGAAAATTCTTGCCTCAAAATGGCCAGACACCCATTCCTGGAGGCTTTCAAAACTTTTTTTATTTTTATTTTTATTTTTTTTGAGATGGAGTCTCGCTCTGTCACCCAGGCTGGAGCGCAGTGGTGCGATCTCAGCTCACTGCAAGCTCTGCCTCCCGGGTTCACGCCATTCTCCTGCCTCAGCCTCCCGATTAGCTGGGACTACAGGCACCCACCACCACGCCCGGCTAATTTTTTGTATTTTTTAGGAGAGACGGGGTTTCACCGTGTTAGCCAGGATGGTCTTGATCTCCTGACCTCGTGATCCGCCCGCCTTGACCTCCCAAAGTGCTGGGATTACAGGCAGGAGCCACCGTGCCCGGCCAAAAACTTTTATTTGCTAAACCCAAGGCAAGTTATCTAACCTGCTGGAACCTCACTTTTTCCTGTTCAAAATGGGAGCACAACACCAGCTGCCTGATTTGGTTATTGCAAGAACCATGTAGCTAACGTGAGACTCCCTGAACAGCCTCCTCCACCAGGGTCTACCTGTAGCAGGCAATTGCTTTCCTTTCTTTTCCTTCACTAAAGATCATTTTTGACTGTGTTCCCATCTACCATGCACCTTCCCAATAAGACTACTCACTCATTCAAAAACCCGGAAGACCCAGACAAGTAAAAAACAAAAATGTTAAATCTTCCATGGACTCATGACCCCAGACAACCACTATTAATGTTTTGTGTTTTCATTCCTGGGCATGGGACCATTTTGCATAGTTGAGATCATGCTGTAGATATAATTTGGCTTATTCTCTTTTTCACTGAACATTATATGCATTTCCGCATGTCACTCTGTAGTCTCGAGAAACAACACTTTCCATAGCTGCATGTGTTTCTGGCCAGTGGGTGCTCAGGGTTTATTTAACCACACAAAGCTTTTCAAGAGTCTTGGCTTCCAACTTTTTGCTAACATGAACAACGCTGGTTAGTAAAGCCTTTCCTTGAGTTGGGCTTACTCCCTTGGGAGGAGTCCCCGAAGCAGAATGACGGCATTCAGAGTGTGAACTTGTCAAGGACCTTGATGTATACTGCAGAAGGCTTTCCCTGTGCTCATGCCATAAGCAATGCTGCGGAAAGCCCATTGCACATCCACAGGAAGTACCTTTCAGGATTTTTGATTTTTAAAAATTGTGGTAAAAGACATATAACACAGAATTTACCATGTTAACCATTTTTAAGTGTACAGCTCAGTACTGTTCACACTGTTGTGTAAACTACGTCCAGAACTTCTCAATCTTGCAAAACTTAAACTTTATTCCTATTAAATGGTATCTCTCCATTCCTCCCTCTCTCCAGCCCCCGCAACTCCCATTCTACTTCCCGTCTTTGGATTTGACTATTCTGAGTACCTCATCTAGGTGGAATCATGCAGTGTTTGTCCTTTGGGACTGGCTTATTTCACTTAGCATAGTGTCCTCAATATTCATCCATGTGGTAGCATGGGTCAGAATGTCCTTCCTTTTTTTTTTTTTTTTTTTTTTTTTTTGAGACAGAGTTTCACTCTTGTTGCCCAGGCTAGAGTACAATGGTGCGATCTTGGCTCACTGCAACCTCCACCTCCTGGGTTCAAGTGATTCTCCTGCCTCAGCCTCCTGAGTAGCTGGGATTACAGGCACCCACCACCATGCCTGGCTAATTTTTGTATTTTTTGTAGAGACGGGGTTTCACCATGTTGGCCAGGCTGGCCTCGAATGCCTGATCTCAAGTGATCCTCCCACCTCGGCCTCCTAAAGTGCTGGGATTACAGGCATGAGCCACCGTACCTGGCCTGTCCTTCGTTTTTAAGGCTGAAGGATATTCCACTGTACCTATAAACCATATTTTATTTATCCATTCATCCAGTGACAGACACACGGGTTGCTTACACCTTTTGGTGACTGAGAATAATGTTGGTATGAACCTTGGATGTACAGCCCTGTAACATTTTTTTGGATACCTTGATACAAAATGATCTCGTCCTTTTTCTTTGCACATTATTGACTTCCATTTTCCTGTTAACCATATACCATTCCTTCCTCTTTTGTACCCTCACATGAATGAATGCCTTCTGCCAGAGAAGAGAAAGGATCCCAACCTTTGGAGGCTGAAGACTTGGCAGAAGAGTTTGACAGAGGACAGGAATCTACACTTGAAACTAAATCTGATGCAACCTATTCTTGGGCCAGAATATGAGAACTCGATTATAGTATCAGTTTTAAAATTTGTTTATTTTCCTTATACTGAAGATGTTAATTCTTTTCTGCAAATTCCTCTAAAGGTTAATGATCTTTACATTTTGATTACCTTTTATGAAGTATATGAGTTTAACTCAAATCTGTCAGTATGTTCTTTAGTGATTTCATTGAATCTTAGAAAATTCTATACACTGAATTTCACAAATTTTTTTTTCTATTTTCTCTTGCTTTTTTTTTTTTTTTTTTTTTTTTTTACAAAAAGAGTTACTGTTAGATCTATCTTGGAGTTTAAGTTGGCTATATAGGGTAAAGTGAAGATGTAAAATTTTACATTTTGTTTGTTTTTGAAAAAGTCTAACCACTTTCCCTGACCATTACAGCATAATTTCTCCCTCCCCAGTGACTCCTGATGTCTCTTTTAGCCAACATCAAATTCTTACAGACAATAGGACCTCTGTGGGACCAGAACCACGCTGTGTCCATTCCTCTCCTCCCCAACCTCTCTCCAGTTTTCCAGGATCTCTTTGTTACAGACTCTAGCCCTGAGAAACCTGCTGGCACCTGAAACCTTCCACAACCTTGCTTTAGAGCAAAGTAAAGAATGTAACAATTCAAATGTCTTCCTACAGAGAGTGAGGAAATACATTATGGCTTTTTGTAAATATAGAAGTCATGCCTATCATTTTATAGTAATGTTGTGATTAGAATATGGTTGAGGCAGAGATTTTTCAAGGTGAAGGAAGCCCAGGAATGATCTACCTGGAGTTCTGACCCTATGAAGAACCTGAAGACCTGGGAGGTGAAACCAACTGCGCAAACACTGCAGCTAATGGTGGCAGGGCTGGAACTCACAGCCCTTGTCTTTGCTCCAAGCCATGATCCTCCCACTGTGACCTGCTGCCACTGTCCTCCCCTTTCTTGGATTTATTGGTGTCACAATTAGGCAGGGAGGTGACCGTTTAGCTAAAGACCCTATTTAGGGTATCTTAATTACTTTCATTCACCCACTCAGCTAAACAGAACCAAAGCACACAACTACCACCCTAAACCAGAGAAGAGAGAGCTGACTTTAGACTGATGCACTACTCTGGTCTGACAGATGCTTCCAGCGGAATGGTCTAGATGAAAGGCATCTTGCTCATGGAGCAGCCTTTGAGAAAGGCAACCAACTGCCTTCCACTTCCCAGCAGGTCTATAAACTTGGGTTACACGTAGATTTAAGTGTGCAGGGAAACCCGTATTCCTGAGATGAATGCACAGAAAACGTAGCTGGATGACCTGCGGCATCTGCCCCGTGTGCTGGCTGTCCTCCTGGCCCATGCATGACAGGCTGCGCCCCACGGCAGGGATTTGGGGACTCAAGGCAGAGAACATGTCAGGGCGATTTGGGACAAACAACCACAAGATTTTCCCCAAATAGAATTATTTTAACCAGTGTACAGCCTAAAATTACGTAGAGAGAGTCTTATTGGACATAAAAGTTTCTTGACTACTTGAAAGTTAAAACTAATTTCCAGCTACAGATCTATGTATTCGTTGACTAGCAGGGAATGTCCTCTTTATGCATTTCCAGCTCTGTATTGTTGAACTGTGCAAGTAATGCTCTCAAACACCCACCAATTTATGCTGAAAAGATCACTTTTTCAACCTATGATGGCACGTATGTATTCCTCTCATTCAACAGGGTGCTTCAGAAAAATAATGTGTGCTCTAGATGCGGAAGTGACCATTTCATGCCAAACTGTGTGGGTCAATTCCAGGCTTTGGGAATTCTCTTTTCACTTCCCTTTCCTCCTCCTTTAAATCCTCCCTGTTTCATGAGTTTCCTTGGATCCCAGAAAGGCAAACACTCAAGGCTTCATCCAGATCTTTCCTATAAGATTTGTGTCTATAAGAACTTTCCATTCACATTACCTCCCAAGTATGATACAGGAATCTCTTCTAGAATACTATATGATCCTGGAAGATCACACCCTAAGAAAAACTGGGCCAATGGGAAAAGCAGGGCTGGGCAGACCACTGAGGACCCACCGGACTTTGTAACCAGGGTCTTTGCAAAATCGAAAACAATCCCAATAAAAACATGAGTCCAGTCGAATCTCCCAGGCCCAGCCACAGCATCACAATGGCCCACCCAATGCAAGCTCCTTCCCTGGGCCTCTGCTTCCTCCTTTAAGGGGAAAGCCCTTGAAAACATCCACTTCTAAATGATACCAGATTTGTCAACACTAAAAATAAGGTCCAGGGGTCCCCTCTGCATCAACTCTTTTCTTTCCTCTTCTTTTAAACACAGAAAGACATATATTCACAGTGTCTTTATCTGTACTTGTAGCTTCCCCAAACACAGTAGAAACCAAAGTGGTTCTTGAGGCCACGAAATCAGCCACTTCTTGTACCAAAAGAAGGCCCTTCTACACTATTCTTGGCTTTTTCCTAAAGGTCTTCATATATGGCGAAGGCGTTCTGATTACATGTGTCATCAACACAGAACATTAACGTGCTAGGAGAAAACTTCACTACAACCTTTGAGTCCTACAGATGTCACACCTTGCCGGGTTCCCCATCAGCTCACTGGCTTTATAAAAAAAGTATTTATGGCCAGGCATGGTGGCTCACACCTGTAATCCCAGCACTTTGGGAGGCCAAGGTGGGCGGATCACGAGGTCAGGAGATTGAGACCATCCTGGCTAACATGGTGAAACCCCGTCTCTACTAAAAATACAAAAAAATTAGCCAGGCGCGGTGGTGGGTGCCTATAGTCCCAGCTACTCCGGAGGCTGAGGCAGGAGAATGGTGTGAACCCGGGAGGCGGAGCTTGCAGTGAGCTGAGATCACACCACTGCACTCCAGCCTGGGCGAAAGAGCGAGACTCCGTCTCAAAAAAAAAAAAATTCATTTTTATTGTGGTAAAGTATACATAATCTAAAGTGCACAATTTTAACCATTTTAAGTGACAGTTCAGTGGCATTAAGTATTTTACCACAACGAAGAAATGTAACTCTGCTAAAAACTAAAAAAGAATTCCAAGATAAGAAGACAGTCACGTTATTTTTACTACCATCATCCTCCCTGTTTATTTTTAACCTGTCTTTTCTCAAATTTGGCTTTATAGATAGCAAATCAGTCCCAACAATATCACCAACAGCTGAGATCAAACTCCAGGAAAGAATGGAATGATTGTTATTATTTCTCATACTCCAAAAGCTTGAAGCGTTCTGAGCTAAAAGCATCTATAGAGTAAGTGGCTCTCTTCCATTCCAGGTTTATGTTTTGGGGAGACACAAGAGAGAAACTAAGCGCCTTGACAACATGCAATGGAATCTTCTAGGGTCAATGCAGGCTTTTGGTGGATGATTGATGGCTCAGGTCCAAACTGTGGCTGTGTGACCTCAGGCAGATGGCTGAACCTTTCTGGGCCTCAGTTTACAAGCTATAAAATGAGAATAGCATGAGTAGATGAGTTAACATATGTAAGGCATTTTCAACACTTTATGGCACAAATAAGTCCTCATTAAATGATACTTAGTATTATTGAAAGGCCAAGATCCTGCAACCAAAATATTTTAGTTGAAGGACCAACTAATATGACATTTTTATTGTGTGCAGCTAAACATCAAAATGTTTTAGAATTCATAAAAATACTTTAACTTAAAGACATGAATAATTGTTCTTTCAGTGACAAAAATAAATATTCTTTTTTAACTTAAAAAGAAGGCTTATTGTTATTCTTGGTAGTCAATGGTACAAGAGTTGTTATTAGGAGAAAAAAACACTCTTTTAACTCCTACACACAGTGGATGTCATTTAATTTAAACGTACAAACACACACAAAGACAAGAGAAGAAATGCCTTTTTAAAACCATCCCCTCTTCAAAAATTACAGATGTCTTTCAAAACCCAACATCACATTTTTAGAGTTTATTTATAAAACTTTAATACTTTAAGCGCATTTTATGTAAAACTTAATGCCTTAAACTCTGGAAACTTTTTATTCATATCTTCTAGCAAAATAAAAGATTCCAGTGTCTCCCTTGACTACCAATGATGTTACCACCCTAGAATTTTCCCTAAATGTTGGAGAAAACACACAAGAAACATATAAGCAGAAAACCATGGGGGAGGGGCATGACCTTCAGAAAACCACATGTGGGCCTGCAGGTGCTGAAATCGTGGGCACCGAGGGCTGGCCCACATGGCCAAGCCATTTGGGCACTGTCTCCATTCACCTTGGGCCTGACACCGCACCCAGGGTGGGGAAGCCACAGCATTGAACTTGCAGGGGTGGCAAGAAACTGACTGAAGGAGGGGTCGGTTCCTACAGAAATTCCAGAGTGGTTTGGAATAATCCATTCCTGACCAGAAAACCCTCTGCCATGGTGAGGAACCAGGTGAGAGCTGAGAACAGGAGCATGATGACATGCAGGAGAATCTTTTACTGTCAGGGGATCCCTAGATGACAAAGACAGCTGGTCACTACCAAAAATGGGCTAAAATCTGAGCTAGAGCTGCCTTGCCCAATAAAACAGCATGCCTCTCAGAGAAGCAGTTCTCTGATGTGAATCCCAAATTGAAGGAAGGCAGTTAGGAGCTCACAGCACAAAGACACTGCACTGTCAACAAGCCCCATGGCCAAGTATGAAACTGCCCACCAGGGCTGACATTGGATGGCTGCAGTGTGGCCCCAGCTGGCATCCACCCAGAGCAGCCTGGGTGCCTGAGTGCATGTAGTCAGCTGCCTGGCTGGGTGGCTTCCATGCTAGCCTATGCCAACCGGTGTGCTGGGTCTGTTGTTTGTTCTTAGCCAGTGCTACATTGGCACTGAGAGACTGAATGTACAAATGGACAATGGGCAGACCACATGTAAAAACAGAACCTGATCCCCAGCCTGCAGCAACCTGTACAGGAAGCCAGCCCCTCATCTACAATAATCAGCATGGAGCCAGCCTGCTCCACGTCAGACTTGGAAGAAGTCAGACCTCTATCTGCAGCCACCATCCACGAAGCCAAACTATAATGATCAGCCCCAAATGGCCAGGAGTTGATTAATAAATGACAGCTGCCCTAATTCCACCCCGATCCACTGCTTCCAACTTAGAACCAACCAGAGAGAGCCAAACATGCTCCCCTAACGGATCACACAGGAGGCCCCATTTCTAGTTAGTTACCAGCAGCTCCCCCATGCCAACAGCCTCCAATCAGGGCATGCTTGCAGCCTTCCCTTCTTTCCACTGTGAGGCTTTCCCACCCCCTGCCTGCCTCTAAGTCTCTGCCAAACACAAGTGCTGGTGGCCGACACCCTCACTAGTGCAAGCTCTGGATAAATGGCCTCTGCTTGTTCTCATTTGGGTGGTCTTTGTTTATTCCCACAGTACAATGTCTCTCATCCCTTCCTCACCCTTGACTCTCTGTCTCCTTCTCTAACGAAAGTGGCAAAGGAAAAGTAGTTAATTTCAGTGAAAAAGTCAACTGTTGCTCTGGAAAGAGGCGCAACTATACACAACCCATTTGAATGATCACAAAACACTCTCATCTCACTTTCTAGTAGTAAGTATGACTCATCCGGACAGCATCAATATGAAATACTCACTGATCTAGATTTCAAACAACCAAACGTTCCCCTATATTCATGTGGCGACATAAGAGCTAAATGAAAAAGAAAAATTAATATTAAGGGTTTGTTTCAAAATGTACTCTGCAGTCGATGCATATCAGTGTGGTACCCTACACCTTTTATACCTGCAGAGCTGGCGGGGAATCATGCAGAAAACTGTTCAGAATCACGGGCCCCTCCTCCTCGGTACCACTGGAGGCTAACTGAGCAAAGAAAGGTGAACTTTTCTGTAACATTTATGTATACTTATTTCTTCTAATTCTCTGAAAATTGGTGTTCCAAGTATAAAATATATGGTTAAGGAGATTTATCAAAATACTTGCTGATCAAAACCCCTGACTCTCCCAACATCCTGGGTAAGGGTCCCTAGGGTCCTTCTGAGCCCCGAGCCTCCCCTTGACCCCATGGAGTCCCCCTTCAGTGGTACCCACACCCAGCACAGAGCTGGGCATGGTGGTTGCTGGGTAGATAAATCACTTCACTAACTATGGGGATGATGACACAAACCCTATATTAATTGGGTCAGTATTGAAGGAGAAATTGGGTGGCCAGGCTGTGAGCCTGCAGACAGTGAGAGCTGACACGGCCCTGGGAGTCTGTGTACTATGGGCAGCCCGGCCCTATCAGGGTGGGCATCTTCACCACCATTTCTCTTCTCACCTCTTCTTGGTGTATCTAATCATTGGAATCTTCCATTTCTGTCTCCTTCTGAGCAAACGGAGGACATGGGTGCTGGAATTCCTTAGTTCTGGAATGGCTTATCAGGACACCATCTTCTCATTTGCCAAACCATCTGAACAACTGATTGATGGGTGAGATAAAGGACACTCTGAAAAGGAATTATTCCTTCATGCCAGAGTCCTTTCTAAACCTCATCCATTTTCCTTTATAAAGAGATCCTTTAGATCTCTTTATAAATGTCATCTACTTCCTTAAGATAAATGGAAATTTTTCTTAATCAAGAAAATGTTAAAGTGAACACTGAAGTGTGGAAAGCATTTTATGTTTCTTCTGCTTAACATAAGTGTTAAATAACAGAAAACAAGGGTCAGAGCCATTTCAACAATGAACAAATATCAGTATATAGGACAAACTATCTCAAAACATACTGAAAACTTGCAGTGAAAATTTTTCTAAGCAGACTTTTACCTGAGACTATCAAAACATCTTCCCATAATGGAGGTTCTGATTCCCTATTTATCTAAAAATGTGCTTCTTACCTGCCCCCTCAATCCCCAAAACTATATTGCTGTTTGGCTGTAATCTAATTTTAATGTGTGTGCAATGTTGGGGGCAGGGGAGGCTTTATAGCCAATGATTAAAGCTCAAGCAAAGCAGAGACTTTGGACTTTGATCAGAAAATGTATGAAATTCCCAGGTGAGGCTGACCAAAAGTGGGGACACCAGGGAACAGATGCCAGCATTTTTTTTTTTTTTGAGACAGAGTCTCACTCTGTCACCAGGCTGGAGTGCAGTGGTGCGATCTCAGCTCACTGCAACCTCCGCCTCCCGGGTTCAAGCGATCCTCCTGCCTCAGCCTCCCGAGTAGCTGGGACTACAGGCATGCACCACCACACCCAGCTAATTTTTGTATTTTTAATAGAGATGGGGTTTCTCCATGTTGGCCAGGATGGTCTCAATCTCTTGACCTCATGATCTGCCTGCCTCAGACTCCCAAAGTGCTGGGATTACAGGCATGAGCCACCACACCTGGCCGATCCCAGCATTTCCTACTCCTCTCAGGAACAGCTTAGGACAGAATCACTTCATTATGATAGAGCTGTACTTTTCTGTAAAAAGAATCCAGCTACAATGTGTAAAAACTGGCTGTTTGTTGAGGCACTGAATGTCTTTGCTAAAAGAAGCAACACTGGTGGGGCCACATGGAGCCTCCTGTTGTCAACAATGCACCTGTGGGCTGTGCTGACCTGTCGTCCAGTTCCTCAAACACATCCCAGAGACAAGGACACAGGTTTCTCTAGGCCAGTGAAGTGCTCAGTTATATGGACCCGCTTTGTGAAACTGTGTAGGGTCTGAGATGCTGCCCACCTTGCACGACTAAGGACTTTATATAAGTGAATACTGCAGAAAGAGGAGGCAGCTGGGTCAGGGAAAAGGGCCCTTTCTTTACTGACACTCACACCCTGACTAACAGCCAGAGTAACTGCAGCAGCAGCCCCGACACCCAGACCACAAGCAAGATGATGACAGTCGAAGGAAACTTTCTATGTGGGCGCAGACTAGCTCCCATTGACAAGGGATGGCGCACGATGCATTCTGTCTACGTGCAGGAGTAGCTGCCTCCCTCCCCAAGTAGAAAGAAGGGAGAGAAACCTTTAGCTCCTTGGAGATGGGATGGAAAGGATCCTGGGTTCTCACCCCAACCTTTTAAAGTATAAATAAAATATCTCCAGGGGTCAGAAAGCCTCATGAGTCTGGGCTTTTATGACCTAGAATTGTCTCTAAGATCTAGGCTTCATCCCTTTGGACATGTAAATACCTAGGAAGACAGTGCTGCAGTCTTCCTGGCACCTGGGGGCTTAAGTGTGTGTGTGTGTGTGTGTGTGTGTGTGCGCGTACATGCACACTCATGCATGAACATGCATGTGCACATGTATATGGTGTGCATACATGCATGTGTGTATATGTGTACTGTGTGAATGCATATGTGGATGTGAATATGCTGTGCATGCTTGTGTATATGTACATGCACTTATGTATATGGTATACATACATGTGCAGTTATATGTGTGCACCTTTACATGTATTTGTGTACATGCGCATATGTGCATGTGTATACGCTGTGCATGTATGTGCATATGTATGTGTCTTTCTGTGGGTATATACATGTATTTGTGCATGCGTGTGTGTATGCATATGTGTGCATGTATATACACATATGCAGGTATGTATGCATGTGGTACGTGTATATGCATGTTTGTATATGTGTATGTGTAAATGTATTTGTGTGTGTATGTATGTGTGTGTAGATGGAATTCTGGAGGGTCAGTCTGGTTATCGAATGTTCTAACCTTTAGTCACTGGTCACATCAACTAGTCACCAGCCCCTCTGGCCACTTTACACAGGCCCACAGCAAGATCTTAGGCACACAAATAGGGATTATGCTTGTTTTAACACTTTCTCCAAATTTTTCATAGGTATATTTGGCATGGGCATACACAGTCACTGTAGAAAATTCTTTTCTTTTCTTTTGAGACGGAGTTTCGCTCTTTCATCCAGGCTGGAGTGCAGTGGCGCAATCTCGGCTCACTGCAACCTCCACCCCCCGGGTTCATCAAGCAATTCTCCTGCCTCAGTCTCCAAAGTAGCTGGGATTATAGGCGCCTGCCACCATGCCTGGCTAATTTTTTTTGTATTTTTAGTAGAGAAAGAGTTTTGCCATGTTGGCCAGGCTGTTCTTGAACTCCTGACCTCAGGTGATCCACCTGCCTCGGCCTCCCAAAGTGCTAGGATTACAGGTGTGAGCTGTCGCGCCCAGTCTAGAAAATTGAACAGTAACAAGTAATAGGCACTGTTTGCTCACTATATGCCAGGCACAACTGTAGGGCTTTGCATATGTTGTCTCCGTGAATCCTCAGAACAACATCCTGAAGCAGATCCTACAATTATCCCCACTGTACAGAGGAGGAATGGAGACCCTGGACTGAAGCCACTTTCCTAAGTTGCACAGCCAATCAGAAGTGGAGCAGAGATGCAAACCCCAGCTGCCTGACTCCAAACTTGACTGGTAAGCACCGTGTTCTAGACTTCCTCGTGCTTATTTTTAGACGATCATTCTTTTCACTTTTCCATTTTTTTAAACAAAAATGGAATCAAACTGCTGTTTGCCCCTTGCTCTTTCCCTTCGCACATGTGACTTTCTCTGATGGATATGGTTCTCAATGTTCCCTGCCCCACCACTGTGAAACTGATGACTTCACAGGCATCTGATGTTCTCTGACAGATCGACTCTGGAATTCCAGATTCTAAACCCCAAACAAAGCCTCAGGAACATCAGGTTGCTGTGGGGGTTAAGATTAAAAAAAAAAATGGGGGCTGTGGAGAGAAGATTGTCCAGGGTATAAAGCGGCTACCAGAAGGTTGCATTAGAGGGTTGTGAGGAAGCCGGGTCTGTGAACACAGTGGATTTAATAAAATGGTGCGTCTCAAGGACCTAAAAATGAATAATTTTAAAAGATGGGTCTCCATTCAAATGAGCAGAGGCTTCCTGTCCTTCAGCGCAGTTCAATAAACATGGATAGAGCAAGTCTACTCTACAGCAGCTCCTAAAAGACAGGAGAAAAAACACGTGGTCCCCACTCCCGGGAACCTACAGTCTTCGCTGTAGTTAAGTGAAGGAGAGCCACACCGGTAACCTTGGAACTGTAAAATTTAGATACTGCCATGTAACAGACATGCAGGAGTCTCTGTCAGAGCCCAGAGGACAGACATTCGACCCCTGTGGGCAGGATCTTAGAAGCCAGAGCTGTCCGAAAGGGTGAACAAGAATTGGCAAGCAACGACGGAAGGAAGGGTGTTCCAGGGCAGCAGTAACAGTATGAGCAAAGGCCCCGGGGCCTGGATAGGTGAACGGAGTAATGCCACTAACATCTGCTGTTCATGTAAAGCATAAAATTCCCTGAATATAGATGAGAAAAATCTGCCTTCACGCACTCTGCATCTACTAACCATGAGCAATTTTCAAGTTAATCCTAAATTCCATCAAAAAGAAAAAAATATTATTTAAACATAGAGTAGCTGTTTACGGTTCTAAGAGTATCTATAGAAGAAGATGGACTTCAAAAGTGAAGCACAAATATTCTTAACTGATATGAAACAAAAACTCTAGACATGCCTGGCAGCAATTTTTGATAAAAATAAAATGAAAGCATAAAAAATTCGAAGGATTACAAAAATAATCTGTATAGAAATATGGCTGACTCTTGAACAATGCAGGGGTCAGGGGCACCAACTCTCATGAAGTTGAAAATATGAGTATATAACCTTTGATTCCCCCAAAACTTAACTATGAATAACCTACTGTTGACCAGAAGCCTTACTGATAACAGTCAATTAACACGTATTTCATTTATATATATCATACCCCATATTCTTAAAATAAACTAAGCTAGAGAAAAAATGTTATTAAGAAAATCATAAGAAAGAGGAGATCTATCTACTCTTCACTAAATGGAAGTGCATCAAGATAAAGGTCTTCATTCTCAGGCCAGGCGCGGTGGCTCACACCTGTAATCCCAGCACTTTGGGAGGCTCAGGCAGGTGGATCACCTGAGGTCAGGAGTTTGAGAGCAACCTGGCCAACATGCTGAAACCCTGTCTCTACTAAAAATGCAAAAATTAGCTGGGTATGGTGGTAGGTACCTGTAGTCCCTGTTACTCAGGAGGCTGAGGCAGGAGAATCCCTTGAACCCAGGAGGTGGAGGTTGCAGTGAGCCAAGATTGTGCCACTGCACTCCAGCCTGGGCAACAGAGAGAGACTGTCTCAAAAACAACAACAACAATAACAACAAAACAAGTCTTCATCCTCATCATCTTCATGTAGAGTAGGCCAAGAAGGAGGAAGAGGAGGAAAAGGAGGGGTTTGTCTTGCTGTCTCAGGGGTGGGAGAGACGGAGGAAGGGAAGGGGAGGCAGGAGAGTCAGGCACATTCACTATAACTTTTATTGAAAGTAAAGCTGCATATAAGTGATTCCACACAGTTCAAACCTCTGTTGTTCAAGGGTCAACTGTAAATATATATTTAATATATATTTCTAAAATTTAATCTCTTCTCTGTATATTAAAAAATAACTGATCCAAAGCAATGGAGCAAAGCACCCCTTAAACTTTCTAAGCAGTACTAACAATTTTCAAAGCAAATTCACCCTCATTATCTCCTCCGATTATTATGAACACCCCTTTGAGAAGGCAGGCCTTGTTATCTCAATTTCTCAGAGGATGTAAAGTCAGTCACTTCTCTGCAGCTAAAAGGGCCTAGACCAGGGGTCTTCTGACCCCGGTGTCCTGCTCTCTCCATCTCAGCGTACTGACTATGCAAATCAATCTTCAAGAGAAAGGCCAGGCATGGTGGCTCACATCTGTAATCCCAGTACTTTGGGAGGCCGAGGCAGGCAGATCACCTGAGGTCAGGAATTCGAGACCAGCCTGGGTAACATGGTGAAACCTCTTCTCTACTAAAAATACAAAAATTAGTCAGGCGTGGTGGTGGGTGCCTGTAATCCCAGCTACTCAGGAGGTGGAGGCAGAAGAATCGTGTGAACCCAGGAGGTGGAGGTTTCAGTGAGCTGAGATTGCACCACTACACTCCAGCCTGGGCAACAAGAGCAAAACTCTGTCTCAAATAAAAAAGAAATAATCTTCAGGAAAAATTAAATCAGCACACATATTCATGAAAAGCAAATCTTAAATGTTTATTATAACCCATCTGACTTAGGGGAATTATTAAAAAAAAAAAAAAAAGCTAACCCAGGGATGACAATTTCAGGGCTTGAAAGATAGTCGTTTTCTGATGTCACAGCTACAATCACGTTCTTGTGTCTAAAATAATTAACACTGCCACTGAAAGACAGGTAGGGCAAGAAAGAAAGGGTGCTGCAGAGAATGAGGTGGAAAGGCAGATGGTGACCTCATGACAGAAGGCTGAAGACCTGTTCCCACCCTGGGTTCTGCCACTGATGAGCCTCAGCCTCAGTTTCCCCTTCTGTAAAATGATGGTGCTGGCTTCCTGACCTCTAAGGTCTCGTCCAGCTCTGTCATTCCCTGACCCTCCTCTCTAAAGGACACTTCCTGGATTAGAATCACAGTTGAGGACAACAGTGTCTCTCTTCCATATCTCCTCCTCCCAGCATACGCCCAACTGTTCTTTACTTCAGCTTGAAAAGGGCAAAAAGACCAATCTGAGGAAAACTCCATTTATCTTCAATCAGATTAGCAGCTAACCCCAAGTATTTTCCAGGTAGTTATCAAAACAGGACAGTGCAAAATTAAAAGGTAAACTGTGTGTCTAAAAATGGCAATCCAGGCCAGGTGCGGTGGCTCATGCCTGTAATCGCAGCATTTTGGGAGGCCAAGGCGGGTGGATCACCTGAGGTCAGGAGTTCGAGATCAGCCTGGCCAACATGGAGAAACCTCGTCTCTACTAAAAATACAAAACCGTCTCTACTAAAAATACAAAAAAATTAGCTGGACGTGATGGCGCATGCCTGTAATCCCAGGAGAATAGCTGGAACCCAGAAGGCAGAGGTTGCAGTGAGCCAAGATCGCACCATTGCATTCCAGCCTGGGTGACAAGAGCAAAAATTCATCTCAAAAAAACAAAATAAATAAAAATGGCAATCCCTAGTTAGGTATAAGAAAGAGAATAAGATATTAGGATCAATACGGCCTTTTACAATCTAACTTTTAGACTGTCAGATCCATTTGGGGCCTCAAGTAATCTGGATGAATTATCTATTCTGCCCGAACTCAAGTGAATTCAGGCTTCTGCTTTAGCTGAAAGAAAATCTCCTTGGGATACTAGATTTGTCCTAGAACATTAATAACTCTGGAAGGATGGGGTCCCGCTGCTGTATGGCTCTAGTGTCTGTAAGCGATGTAATTTACTGGAAATAGCAATGTGAGTGTGGCCACCAGATGAGCCACACTAAAGTGTTCAAAGGTATTCTTGGTTTTAGTTCTTGATCCTGAAAAATCTGCCCCAGAACTAAGAGGAGCACCATGTTTCACAATTCACAGACCTCATCTCATGTTCTTTTCAAAGTTCTTTCATATTTCTGACCACACATTTCCCTATCTGGGAAAATGGAGGAAAACCCCATTCCTCCCAAACCCTGTATACCTCTTTCCCCCAACATTATACATGTGGCCCGGGGACTTGCCTTCACGACGGGGCAAAGCTGCAATGCCATAGAACCCAGGGAGGCATTGGAACCAAGATGCAAAACAGTTCCGTGCGTACGGAAGAAAGAAGAAGGGCATTCACTCGGTAGAGCCACCCCTGACCTGCACAATGGGAACTCGGAGGCACCCCTTGAATCGTTAACTCCTGACCCTGTTATTCCATGGTTGGTCCTACCACAGGTCATCCCAACCTCACCCTCCCCTACCACCACTGTCCCCAGGCGCAGGCGTTGAGTGGCCATGTCTTCCAGCTGAAAAGCCTTCTTAAATCAGTTTCAGTGTTGTTTCCTAGAACTCTCTGAAATGATATACAGCCCAGAATAATTCAGACAGATGTTATTCAAGGATTCCAGGTGGGGAGAAGAAAACAAAACAGAAATGGCTCGGGTCAGGGTAATATGCTTATTCTGAGAAGGCACTGGGTGGCTGATCCCACCTCTCTGGGATGGGGGTGGTACACATCGAAGTGAGGTCGCTAGGGCAAATTTGATTTTGTGTGTGTATATGTATGTCAATCAAATTACTTTATTGATGTTTATGTTCAGATTTTGCTTCTGTTTTCATAAACGGTAGCAGCAGGAAGGTAGACAAAGTGGAAGTAACCTAACTGGGCTCCTCACTGCCATCCTGCAAAGAGAGCCTGGCATCTCTGCTTACAACCAAGGCTGGTGGCGGGAGTGGGGTTAGGATGCTCTGAACTGCCCTTAATCAGTTAAGTGAATCACTACGGAGATACTCCCCAGGAGTCAAACCGAGGAACAATGACTTAGAAAACCCTGTTACTCAAAAGTCGGTAATATCTTGCTTGCATGTATTTCCTTTATATTACATTGAGTGCTGAGGTCTGTGCTCAGCTGTGGAGGGGAAGAGGGGCAGGAGGATATGTTTTGGGGTGACCCTGAGTGACTTCTAGGAGGCTTCCCCATAAATTCAGTCCATCTCGGGTTTTCCAGGCCCGGGATGATGAGACCCAGGTGAAAAGCTGTTTGACAAATGTGGTCCAGGTGACCCCTACCTTTCCATGCTGGCTTCTAGGTTAAGCTCAGCTGAAGAAAGATGTACCTGACTCCAAAATGAGGAGAGACATAATGAGTGTCCTGATTTAACAATCCTTATTACAGCCAGAGAAACAATTTTGGAAAGCTGGATCGCTACTAAAAGACAGCAAGGAACAGAATAATGATTTTGTCCTAAAAAAGATTTTCCTGCAAGCGTTCCTCTTTTGTACCCTTTCACACGCAGCCTCCTCCTCCGAAGGGTGGAGTCGAGCACGGACACCAAACTGGAGTGGTTTCCTACTCCGGCATGCACCCAGCCGCCGCACAGTGACCTCCTGCTCAAGAAAAACCTGCTGAAGCTAAAGAAGGCAGGTTCAGATGCTGGATTTGATTTACACACATCCTATTTTCTTCAAAGCAACATTTCAGAAAAAGTAAATAAAAACGAGCTGTTCTATTTCTGGTTCTTCTCTAAACAGTGAAATTCAAGTTCCTGTTCTGACTGTCCTCATGCCAGTCATTTAACTTATCTGCGCCCCGGTGGCCTGTATGGAAAATGGGAAGAGCATAGTGCTTCCCTCCAAGTGACTGCTGTCAAAGCAAATGAGCAAACTCGTGTCTGTAACGATGACTGTCGAACACAGGGTCCCCCCTCCCAAATGATCCTTGGACCTGATGATATTTTTACCTTGCCTAAATTGTTATGGAAAAATGATAAAGGGGCCAGGCGCAGTGGCTCACGCCTGTAATCCCAGCACTTTGGGAGGCCAAGGCATGCAGATCACTTGAGGTCAGGAGTTTGAGACCAGCCTGGCCAACATGGTGAAACCCGGTCTCTACTAAAAATACAAAAATTAAAATAAAAAATAAAAAATTAGCTGGGCATGGTGGCGCATGCCTGTAATCCCAGCTACTTGGGAGGCTGAGGCAGGAGAATGGCTCGAACCTGGGACGTGGAAGTTGCAATGAGCCAATATCACATCACTGCACTCCTCCAGCCTGGGCAACAGAGTGAGACTCCATCTCAAAAAAAAAGAAAAGAAAAGAAAAGAAAAATGATAAAGGGATGGCCAAGGATGGCAATGTTATGGGATTAAAAAGTACGGGTGAGAAAATCCTGCAGCTGACCCTGACCCCGCCTGGCATACATGAGAAGCACTATTAAAAGCTGGTCAAGTAAGTAGGCAGTTTAGTCTCCTTCATAGGCATGAATGAGCTCTGTGCGTTCAGTCTATCTGAAAAAAGTCAGATGTCCGCACCTAAGAGAGTCAGCTGGTTCCCACAAGTCAAGTGGACGGTCCGTGTCCATCCTTGTCCTTGTTTCTCCCTGTACCCAGCTGCCTCTAGCACCCAGCCTTCCTTATCTTATGCTACTCACGGCAGAGAGCAGATTGTGGAGAGCACACAGAGAGATAAGGCGATTCAGGCAGAGTGGGTAGTTGGCCTGTGGCGTGGCCCTCCCAAAACCTCTGGGTGGAGAGTGCGCCGGCTGAGCCCAGAAAGCCTCATTCTTATGGATTCTCTGGAAGCAGGGCCTGAGAAACCCCTGATTCTCCAGGTGAGGAAGCCTCTTCAGGACTCATCAGAGAAAGAGAAGCACTGAGCCACCAGGAAGGGGTCGGCTGGTCTGTTCGGTGCCGGGCAAGCTCCAGGAGTCAGCAAAGGCCTCTTTGCTTTCTGAGCCTCTAGTTTTTACCTGGAAAAGGTGCACCACGTTGTACCAGATGATCACTAGGGTCCTTTCCTTCCACCTCAAAACCAGCTTATTAACCAGAATTGGGAGTGTGTCTCCAATCTGAAGAATAAACTCCTGGTTCCGTTGAAAACCAGGTGATCCTTATTCTTCAGGGGATGCTGACATAGGAGACAAACAATAGGATCCTTTAAGAACTGTGGGAGCTGAGCCTCCATTCTGCAAGCCAAGCCTCTTTAGATAAAAAAGAAAGGCCACATGAAGTAGCACATGTCACATTCATCATGGCAAAACAGCCCCACACATCCCATAAAAATTTCAGAATCCATGGGATACACAGAGGCTATTTGATTTGGACTGAAATCCCAGACACAAAAGGTTATCAGGGTACTTTGCTCTTATAAATGGCAAAAGCTTTCAAAAGCACACTGTGCAGCCCCAAGCAACTGCCAAGACATTCTGAGTGTTTGGCTTCTAGAGTTGAAGTATTTCACTTCCCCCACTTCATGTTAGCTTTCAAGAGAACACTGGGATATGTTGGGGTTTTACTTGCTAGAATGTACCTTGTCTGAAAAAACCAAGTACTTCATTCAAGAAGAAAACACCTTGAGGCTGGCATTTACCCAGCTGGGTGTGCAAGAGTTTGAGTGAACTGGTCACAGCGCAAAATAAATCAATAGCACTACTTTTCATTTTTATGAAACTCTAACAAGCATTCTCTCCTCTTGATTCTCATCCTGAGTATCAATATCTCCCTTTCACAGACGAAGAAACTGAGTCATGGGGTTTATGCAACTTGCCAAGGCCACTTGGTCACAGTGACCATATCAGGGCGTCAAAGCTTTCTGCTATGGGCCATGCGCTGTCCTCGTTACACCATTTAAAAATGCCCTGGCCCATAAGACGATGGCCACTCACACACTGTGATTTAAAATCAGGTCATAGGGTGCTGCTGGCACACCCACGGTGCAGGCTGAATGTTTTTATAGGTGTCTCATATAAACAGGCTGCAATAGATGCAAGAGCTGCCAAAGTCTGAGCTGTTAGAAAACACAGACATCGCCTCAGGGAAGCACATCCGAATGATACCACCCAAAGAAGTACAAAATGGGCAAAGAGATGCCGTTGCTTCATAGAGATATGTGCTTAGACACATGGCACGAGGAAAACATAAGGAGATTTTGTACAGAGAGGTTAGATAGCTGACCACTTTGGACACCTAACTCACACAAACACAGCACAGCTTCCCAGAAACTGGGAGCCCAAGAAGAATTAACTATTCCTTTTAAAATTTAAGCATGGTGTCTCCTGCACTAGCACCCCCATTGTTTCCTGGGTCATTGCCAGGCAGGGGCCCATCCAGGTCTCTTAAGCAGACCAGCAGCAACGTTCTTCTGGGGAGAATGCTACTAGACCAGGCATGGCGAGAGGAGAAAAACCTACTGCACAGTTGGAAGGCTAACCAACAACTCCCACCGAGGGACTGTGTATATACCAAACAGTACAAGACCAAACAGATGTGGCGCACACTGGAGCGCACCACCTTGCTGCCCAATAAATCCCCATTTTTCACAGAGCACCGGGAACATGACTCCCTGAACTGGTACAGCAATAGCAGCAGGCCTTGGCTGAGGAGGAGCCAACAATTGCCAGGGCAGGTACAACATGGCAACCGTCAGGTAAGCGCTTGGAGCAGGTCTCTACAGAAATCAGGGGACAAGGATGATGAATGACCTGCCCAGGGTGGGAAGGGAGATACAGGTGGCTCAGGGTGCTGTGAGTTTCCTGAGACTCTCTTTGAGGGGCTCATATCTGCTGTCTGGCAGTCAGGAATCAGCACAGTTCTTCTCTCATTCTCTCCATGGAATGTGATAGAATGCCGATGTGCCTACCCTACATGAGGTGCAGGGGATTCAGCGGGGATCGCAGGCCCAGGCAGAGCCCAGCTTGGTCATGAGAATCACACACACACACATCAGGACAAGAGCAATGATGCCAGCAGCTGGAGCCTTGCCAGGAAGCATCCCAGGAATAACTGGAGAGCAAGTTAAGGACTTGGGGCCCTGGCAGCTGAGAATCAGCATGCTAGGGGGTAAATGACAGCAAACGAAGGCAAAAAGAATATGGGTTTGCAGGTTTGAGAGAATAGAAAAGCCAGGAAGGAGATGTAAAATGCAGGATAGGGGTCTATTTTCATCAAGGCCACCTTGAACTGGATCCAAATCCAGGGGTCCCGTGCTTCCCCTGGACAGTTTCCAAAAGTGGTACCTTTTCAGATCAAATGAAAGTAAAGAAGATTTTATTTTGCTTGAGAGATCATAAAACCTCTAAAAAATTGCCATGCAAATTGGTTGTGAATGAATCTCTCTCTCCCACAATGCTATGAAGGGGAAAGGGGGGAGGCCATAAAAGGAAAATTCTCTCTGACCATTAAGAAGGCCTTGGAGAGGTCACACAAAAACTTCCATCTGCTTTTGGTCATTAGATGAGCTGAGATGACAGAGCTGCAGAGCAATCGTTCTCAGCAAGGTTCTAGCTGACACATCCGCCCCCACCTTACCACACACCCCACAACTTGGGGTTTAAAGTTTTCCTCGTATTTGTTATTAGATCTTGATCTCCAGGGAATTAGGCATCTTTTGCAGTAACTTATGATACTGTATGCCATGTCTTTCGTAGACAACACAAACTGAAGTGCTGACGTGGCAAACACACAATTTATTTTTATTTTTATTTATTTATTTTTTGAGACAGAGTCTTGCTTTGTCACCCAGGCTGGAGTGCAATGGCGCAATCTCAGTCCACCGCAACCTCCGCCTCCTGGGTTCAAGTGATTGTCCTGCCTCAGCCTTCCGAGTAGCTGGGATTACAGCCATCACCACACCCGGCTAATTTTTGTATTTTTAGTACAGAAGCGGTTTCACCATGTTGCCCAGGCTGGTCTTGAACTCCTGACCTCAGGTGATCCACCTGCCTCAGCCTCCCAAAGTGCTAGGATTACAGGCATGAGCCACTGTGCCCAGCCCAAACACAAGATTTGGTAGGTCAATGTAGCAGCCAGACTGGCTTCCCCTTGTCCTCACTCCAACCCACCTCCTCAAAAAACCTCTCTAGCTACAAGAAAATGTTTCCTCCCCTCCCTTACTGTCAACACTTTGTCAACAGGCAGTGATCAGCACTGTTTGTCCCGTGACCTATGTGGACGTATGATGCTGTCTGCTTCTAAAAGGTCTTCACCCTCCATGATGGATAATGGAAAATTGAAGCCATCAAGTTCTGAGATTGAAAAAATAATGGATGGATGTTTCTATACAACACTAAAGACAGATCTGACTTCTACTGACGGGGACTATTTGTGAAAATACTCCAAAAGGACTCCAGCCCATGTCGGAGAACCATGACTAGCTGCTGGGTTGGATGAAGCTAGAAACCATCATTCTGAGCAAACTATCCAAGGACAGAAAACCAAACACCGCATGTTCTCACTCATAGGTGGGAACTGAACAATGAGAACACTTGGGACACAGGGCAGGGAACATCACACACCAGGGCCTGTTGTGGGGTCGGGGGAGGGGGAGGGATAGCATTAGTAGAAATACCTAATGTAAATGACGAGTTAATGGGTGCAGCACACCAACATGGCACATGTATACATATGTAACTAACCTGCGCATTGTGCACATGTACCCTAGAACTTATAGTATAAAAATAAAATAAAAAGAAATGGAGTTAACCCATCTGAATTAAGGAGAAAACAAATGTTTGCATTTGTATGCCAAAAAATATAGGCATTCATAAAAATTAATAAAAAATAGAGGCATTCTCATTTCTTCGTGGTCTCAAAGTTTCTTCTACCACCTGTCATGTTATTGCACGTAGTCTGATGACTAACAATTCTATTCGCGTTAGGATATTTGGGATGCCTCAATGCATGCAACAAAGACCAAAGAGCTATGCTGGCTGCCTCATGATGTCCCCAGGAAGTCTACTGATAGGTTGTTTTTGCTTTCAAGGTATCTTTTTCTTGTGTGGTCTGTTGACTCTGAGAAGGTTTTTTCTTTTGTCATCTTGCCTTTTCCTTTCCTATTGGAGGACAGCAGGTGGTGGGTGTTCCTGGGCTATGCACTATCACTTAGGAGTGAGGAAGTAGAAGGATGATCAGAGGTCCATGCCCAAGAGTGGTGCTTTTCAAATGTGCCCTTGCCTGAAGGGTGATTAACATTTCTTATGAGTTTTATCCATTTCATTTGCCTTCCTCTCTTCTCTAGCAGAATTGAAAATGTTTTAAGAGCATTCCCCTGGATAACTGGAACAAGATGAGGATGCCCACTCTCACCACTTCTATTCAACATAGTACTGGAAGTGCTAGTCAGAGTAATCAGGCAACAGAAAGAAAGTAAAGGCATCCAAATAGGAAACGAAGAAGTCAGACTCTCTCTCTTTGCTGCTGATATGATTCTATGGCTAGAAAACCCCGAAAAACTCCACCAAAAGGCCCCTAGAACTGACAAATGACTTCGATAAAGTTTCAGGATACAAAATCAATGTGCAAAAATTAGTAGCATTTCTACATTATTTCACACCAATAACGTCCAAACTGAGAGCCAAATCAAGAACACAGTTCCAAAGTGCTGGGATCAGGCGGGCGGATCACTTGAGGTCAGGAGTTCGAGACCAGCCTGGCCAACATGGCAAAACCTCATCTCTACTAAAAATACAAAAATTAGCCAGGCATGGTGGTGCGTGCCTGTAGTCCCAACTACTCAGGAGGCTGAGGTTGTAGTGAGCTGAGATTGCGCCACTGCAATCCAGCCTGGGCGACAGAATGAGACTCTGTCTCAAAAAAAAAAAAAAAACAACAAAACACACACAGTTCCATTTGCAGCAGCCATTAAAATATAAAATACATAGGAATACAGCTAACCAAAGAGGTGAAAGATCTCTACAATGAGAACTATAAAACACTTCTAAAAGAAAACATAGATGACAGAAACAAATGGAGAAACATTCCATGCTCATGGATTGGAAGAATCAATATTATTAAAATGCTCATACTGCCCAAAGCAATCTACAGATTCAGTGCTATTCCTATCAAACAACCAATGTCATTTTTCACAGAACTAGAAAAAACTCTTCTAAAATTCATAGGGAACCAAAAAAGAGCTTGAATAGCCAAAGGAATCCTAAGCAGAAAGAACGAAGCTGGAGACATCATATTACCCAACTTCTAACTATACTATAAGGCTACAGTAACCAAAACAGCATGGTACTGGTACAAAAACAGGCACATATACCAATGGAATAGAAGAGAGGACTCAGAAATAAAGCCACACACCTGCAGCCATCTGAGCATCAACAAAGTTGACAAAAATAAGCAATGGGGAAAGGACTCTCTCTTCAGTAAATGGGGCTAGGATATTTAGCTAGCCATATGCAGAAGAATGAAACTGGACCCCTACCTTTCACCATATACAAAAATTAACTGAAGATGAATTAAGGATTTAAATGTAAGACTTCAATCATAAGAATCCTAGAGAAAAGCCTAGGAAACATCAGTCTGGACACTGGCCTTGGGAAAGAAAGTCCTCAAAAGCCATTGCAACAAAAACAAAAATTAACAAGTGGGACCTAATTAAACTAAAGAGCTTCTGCACAGAAAAAGAACCTATCAACAGAGTAAACAGACAACCTACATAAATGGGAGAACATATTTACAAACTATTCATTCAACAAAGGTCTAATATCCAGAATCTATAAGGAACTTAAACAACTGAACAAGCAAAAAAAACAAAAACCATATTTAAAAATAGGCAAAATACATGAACAGACACTTCTCAAAAGAAGACATACAAACATGAAAAAAATGCTCCATATCACTAATCATCAGATAAATGCAAATCAAAACCTCAATAAGGTACCATCTCACACCAGCCAGAATGGCTATTACTAAAAAGTCAAAAAACACATGCTGGAGAGACTGTGGAGACAAGAGAACACTAATGCACTGTTGACTGGAATGTAAATTAGTTCAGCCACTGTGGAATGCAGTTTGGAGCTTTCTCAAAGAACTTAAAACAGAGCTACTAATTTGACCCAGCCATCCCACTACTGATAGTAGTATCTATCCAAAAGAAAACAAATCATTTTACCAAAAAGATATATGCATTCACATGTTCATCACAGCACTATTCACAATAGCAATCGTGATTCCATGTCCATGTCTACTGGACATGGAATCAACCTAGATGCCCATCAACAGTGAACTGGATAAAGAAAATGTGTTACATATATACTATGGAATACTATGCAGCCATAAAAAGAATGAAGCCATGTCCTTTACAGCAACGTGGATGCAGCTGGAGGCCATTATCCTAAGTGAATTAATGCAGAAATAGAAAACCAAATACTGCATGTTCTCACTTATAAGTGGTAGCTAAACATTGGGTACTTGTGGACATAAAGATGGCAACAACAGGTACTGAAGACTACTGGAGGGAGCAGGGAGCCAGGGGATAAGGACTGAAAACCTAACTATTGGGTACTACATCAGTACCTGGGTGATAGGATCATTCATACCCCACACCTCAGTATCATGCAATATACCCAGGTAACAAACCTGCACATGTATCCCCTGAATCTAAAATAAAAGTCGAAAAAATTAAAAGAATACAGCAAATTTACTTTTCAGCTGTCTCATGCAATGTACGAAGTGTTTACGTAACTACTGTACATTCAGAGAACTGAATTTAGAACCTGTCTGACTGTAAATCTGATGGATTCTAAAAGCAACAAAGCTTCTTAGAAATGCTTGGGGCAGCCTACCATCTGACTGGATTGAGAAAGGCCTGGAAGGTCATCTCCTCAGGGTTTTCTTGGAAACATATCACTGGAGGGGTGTGTCTCCCAACACCATTTCCAGAAAATCTTTCAGGTTTACTGCAAGGTCGATCATAGCCACTTAATTTTCATAGACAACCTCTATTTCAAATATTTCCCTTTGCGTCTTCATGTACCATCGATACACTCCCAAAACAAGTATAACTATTATGTAGCCAATAAAATTTAATTTAAATTGTTTATGTCATGGAAAAATGCTTATGTTCACGTCAAAACAATCAGAATAGAAAACTATAAATGGTACTACCTCAAACATGTGAAAATGCACAAAAAAGATTTAAAAGCTGGAAAATATCTTGTGTTAGTTAAGATATGGAGACAAGGCGGCCTTACACACTGTAGATGGGGAGGTTAACAGGCATAGCTTTTTTTAGCCCCCAATTTGGCAGCATCTATCAATATTTCAAACAGGTGTGCCTTTACCCAGGCCTAATAATCCCTGACCTAGAAAATCTTGAAATGTACATAAAGATATACAGATAAGGAAGTTAATACAAAAACTGTAACAGTCAACTCAATAGATTATTTATTAATAGGGATGGGTTAAATAACGTCCTATTTGTACTTCTGAATAATACTCTGTAGCCTTTAAAAATAAAGAAAAAGGTATGTCATTAAAAATCCATGCCATATTAAGTTGCTAAATAATATACATAAAATGAGTTCAGTTTTTGTTTTTATTTTTTAGTTTAATTTTATTTTTTTGAGACAAAGTCTTGCTCTGTTGCCAGGCTGGAGTGCAGTGGCAGGATCTTGGCTCACTTCAACCTCCGACTCGCTGGTTCAAGTGATTCTCCTGCCTCAGCCTCCTGAGTAGCCAGGATTACAGACATGTGCCACCATGCCCAGCTAATTTTTATATTTTTAGTAGAGACAGGGTTTCACCATGTTGGCCAGGATTGTCTCGAACTCCTGACCTCGTGATCCGCCCGCCTCGGCCTCCCAAAGTGCTGGGATTACAGGCGTGAGTCAGTGCACCCGGCCTTAGTTTTTAAAAGTGTACATATGTGTGTGTATATGTAAATGCGCCAAAAATGACTAGCAGAACATGCCCCATGGTTATCAGTCATTACCTCCTGAGAAAGGTGGAGAGTTATGGGATGCTTTTGGCTACAACAGAAAAACTAGCTCAGTTTGCTTCATCTGGTAATGGTTTCATGATCTCACACATGTTCAAAAACAGACTCTTCTTTGTGTAATTCAGAAAGTCAAGGGCACCACGGAGACCTCCCCGCCCCCTGCCCTTCTTCACCTTTGCATTCTTCCGCAGGTCAGCTGAGACCTGGCCCAGCCCCTCTGGTGGCTGATGGCTGCCCAGTTTGCAGGCATTATGGCCACATATCACAGTATCTAGTGGAAGGAAAGGACTGTTTCCTTCCTTGTCTCTTTTGAGAGCAGGGAAACTTTCCCAGAAGCCTCCCAGTGGCCCACCCTCACATTTTATTGGCTAGAACAGGGTCCGCATGCTCACCCTGAGCCAGTCACTGGCAAGGGCAGCAGCCCCACCCTCACCAGGGTTGAGTGGCCAATCTGATAAACCTCCAGAGGCAGGTGTGGGTTGGCAGTCTACTGTACAAAATCCAGTTTCTGCTAGGCAAATAAAAGATAGGGCGATGATTATGGGTAGGCCACAAGGATGAAGGGAATTTTTTTTCTTTCTACTAGAAATGGTTCTGTGCTATTTGAAAATTTTTACAAGATTATATCCATGTGCTTTTTAAGATAAACTAATATAAAAATATTTCAATGCATAGAAAAAACACTGAACGGAAAATATATCTTGAAATTGTGGGGTTTTTTCCTTCTTTTCTATCTTTTCCAAAAACTATGTACTTTTATAAACAAAAAACCAATAATTTTCAGATGACCTCGAGCTCTTAATATTTTATCACCAAGGGGCACAAATATCATTCATAAAATTGTGCATGTCATTTTTGGCTCAGAAGAGGCTAGAAGAATCACGCCACTAGGTTCTGTCACCTCGTCACCTGTCTGTCTTTAGATGGGCCTGTGTTTTCTGGAAGCCTGGATGATTTTCAGTGGTCTGGGAACATTATCTGCCACGGCCTTCAGCAAAGCAACAAAGTCCACAAATTGAGTCCTAGGGTCCAACCTCTCAGCTTCAGCCCCCACCACTGCTCCCATTTCCATCCTGGTACTCCCATGCCTGACGATGCCTTCCTTTCCCTCTCTCGTCTCCACCCTCACCCAGGCCTGCCTTGGCTCCAGGGGGTTCCTCTGCTTTTCCTTCCCCCTAAACATCAAACTGCCATTGCCATTCTCTTAGAACTTGGTTTTCAAGATTTACTTTCAGGGAGCGTGGAAGGCAAATGGTAGCAGAGAAATCGCCTTTGCAAATAATAAATGGAATCCCAAAATATATTTTAAAAAATCAGAGTGATGTTGGTTGAAGTGTTTTCAGGGCCACCCAGGTGACCCCTCCTAATATCAGGGTGAAGGACACCATTGCCTTGCAATATCCATCTCTCCTAGATGGCAGGAGGAAGCAATATCTTAGAGTGCAAAGCATAAAAGGCACCCCAGGTGAATTCCAACACGCTCGGCACTAGTTTCAAGTAACTCGTACTATGGTGGAAAGACAGATTGATGGCTTTGATCCTGGAAAGTGACCCACCACAGAATAGACCAATGCCCCTCAAAGAGGAGAGGTGTTTGTCCTCTCCACTACATTTTTAAAGAGCGCTTGATTGCCACTAGCAGTCTTGATCAACAGAACCTACAGCTTAAGTACCAAGAAAAGCTTCAGATGAAAATATCCTAGGAAGGGCTATCAACAAAGCAAACCAGAAGCCAGGGACTGCAGGAGAGGGTGGAGATAAGCATGCTCCCAATAATTTTCCATTTTGCCTCTGATTAGCTTCCACAGCTGCCTGCCCTCCAGCCCTGGCCCGGTTCTCCACGGCCGGCCTTGGGTTTGCTGGTAAACCAAATTGAATCTCTAATTGGTGAACTACATGGAACATATTTTAGTAACCTCTTCGTCCTCCTTGCTTTCCAGCCTCCTCTCTCCTATCAACAGTAATAAAAGCAATCACTTTTGTTAGGCCTAACACGCGTCCTTTACTGGTAATTCTACAAACTTGGCAAGGTAAGCATCATTTGCACTGTTTTTCTGACAAGGACTCTGAGTCTCAGGTTAAAAGTTGCCATAGCTGAGCTGGGAGGCTACCCCAGGTCTGTCTGACTTCAAAATCTGCATTTTATTTCTTGCCAAGTCACAAGGCTCTCCATTCAAATATGACTACAGGTCAAGGTCAGCAATGTGGAAGCCCTACCAGCAACTCTCCTTTCCTGGGCCCCTTTCTGGCCACCACCCCAGAGAATGGCATCCCAGAACCTCATTTTCAGTTTACAATCCCTCTCTCTCTCCCTGCCACCTCACCTTGTTAGCTCCTCAAGGGCAGGTACAACCCATCTTCTCATTTTTTTATCATCTGGGCTCTCTATGTGGTATATGCTCAGTAAACATGCTGAACTGGATTCAGTGCATCCCAAAACCTTGCCAGCGTGCAGCATCTGGTAGCTGTGAGAAATGCAGCTCGGGTCCTCTCCCAGGTGTCCTGAGTTAGAATCTGTGTTTGACAAGGGCCCCAGGTGATTCTCGGGCACTATGATATCCAGCATCCTCCATCTCCTTATACAGTTTTTTTCATACCAGTGTAGAGGATCAACACTCTCCTTTCTATTCTGAACCATCAAATGGAACCACCCATTGTTTTAAGACTTGCAAAAGTTCAAGTGGTCTCTGGGGGAACTTTACCTAAGAAATGACTTTGCTTAAAATGCCAAGGACTCCTTAATCTCAGTTAAAGAATTCAAGTGAGAAGCAGTTGTGCCTTAAAGACTGCATTAAAAACTCCCCCTTTAAACATACGCTCATATTTAATACATGTTTATTTAGTGCCCTGAGATACTATTAATCATCATCACCTTGAGATTTAAAATAGAATTACTCATAGTTAAGTACCCCATTAGCATTCAGAAATTTCTCACCTTTGGATAGTGACCACCAACAATTCAGCTCATTTCCCACACCTATTTACTGAGCATCTATTCTGAACAAGGCCCCATCGAGATGAGATGCTGTGGGGAATATGAAATGTGACAGTCCCTGACCTCCCATCTTTGCTACAAATAGAACGAGGATCAGGAACATGCTAATCAGACACTTCT